>NC_000003.12:112493452-112796483 GCF_000001405.40 Homo sapiens | reverse complement strand
CTAACTACCATCTATCCTGTGTGGATAATTTAGCCTTTCCCTAGTGTAAAATTGAGAAGCAATATAGCATAGTGGCTAAGGCTTTGTGGTCAGAAAGCTCCATCATTTTCCACAGGTTCTTTTTGATCAAATTACTTAAAATATTTAAACCCCAGTTTCTGAATCTGAAAATATGACAAATGCTGCCTTTGTCATGAGCCTTTCTTGGTGGTTAAATTAGATGACATCTGTATTGTACCTGCACATTCAATTAACAGTAGTTACTATTACATGGTTGTAATGAAACCCTCATCCAATTGAAAATAAGCTTTCAAAATGCTATAGCTTCTCAGAAGAAGCACGCTTCATTTTATTCTCTTTAGAGGCACTTGTTGAGGACTAAGGATTTCTCTAAAGAAGGTACAGTTCTGAGAAAGGGAATGAAAGTTAACTTTTTCTTTCTTGATCTTCAAATGCAACCATTGGTTTTGTTGGGCAACTCAGCTACACAAGAACATAGTGTGTTAGGTTGGGCCTCAAAGGCCAACAGAACCTGAAAATATGACCCATTCATATTCGGATGATAGAGACCTAGCCCATGTTGCCCCTGGCAGAACATTTTGTTTGGCCACAATGTTTTTCAAAGCTACAGAACACTCTAGTTGTTCTGTTGTATACAATGTACTTATTCTTTGGCTTTATCCTGCTCTATATTGAAGCTTATTTGTGTATCCCATGGACACCTCTAATACACACACACAGAAACACACCCTTTGCACACACTAATGCTTAAATCGAACTAATGACCTATACACAGAAAGCAACTCTTGGTAACATAATTAAGAGAGACTGGTTTAGACTTCCTTTGCCAATTGTGATCTACCGGTTTCTCCCAGAGACACATAATTTGCTTAGAATTTCATAAATACATGTCTGGTTTTTCTAACAGGGATTCAGACTCTCTTAATGTTAGAAAGTTTCAGTCTTAAGCCACCTATGTTAAACTAACAAATAAACCTAAACATGCTTTGGTGAAATATACATCTGAAAAGGCTACAAATGGGTAAAGAGAATCAGAAATCTTAGCTTGGAATCCTCGGGATTCTATATCATTTACTAGCTGTGGGACCTGAAATGAGTCACTTAATCCCTCTGAGCCTCAGTTTACCTCATTTATAAAGTGAGGATGCTAAAAGAAGTATAAAAACAGAGAGTAAAGACTTGGGCTGCTGGTTATTTGATCAAAGTGAATGCAGGAAAATGCCCTATGAAAACTATATAGTTTGCACTTTTCCAGAATATATCTCTTAGTTTGCACATGAAAATCTATATCCTTTTAAAAGACTTCTAACTTGTTATCTTTACAAGGATAACAAGGGATTTCTGCAGAACCCTGCTGATATCACAAGTCTCACAGGCACCGAGGCAGTAGATAAAGGTATCTGGTTCTGAAGGTCATCTCTCAGGTCACCTAGGCCCAGTAAAGAGGGAAACAGAAGCGGCTCCTTGACCTCATTTTCCCTACTCTGGGCCCGTCTGTAAACAAGTGGCTTGAGGGAAGTATGAGGTCTGCTTGTTGCCAGGGGTTCTGTTGCTTCCTCTTAACAGAAAAAGCTCTTTCTGCTATTTTCAAAGGCAGCAGCTTCTGGCAGGAGCCAGGTAGGACAGGGCTGCCTTTGGCTCACTAACATCAGAATCGTTGCTGACAGGCGCCTGAAGGGTAGGGTCTAGGGCAGGAAAATGTCTTCTCAATGTTTACCTCTCAGAGGTCATTTAAGCCCATGTCCTGGGAGGCAGGTCTCATCTCTTATGGGGTGGAGACTGGAGTGGGCAGGGAAACTGAACTCAAGAGGGAAGGTCGGTTAATCCTGCCTTAGAAAGAAGCAAGGACATTGTGATCAGAGATTCCAAGATTGTTGTGGGTGCTGTTACCTTCAAGGTGACCATCTCAGTTCGGAATTTTCTGCTGAGGGGAAATGAAAGCTCCACAAGCGTTGCTATATGACGAGAAATGTGTCTCCAAGGATAACATGCCCAAACTCAAGATTTTTCTCAAGTGGATTGTGTTCCAATCCGGTGTAGCCTTTCTGGGGAGGGGCTGTGGTATGGCCCGCAGGAACTAGAGGACTCACTTTAAAGGACCCATTCTGTTGAGTTCAAATAGGGCTACTTTTAGCAGTAGTTGCTGCTTCCAGAATAACTTGTTAAATATGTGTTTGAGTGTTTTGTTGAGATATCATTGTTTTCTTTTTGCCTTGTGTTTTCCTTTCCTTCTCCCAGGAAGGTAGCTTTGCCCTCTGAGCCTTTC
The DNA here is from genome assembly GCF_000001405.40 of Homo sapiens. NCBI lineage: Eukaryota > Metazoa > Chordata > Mammalia > Primates > Hominidae > Homo > Homo sapiens. The sequence goes on along the minus strand of NC_000003.12, from coordinate 112,794,196 downwards.
CCTTGCCTCAAGAGAGGTTTATGTGGTGGGCATAGGAAGCAAAAATTACTATAAACCATGGGTCTTTCTGGCTCTTATGTTCCCAATAACTGAGCCCTTTGAGTGGATTGTACTAGGGAGATGGGGGAGAAATAAGTGTTTTTTGAGAAGGGTGATTCTTTAAGACTGGAGTGAATGGAAATCTGCATGGAGAGTCGGGGGATGTGCTCCCTGCACCATGAAGAAACTCAGGGAGGAGACAAAACTGAAGAAAGCTGCAGCTAAGGTGGCTGGATGCCAGCACAGGGCTCTGCCCACAGACAGCAGGGGATTCTACACAGACACCAGACTCTACAGTATCCTGGAACAATGAAACCTGGACAATGAGCATGTATCATCATCAGGGTGAACTGAAGGCCTCCCTTCAGTTCTCCCTCTATTTCCTACATTCTAGTTGGAGCCTGAGTCTCCCAGATTATAGGTGAAGCCTGAAGGGAAGATTCCTCCCGACCAACCCCAGTAATGAGAGGTTGAATTTTTCTACACCTTAGAAGGCAGGAGGTTTGTGGGGCAGGAAAAATTTTTCCTGTACCCTCATAGGTTTAGTACTTGGTGCCTTCCCAATTAAACTGACAAAAGCAAATTGGCAAGAGACAAGACAAATTTTATGCATGAATGTACACAGAAGTTTGTAGAAAAATATGACTCAAGGAAGTGGTTAAAGTTGAGGGCTTATGTACCATCTTTAGTAGGGGAAGGGGAGTGGGACAAAGGGCATTTACAGGAAAACAAAAGACTTTTAGGAAAGGTAAACTGGCCTTTAAGAGAATGGATGGGAGATAAAGATAGTTTTCTGGCGATGTTTGTTTAGAGAAATTCTTATCCTGGTGCCAACTTCTCCTCTCTAGCCATAGGAGTCAATCTTCCCTGGTTAACTCTCAAGGAGGGGATTTATAATCATTGAATTCCTTTGGGAGGCTCTGCTTTCAAAAAGATAGCTAAGGAGAGCTCAAGAAAAAAATCTCTTCACATATATTCAGCATTTTTTCACACTCAAATTTGGATTAAATTTGAAGAAAGAAATGAGATACTTCTCTTACACCCAACTTTATGGAGTAAGAGGTTTGTATAGGCTACAAATGCACAGGACCCTGGGAGCTAAAATACACAAAATAGACTCAATGGGTGACAATTCAGTGCAGATTGTTTCATCAGGATAGACTCACACTGGAACTAATTTCCTAAAAATGGGACAGATGAGTGGAAAATTTTGAGAAGACTAAAAAAGAGCAAGAGATGAAGACTCACTGGTAGCAGTTGGTTAAAACATTGAGCCATTTTTATGGGACTCCGGTATATGACTTTTTCTATTTATCTATAGCCCAACTTTCTCCACAAGTCTCTTTATCCTTCAAAATCAAATAATCATTAGCACCTGGAGAAAAAAAGTACTGATAAGTGCATAACAATTCCTGTGTGTGTACCTGTTCTCTCTTCCAATCTTCAGAGGACAGTGTGCATAAAATTCTTCTTTTAAAAAATACCTTCCATAACTGGGTGATACCATAAGGTAAATTATTATTTTTGCAATTTTCATTCTTTTTAATTTTTAAAAATTTTTATGTTTTTTAGAGACAAGGTCTCACACTGTCGCCTAGGCTGAAGTGCAGTGGTGCCATCATAGCTCACTCACTACAGCCTTGAACTCCTGGTCTCAAGCAACCTTCTTGCTTCAGCCTCCCTGATAGCTAGTACTACAGGTGTGTGCCACCATGCCAGGCTAATTTTATTTTTGTAGAGTTGAGGTCTCTTTATACTGCTCAGGCTGGTCTTGAACTCCTGGCCTCAAGTGATCCTCTTGTGTAGCCCAAAGTGCTCCCAAAAGTGCTGGAATTATAGGCATGAGTCACTACACTCAGCCTCATCCTTTTTTTATTTTATTTTATTTTTTTAAATGTTTTGTCCCTGCTACATCTTTACCAGTCTGGGATTATCCTAGCTTTCTGATGGCTTCTGAATATAGTCTTTTTTTCATCCCCTTGCTAACTTCAACACTTTTGCATTTCCCTAAACCACTAGCAACAGGAGAATTATTGAACGATACATTATTTACTGAAACTCTGTTAAGGATGAGAGGGGATACCATTTTTCTTATATGCTCCACAGCAAACTCTTTCAAAACACTGTTAAATATCTCTGTTTCCCAAAGTTCGCATTATGGCTACTCAGCAAATGGGGTGTTTCCTTTTTGCTTTTTCCAAGCATGGTCCAGTTTCCTCTATTTTGCTGAGTAATTCAGTTCTTCTCCTAAATTTGCATTCCCTACTTAGCTAGGTGCTCAACAAAGCAAAAAAATCTACAATATATATGACTCCCTTCTCCTCTTAGAAGGAAGTTTAGTGACTGTTACTACTTGAAAATGGACTTGAATATCTCACTCTGCCCTATTTTCAACTCATCCCTGCTATGTAGTTGATCAAAGTGTGTTTTCCCAAATATACAGAGCAATTTCTCTTAGAAGAGTGTTGGTAAATGTAATTTTCTATGCCTAATTCCCTAATAATATGGCTGCCTATCAGGGCCCATTGGCTGTTAGCAGATTCTAGGAACACCAAGATGTTGGAAAGTTCAGCAGTCAAGTGTGTTAGAAAAGATGCCCCTTCCCTGAGGGTGACCCGAAACTTCTGATTTTCTTAAATTTGGAAACGGCCTGAATAATAGTGAGAGACAGGACTAGCTGGATTTCCTAGGCCAACTAAGAATCCCTAGGCCTAGCTGGGAAGGTGACCGCATCCACCTTTTTTTTTTTTTTTTTTTTTTTTTTGAGAGGGAGTCTCGCTCTGTTGCCCAGGCTGGAGTGCAGTGGCGCAATCTTGGCTCACTGCAAGCTCCACCTCCCGGGTTCATGCCATTCTCCTGCCTCAGCCTCCCAAGTAGCTGGGACTACAGGCGCCTGCCACCCCGCCCCCACCCCGGCTAATTTTTTGTATTTTTTAGTAGAGACGGGGTTTCATTGTGTTAGCCAGGATGGTCTTGATTTCCTGACCTCGTGATCCGCCCGCCTCAGCCTCCCGAAGTGCTGGAATTACAGGTGTGAGCCACCGCCCCCGGCCCGCATCCACCTTTAAACACGGGGCTTGCAATTTAGCTCATACCCGACCAGTCAGGTAGTAAAGAGAGTTCATTAAAATGCTAATTAGGCTAAAACAGGAGGTAAAGAAATAGCCAGTCATCTATCGCCTGAGAGCACAGGGGGAGGGACAATAATCGGGATATAAACCCAGGCATTGGAGCCAGCAAGGGCAACCCCCTTTGGGTCCCCTCCCATTTTATGGGCGCTGTTTTCACTCTATTAAATCTTGCAACTGCACACTTTTCTGGTCTGTGTTTGTTATGGCTCCAGCTGAGCTTTCACTGGCCATCCACCACTGCTGTTTGCCGCCATCACAGACCTGACGCTGTCTTCCACCCCTCCAGATGCAGCAGGGTGTCCCCCTGCGCTCCTGATCCAGCAAGGCTCCCACTGCTGCTCCTGATCAGGCTAAACGCTCGCCATTGTTCCTGCACAGCTAAGTGCCTGGGTTTGTCCTAAGCAAGCTGAATACTAATCGCTGGGTTGCACGGTTCTCTTCCGTGACCCATGGCTTCTAATAGAGCTATAACACTCACCGCATGGCCCAAGATTCCATTCCTTGGAATCCGTGAGGCCAAGAACCCCAGGTCAGAGAACAAGAGGCTTGCCGCCGTCTTGGAAGCGGCCTGTCACCATCTTGGCAGCTCTAAGGAAAAGGAACACTCCCCCCACTCCGCTGCCTGCCCCATAACAATAGGAAATAAAAGTGACTACGAAATAATTCTGTTTTGGCTACTATTGCTTCATAACAAATTACCCTAAAACTTAGTGGCTTAAAACAACCATTTTAAAACAACTGTTTTATTTTGCTAATAATTCTTTGGGGCTAGGAATGTGGGAAGAGCTTGGCTGGGTATTTCTGGCATAAGATCTCTCAAGCAGTTGGAGTCAGATGTCACGGAGCTGCTGTCCTCTGAAGATTAGACTGGTGTAGACATTCAAGACAACTCTCCCACTGTTGGTGTTGACTGTTTGCTGGGAATGACACTGGGCTGTCAAGTGCAGTACCCACTTAATGGCCTTTCCATCGAGTTTGGCTTCCTGACATCATGGTGACCTCAGGGTAGTTGAGCTTCTTAACAGGGCAGCTCTGGACTCCAAGTGTAAACATTCTAGCAAACAAGGCAAAAACTACATTATCTATTATGACTCAGTCTTTGAAATCACACAGCATCACCTCTGCTGTATTCTACTAGTAGGAGTAGCCATATGCTTTTTCCGGATTCAAACTGAGGAGAATTAGACTCCCTTCAAGATATGGGTGTGGTGAGATCACATAATAAGAGCAGGAAAGATGGAAATATTGTTGTAGCCATTTTGGAAAATGCAATATCTCCCTTTCTGTGGAGGTAACAGCCAGAGGCAACTATGTGGGTGAACAAAAATCCAATGTAGAATGGGGTTATCAACGTCCTTTCAAAAGAAACAGTTCCACAACCTTCTGCCATTGCCACCATCTCCTACTAGATCATTCATCATTGCGTCAAAGGAAACACACCTGAGGAGACGTGGCTTGAATTTCTTTCTTTTTTTTTTTGAGACAGAGTCTCGCTGTGTTGCCCAGGCTGGAGTGCAGTGGCACAATCTCGGCTCACTGCAAGCTCCTCCTCTGGGTTCACACCATTCTCCTGCCTCAGCCTCCCAAGTAGCTGGGACCACAGGCACCCACCACCACGCCCGGCTAATTTTTTGTATTTTTAGTAGAGACGGGGTTTCACTGTGTTAGCCAGGATGGTCTTGATCTCCTGACCTCGTGATCCACCCTCCTCGGCCTCCCAAAGTGCTGGGATTACAGGTGTGAGCCACTGCGCCTGGCCCGTGGCTTGAATTTCTATGACTGTTAGTAGAAAGAGAGTGTGTAGAGGTCTGAAGGTATATAATAGGTTTCCTCCTTGGGATTTAAGTTCACAATTTTACATGGAAATATAATAATTTTGTTTTAGTTAAAAAGGTTGATTGAACCTAATCATACCTGGGCCTGGACAATCTATTCCACTGGTTTGGCCTACTGAGGACCATGGCAGTATTAGATCTTTAGTCTATGGAAACCTACACAGTGGAGACGTGCCACCCTATTTATATCTTTCTCCAGCTACTCTGTTACCAAGCCCACACAATACCAAATGTTCAGATTGGGCTGAACTAATTATGTATCAAGAAAATAGATTAGATTTGGTGCTATAAAGATTTCTGATGGGTTTGTTTCATACTACAAAGGGATATAGAATGCCCTCACTAGTTTATCCACTGAAAAACTTCAGACATCATTGACTAGCAGGTAGACTCTACGGCTATGGTACATTAAATGGCAAAACATGTGTATGTGAATATAGAGTGCCTTTTCTTCTGGTGAAATTTTAGAATTTCCTTTTATTATATTTTAACTTCTGAGTTACAGGGGTCAACACTGTTTAGTATTAGAAATTTATTTTTTCCTAAATGAAAATATAATACCAAGCCACACTGAGCAGACTGTTTATATTTCTGCATAACTGAAGAGTCCAACTTTATTTAATGGGATCTTTGGGCTCAGCATAGTGGGAAAAACAGGATACCATATCTCACAGAGCCATGGGGCAGTCTTGGAAAATAAACTCCCGATAAAGCTGTAATCCCTTTGTTGGGTTAACTGTGATTAGATTTGAGACAGTGGAAAACACCACAAAGGCTTCGCATGTAAAATGGATGATACCTTTATTATGCACATATTCTCAGGGGGACTGCGGGGAGAGATATCATGTTTTTTGCTAAATGCATCATTTCAGCAATGCTTTAAATTTGAATCAGATGTACCTCAAATTCTGAGATTTGAAATCCTGGTCTTACCTTCACTCCTCTGAGCATCAGATGCATGTAATTCACATGGCAATTAGGAAGGAGGTAATATACTTTCCAGGTCAACGTGAATTATGGGGCAGAGGATGAGCTCTCATTATTTGATTATGGGTTTAAATTCATCTTGACTCAATATCATGTCCAAGAAGAAAACAGCAGGCCAAGAAGTCATCCTTGGCCTACTACATCTACCCTGATAGAAGGATGGGTGGGCTTTGATTAGTCCTGGTAGCTTTGACTCAAATCTGTGAGGTTTTATATTGCTAGAAAGTGCAGGCCGGGTACGGTGGCTCACGCCTGTAATCCCAGCACTTTAGGAGGCTGAGGCAGGTGGATCACAGGGTCAGGAGCTCGAGACCATCCTGGCTAACATGGTGAAATCCTGTCTCTACTAAAAATACAAGATACTAGCCGGGCATGATGGTGGGCACCTGTAGTACCAGATACTCAGGAGGCTGAGGCAGGAGAGTGGCATGAACTTGTGTAATCCTTCTTATTGTGTCCCAAAGAATCCTGATTTTCAGGTAGAGAGTCTGGGCCTCAGAATGTAACTGCTGAAGGGGTTCACTTTGCTGGCTGCCTAGACAGAGCCAATTCATCAAGACAGGGGAATTGCAATAGAGAAAGAGTAATTCATGCAGAGCCAGCTGTGCGGGAGGCCAGAAGTCTTATTATTACTCAAATCAGTCTACCCAAGCAATCAGGGAGCAGAGTTTTTAAGGACAATTTGGTGGGTGGGGGGAAGCCAGTGAGCCAGGAGTGCTGATTGGTCAGGGTTGAAATCATAAGGCGTTGAAGTTGTCTTCTTGTGCTGAGTCATTTTCCCGGTGGGGGCCACAAGATCAGATGATCTGGTTTATTGCTCTGGGTGGTGCCAGCTGATCCATCAAGTGCAGGGTCTGCAAAAATACCTCAAGCACTAATCTTAGGAGCAGGTTAGGGAGGGTCAGAATCTTGTATCCTCCAGTGGCATGACTCCTAAATCATAATTTCTAATCTTGTGGCTAATGTTAGTCCCACAAAGGCAATCTAATCTGCAGGCAAGAAGGAGGTCTGCTTTGGGAAAGGACTGTTATCGTCTTTGTTTTAAACTATAAACTATAAACTAAATTTATCCCAAAGTAAGTACAGCCTACACCCAGGAATGAACAAGGACAGCTTGGAGGTTAGAAGCAAGATGGAATTGATTAAGTTAGATCTCTTTCACTGTCTTAGTCATAATTTTGCAAAGGCAGTTTCAAGAAGCAGGTTTGAGAGCATTGGGCCTCACATCACACTCTTGTCTAGGACCAGAAAAATGGGGAGAGTTTCAAAATTCTGAGGTCAAGACTGTACCTAGCCTAATTAAATCCAAAATGCTGGGGGTGAGGGTCCAGGCTTCAGTAGTTTTTAAAGATTTTAAGGGACTCCCTTACATAAGTCAGGTTGAGAACCACGGTTCCCAATTTCTGCATACAACGTTAGTGAACCAGGGCTATAAATCTCCTGACCTGTGGAATATAACACTTTGTTGGAGGAATTTGGGAATTTAGGATAGGACTGATCTTCACTGTAGATTCAACAGAGATGGAAGGAGTTGAACTCATAAACTCCATCAGGAGTCAGGTCAAAGGCATTAAAAAATATTTTTTATAAAAGCCAGCCCCCTATAGTGGAGTTTTGCCATTTTTTCTCTCTCTCCTTTTCTTTGTGGTTTCTACATCCTTTCATTCACCATCCCAACCCCAGAGTGCTAGCTGGCTATGTTCCTATTTTTAACTAAAAAAAATAAACTCGGGTTATGCTGCCTGTTGCTTGCCCCCACTGATAAGGCAGTCAGCAGCTGTGTTCACAAATATCTGGAAAACGGATCTGTTCCACTAATCTGGAAAATTATGCTGTAGACCACAAAGATTTGCTGCAGTGGGGCCATTGAGTGAGGGTGATAAAGTCTGTTGTATTTCCTTTTTGAAACTGGATGAAGCTATGTGGATAAGGGAGCAAGAATTCTGTAGGAAGTGATATACATAGTTTTGTTGCTACTTATCTCCTCACTTAAAGATAAGGAAGTTGGAAAACAAGTGTCTTTAGAATGGAAAGCTCTTCAGTGTCCTTTCAGACTAGTTGCCTTGAGGCTGGCACCTGATAAGCTCATTCCTGGACAGAATGTGTGTGGGGTACAATCTTACATTAGGTGCTGGAGCACTTACAACTTCTTTCATCCATTATTTTCACATCCATTTCACTGGAAGAAATCATCTTTCAAACTTACAGAGGAAAAATGTAAACAGCCCAATATCCAAAAAGTTTATTTATCATGCAGGTTGAAAATCCTGTTAAGTAAGCTAGACAAAAATTTCACGTGGAAGTATTTGCTAAAATTCCTGCCTCTCTTCCGAAACCTGGATAATATATTCTGCTTTGCTCTTAAACGTCTCATAGTGATGATGATAAAACCATGAAAACGGTGATCCTGCTCTTGGAAAACACACACACAGCTGTTTTTGTATATGGTTGGGATGTGTGCTGCTCTAATTAAATATGAAGTGGTTTGTCTGTGTCATAGTTCATTTTGTGTGGCTGTAACAGAATACCTGAGACTGGGTAATTTATAAAAATAAAGATTTATTTCTTATAGTTCGGGAGGCTGGGAAGTCCAAGGTCTTGGGGCCCACATCTGGCAAGCACCTTCTTGCTGCATCATCCCATGGAGGAAGGCAGAGGGCAAGAGAGCACAAGCTCGGTGGACGGTGGAAGGGGACTGAATTCATCCTAACCACCTTAATCCCCACATCAGGGCAGAGCCTTCACGACCCAATTACCTCTTAAAGGTCCCACCTCTCAACAGTGTTGCATTGGGGATTAAGTTTCCAACGTATGAATTCAAGGGTCACATTCAACTCATAGCAGTCTGTTTTGGGAAACAGTATCTTGAGTTATGCTTAGCTTTACAATTATTTGCTCAAATTATTTTTTGTTGTTGTTGTTTAGAAAATTTTTTTCTGCTCTGAATAACTCCAATCAGTTGATGAAAGTGGATTGATATGTATATCACAAGTGTACATTTTATAAAATGAAGCAATATATGTTCATTAGAGAAAAATAAACAAGGATTTTTCTTTTAAATTTCATAGGGAAGATTAAAGCAAGCACAGTTCAAGACTTTTCTTACTGTCTTTTGCCACTTTAACATCCTCTAGTGTGTCTGAGGCAATATAGGATAGTGGAATAAATAGCTAGCTATCAACTTGCCAGAGTTCAGATCCCAGCTCCATCACCACGGGCCAGGTGGCTTTGAGCAGATTAGTCAGCTTTTCCAAAGCTCAATCTCCACACCTATAAATACAAAATTTAAAATACTATCTACCTCATAGGGTAGATGTGAAGATTAAGCCAGATCATAAAGGCAAAGTAAGTATTAGAATATTTCAAAGATCTCACTTTAGTTTAATATAGCAGTTATTTTTTACTTTTAGAAGGAATTTTTATCTTGATTATAGAAACCAGTTCAAACAAGTTGACTGAACTCAGACCTTTCTTGAGACATATAAGGCATTAAAATTCATAACTACTTTTGAAAATTAGAATGTACTTTTTATTTCTTTATGAAAACTAATAAAAATACAGTGTTATTCCTTAAGAAATGTTGAGCCTTACCAAATAAGATATAATCCAGTTAATAAACTTGAGATTTTTTCCATCCTGCTTTAGATCTTAGATCCTGGAATGTTGAAGCTAAATAGAACCTTAAAGAACATCTCTCCTGTCAGGTCTTTGGAGCCCAAGCTAAGCCATATCCCCCGTGACCTTCACATATACATCCATGGCCTGAAGCAGCTGAAGATCCACAAAAGAAGTGAAAATAGCCAGGTCCTGCCTTAACTTATGACATTCCACCATTGTGATTTGTTTCTGCCCCACCCTAACTGATCAATTGACTTTGTGACAATATACCGTCCCCACCCTTAAGAAGGTACTTTGTAATGTTATCCCCCCACCCTTAAGAACGTACTTCGTAAGATTCTCCCCACCCTTGAGAATGTACTTTGTAAGAAGATATACCCCCTGCCGGCAAAAAATCGCTCCTAACTCCACTGCCTATCCCAAACCTATAAGAACTAATGATAATCCCACCACCCTTTGCTAACTCTCTTTTCAGACTCAGCCCGCCTGCACCCATGTGATTAAAAAGTTTTATTGCTCGCACAAAGCCTGTTTGGTGGTCTCTTCACATGGATGTGCATGACATTTTCAAGTGTAGCTGTGGAGGGAGTAACATATTCAAGCCTTCAAAAGGAGGGAGTCCCATGAAGACACGATCTCTCATCTCTCTTTTCTGTGTCTCTTTCTTTTTCTCCCTCTCTTTTTCCCTCCCACTCCTTCTCTCTCTCATTATTTTCTCTGACAATTCCACTCTTTCCTGGTAAGAAACAGATTCTGTTGTCCTCCTCCCTACCACCCAGTCCCGTTTTGCATCTGTAAACCCCAAATATCAGAGACAGATCTCAGTCAATTCAGGCAGTTTATTTTGCCAAGGTTAAGGACTCACCTATGACACAGCCTCAGCAGGTGCTGACGGCATGTACCCAAGGTGGTCGGGGCACAGCTTGGTTTTATACATTTGTAGGGAGACAGGAGATATCAATCAATATATGTAAGATATACATTGGTTCATTTCAGCAAGGCGGGACAACTCAAAGCAGGGAGGGGGCTTCTAGGTCATAGATAGATAAGAGACAAATGATTACATTCTTTTGAGTTTCTGATTAGTATTTCCAAAGGAAGCAATCAGATGTGCATTTATCTCAGTGAGTAGAGAGATAACTTTGAGTTCTGTCTGTCCTTTGTCCGCAAGGAATTTCCTTGTGGACAAATTGTGAGGGAGGTATATAGTTTTTTGTTTTTTTTTTTTCTTAGTAGCTATCTTTTTTAGAAATAGAATGAGAGGCAAGTTTGCCCTAAGCAATTTCTAGCTTGACTTTTCACTTTGGCTTAGTGAATTTGGTTTCCCTAGATTTATTTTCCCTTCACACATCCTTCACATTTTAGGTGCCTCAGTCCTGGACTGAATGCTGATGAAGACTCCCACTCAGGTATTGCATCAGGGCAGAAAGGTGTGATGCCTTTCCTTACCCATCATAAGGGTCACCACCAACATTCTTGTAGCAAAAGACAGTTTAACAAGCAAAAAGCATAATACAAATTCTTATGTCACATGGGAACTTTCAGAAATGAAGACCAAAAGACCCAGGGAAAAGTGTCCGTTTTTACACTTAAGTTTGATGAAGAAAGCACAGCTGTGTAGAAACGTGCCTAGGCAAAAAGGTATGATCTAATGTTGATAGACTGAGGGGATAAACCCAGCAAGGGCTGTCTGCTCAGATTCTTTCTGGCCTCTCTCTGTAGCATTCCTTTCCCTGGGGCTGGACCCTCTGGAGTGAGGGTCTTGCAGGATGAAGAGAGAGAGTGACCTTTCTAGTTTTCATAGCTTGCTTTGGGCGAGTGGAGTTCTAGTTTTTATGATCTGCCATGGGGAAGAGGAATTCTGGTTTCTCTGACTCCCTTCAGGGAAGAAAGGGAAGTGGAAGACCAGAGGGCGGGGGAAGGTCAGAGAGACCTTGCTTCTGAGGTCCTTCCAATCTCCTTCAGTTCAAAGTACTTAGCATGCCAAGGCACCATACTTTGCAGTATCATGTTCTAAGCCCCCAAATTGCTGACTGTAGATGAGGAGGGTTTGAATTCCAGCCAATGAGAGAAGGTAAAACTGTTGACATCACTTTATTTTGGTCTACTTATCACTTAGCATTCTGGTTTATTTCTTGCTGATTTTCCCAGGGAGCAAGCCACACGTTGCTAGAATGAGCAGTCATTTTTTGGGAGGACAACACAATCTAATCTTATAAGGAGAAAGGGTATTCCTTTTGAAACCAAAACTTTGACCCTATCTCTTATGGAAACATGACCTTAATAACCTTAATAACAGGACCTACTGGCAGTAAATGGCTCTCTTTGCCATTCTGGAGAGTCAGAATCAGCTTTAGGAGGCCAGAGGGCAGAGATTTATCTGCTTTGTTCATTGCTGTATCCCTTGCATATAAGCACAAAGCAAAAGCTAAATATATATTGGTTGAAATAATAAATTTGTTTATCCTCCAAAGTGTCTATCCTGTCCTGCACCCATGAGAAGAAGGAAATTTTAAATTCATCCTGCAATACATGTGCACACACATACACACATACATACTGTTTGGATCTTTCTTTGCAGGGGTAGAAGGCCAGATGCTTTTAGGTCCAGGCTGTTTTTGGTTCCAAGAGACTACTGGTGAACTGTAGAATAGTACATCATTTGCTTTATGGCTGAAGGTGAGTATATCCAAGGGAGAAGTTGAGGAGGGGAAATCTTGGGGTGAGATGATAGGCTATCTAAATATGTTATCTATCTTAAGGAGCTTGGCAGAAAGGGTGAGTCAGGGTATAGAGCCATTGGGATGGAGCGAGTCAGAGATAAAATAAGAAAATATGTTCTAAGTATAACATGGAAGAGTCAAATTTTGGAATCTCCCAGGCAGGGAGCAGCCATGGCTTTTAGAGGGTGCTCATGACCACAGTGGGTAAGGAGATAGTAAAGACATATATAACCATGTGATTATATATGTATATATATGTAAATGTATGTGTGTGTATATGTATCCACACGTATATAACCACACCAACTTGCTGTCTTTACTCTCTCCTTACCCACTGAGGCCATGAGTACCCTGTAAAAGGGGATAGACTTTACAAAATCTACCAGTCCACAAGATAAGGAATTTGTAATTATTTCTTAAGGTTTGAGTCCATTTGAAGAGTGGTTTGTGTCAAGCAATGAAAAAGCCAAATACGATGTAGTATAAATCAGGATCCAGAGAGGAAAGCTCAGTTCGTGCCAGGTGTCCAATAGAAATAATTTAATACAGGGCACGAGGTACAAAAAGACTGGAAGAGCTGAGAAGCCAAATAGGGCTTCTTAAAGATTAGCAGCTTAAAGATTAGTAACAGCAGGAAGCCACTACCACCCACAGGACTGAAGGGACAAAGAAAGGAGATAGTGTGTACCAGAGCTTGGAAGTCAGAGTCACCTGGAGCTGGATGTGTAACATGTGTAAGATGGCTGCTTGGTGGGAGCTGGGACCATGGAAAAGGGCCCATTGGCATTGGCTGGGATTATGGAGAAGACCATGTCAACACTGGAGATACTGCTGGAAGCAGAGGAAGGGAAGATAAATCCCCTGGCTTCTCCATTCCTCTTATTCCTCAATTTCCTCCTAGTGCTGCCAATGACCATATCTAGCTGGAGGCAGTTGGCAAGGGAGTTTGGAAATTTTATTTATAGGTAAGGGTCCAAAATAAATTTTGGAACAAGCAGGTAAATAACCTGTACAGTGAATTAAATAAAGAGAATTCTCTTGGTCTTTCCCTGAGCACCTGAGGTGGCTGGGACAGCTCCAGCTCTAATGTCCATGCGCAAGGTAGGAAGAAGAGGGAAAGGCTATGCCAATCATTTATGTCTCCATTTACCAGCAAAACTAATTTCTATTTTCCAGAATGTGCCCAGTTGACTTCTATTTAGTTCTCACTGGCCTGGACTGAGCAGCTGAGAAACGGGGAAAAGAATGGTCATAATTGGCTTAGTCCATTTATCCCCATCTGAAGTGGTGCACAATGTTATTATAACCAAAATAAAGGTTTCAGATGGTGAGTAAAAGTGGGAAGTGGAGAGTGAGTAGGTAGCTAAAGTGTCTGCCAAAGAATTAAATGTCTTCTGGACTTTCAATCTTTGCTGACTTACTTTGGACTTTAAAGCTTCTGAGCAGCTTGGTATCCTGGTCCTCACTGAATTTTAACTGTTGGCCCCTCCCTGTTAGATATTTCACTATTTGTTCATAACTTAGTTTGAATCACTAGCACTTGTCCTTAATACTCTGAACTTCCTTCTTTAGTCTATTGTCTCCCAGTTTTGATTACATAAGGACAAATTCAGTATCTACTATGTACCAGGCATTGTTCTAGGAAGGTGAGATACATCAGCGAACAAAACTGGCAAAAAAAATCCTTAACCTCTGTAGAGCTTACATTCTGGTGAACCGAGACAGACAATAAAAAGTAAATAGCATATTAGAAGGAAGTAAGTGCTATGGAAAAAAACAGAGTAAAGTGGTTGGGATGGGAAGTTTCAGGGTGGAGTGTTCTCAATTTAAAATAGGACACTCAGGGTAGGGCTCTTGGAAGCTGAAGCCTCATCTGACTACTATCTGCATGGTTCTATTTCTCACAGAAAAGGTCAGGCTGGCCTTTCTCATAGTTAGGGAACCTTCCACTTTTCCTGGCTCTAGGGAAAAGCCATGAAAGTTTTCTTGATTCAGTTTTTCTAGCTTTCAAAGAGTAATAATTATGTTATTTGAAGTTAGAATTTATATACTTATTTTGTTCCGGACTGCTGAAAAGAACATGTTAACAGCAAAATCATTCAAGATTTAAGAAAATAAATCTGCTTGCACCAGCAATTTTAAAGTTTGATTAGTTTCCATCAACATATCCCTTATCTAAACATTTCTGAATTAAATAGCTTTTAAAATAGATATGCTACTGTAAAATAAAAATATACTTGAAGAATTTCTAATCATTGACTTCACACTAATTTCATGCTTAACCATGTAATTCTTCTGATTTAAAATTTTGATCTTTTGAACACAGTTTCTTTTTCCCAAGAAGGGGGTGCTATATAAAGATAATTGCTTGGTTGCAAAGACCAAAGTGTTGCTGACCTTTTGCTTGAATATCCATCCCTTTCCTCTTATATTTCACCAGCTTTTAATATATTTCCATCCTTTTCCTCTTATATTTCACCATTAACTCCATCCCTTTCCTCTTATATTTCACCATTAACTCCAAATGAGCCAGGCCTCATCTTTCACCCTATTCCTATCCTAACCAGTAGCCACAATAAGTTCAGAGTGAGATTCCTCAGATACATCCTACCTGCTGTATCCTGAATAAACCAGCTTGACTTGCAGAATTTTAAGCAGGGTAGCCTGAGCTTGTGGGTAATCATTCTTTGAGAAGGTCAGGAGCAATTGTCACTTAAATCCAAAGCCTTACTGTTACCCCAATTTACATTTTCCTCTATTTATGGAATACTACCTCATTTTCATCACTTTCCTAGAACCTATTAGAAATATGTTTTCTTCTATGACCCTAATAGTAACTCAGGAATACTTATATGTTTTGACATAATCTGGAATTTGTGTTTAGAGATTAAAATCTAAGATAATCCAATTCTGTTATATTATTTTAGTGCTGAATTATGTTTTTTAAAATTGTAGACAAAGTCTTCAGTAATCTCTATGCTGATGATTAAAGAAAACATTGCTATTTTCATAGGTCATAGAGAGGATAACTGAGGAATTCATTGGCAAGCTTGTGGGTGTTGCTTTTTACAGTAATTTATTGTGAAATATAGGTGAGTCATTACCATATTACTGCTACAAAACTGCAATAACCTCAAAAAATTTTTATAAAACATTTCAAATTGGGGTAGAAAAAGAACTTCTGAAGAAGAAAAGAGACATATAAATCAAACGTGTCCACGTGTAGTACTATGTGGTGGCGGGGGGATCCTGATATATCTTTAATCCCTCTTGGAATGTATTGAGTGTATAGAATGTAGAATATCTTTGTTTTAGTCTGTGTATTCTTAACATACCACTACCACCTGACTGAGACCAGCGTTTGCTCTAATACTTACTATGCAACCGTAACACTGGCATTGCAGTGATTCATCATATGGAATTGTAGGCAGAGAAAAGCTATTAGCCAGCCCATGCAATAATTGAACCCTTGAAAGAAAGTTTATTGACAGATTACTGTGCCTACTTTGCAAGGCACTGGGGATGCAGAGATGAATAAGCACAGTTTTTATTTTCAAGAAATTTATAGTACAATCCAGGGCAGATATGACTCTTTTTTTCTTTCCAAGCCTGGATGCTCAGTGGACACACTTTTTCACACAGCGATCTAGGAAGCCATCACATTTCCAGCCCCATCTCCATGATCCTCTGGGTTCAGCCATATTATCTTCAGATCCTTGAACCTGTCCTACACTTTAGCCTTTGAGCTATTGAACTTGCCATTCCTTCCTCCAAAATCACTGCCCTGCCCACACCCACAGACCTCTTCTTTGCTTGGTTCACTTCTACTGGTCCTTTGCATCTGGATTTAGCTCTCACTTCCTCTAGGAAGTCTTTTCTGCCCCACTCTGCCTCCCCCTGCCCTCCTAAGTGTTCCCACTTCCCCATCCCAGTATTTATCACATCTTCCTGAAATTGCCTTTTTACTGAATTCTGTCTCTCACTAGGCAATAGTCTCCATGACCATAGGGACAGAGTCTTGTTCACAACTGTATCTCCAGGAAGGATGAGCATGCCTGTTTCATAGTAGACGGTCCATAAATGTTTTTGAGTGAAGAATCTGGCGCAGTTTTTAGAGCTGGGGGTCAAAGTCAGAGACAGATTAGAGGCCAGAGTGATTGGGTCCAGGACTTAGATAGGTGGGCAAGATTGGGTAAACTTCTCTTCTTGGGCCTGTCTATTCTGGGGCAGGGAAAACCTTTGGATGGGTTTAGGGGCCTCACTTGGAGGGCCACAGAGGCTTGAATCCAGCAGGGCATGGTTCCAGAAGGTAGAGAAAAGGACACTCATTAATACCAATTTGACACCAAATTGGAGAGACAAACCCCCAGCAGATGCCCTCCTCTGGATGCCATAGGGTCTAGCTTGAGCCCTGCTGCCTGTACGCAGGAGTGGGAGGAGGAGATGGGGATGGAATATGCTGTAAAGGGAGAAAACATGGGTAAGGGGAAACTGTAACAGAGTTCCTTCTAGACCCAGATCTCAAGCCTTTACTTCTTTTATTCCTTGTTATTTTACTCATCTCAGCACCCCCCACTGCCTGCACACCAGATCCCTGTCCCTAAACCCAGCACCACTGTCACCTTTCAACCTGTCTCTTCCACTCTTCCATCAGATGCTCCTTGTTTAAATCATCCTTGCCTTTGCAACATCAGTCCCTGCCTTCTCTAAGGGGTTCATTGTAAGCATCATTGTTTCTTAGGCTGACCCACTTTCTAACCCTGGTCTTCACAGGACCTTGATCTCTCTCTCTCTTGAGCCAGCTGTTGGCCCAGGCTTCAGGCCCCTCGGATTCCCATCCTGCCACACATCAGACTAATGCTTCAACCGTAGCTTAACCACCCTCCAGCTGAGATGTTTGTATCAGATTTCAACATTTCTTTAATTTTTTTTTTTTTGAGACAGAGTTTTGCTCTTTTTGCCCAGGCTGGAGTGCAATGGTGCCATCTCGGCTCACTGCAACCTCTGCCTCCCCAGTTCAAACAATCATCCTGCCTCAGCCTCCTGAGTAGCTGGGACTACCACCACCACGCCCAGCTAATTTTTTTGTATTTTTAGTAGACGCAGGGCTTCACCATGTTGGCCAGACTGGTCTTGAACTCCTGACCTCGTGATCCGCCCACCCTCACCTCCCAAAGTGCTAGGATTACAGGTGTGAGCCACTGCGCCTGGCCCATTTCTTTAATTTTAATCAATATTTACCTTATGGTATCAATGGCCATGTGGGAAAGTGAGAGTGGTCTCAAGCCTTAGTGAGATCTGAGAACTAAGTGAGGAGCCCTGTCCTTCACTGACTTCTCACTCATCAACAAATATCTGTTGCTAGATGTCAGCTTATTGCTGTACCGAAAAAATTACATGGAATAAAAAGTAATGAAAAATAAACAATATTTTAAATTGGTGATCTATTGCTATGCCAATATAAATCTTTTTTCACTATCTTCTCTAGCATCCAAAAATTTGAATACTTAGCAGACAGGTCTGAGACCAGAGTGTGAAAGCCTAGAGTCCATCAGCATCACGTGATTGTTGCTTCACTAGGCAGGAAGCTGCTTGCTCATCACCTGATTCAGAGTTTCTTTCTCTGCTTCTCATCCCTGGGGGCTACAAACCTTCATATATCCAAGTGTCAATTTCACTTCCTAGCAGCTTCAGCACAATTGGGAGCCAGAGCGTTACCTTTTAGAAGGGGAGGATGACCAAGTAAGAAACAGCTCACCAGTGGGTGAGGCAATGGGTGAATTGCATGGCTTCTGCCTTTGAAGTTTAATGAACTCTTATGAGACAGACATACACAGAGGAAACAAAATTTTACTGACTTGCCTCTCATAAAACGGAGTATGATGTGGATGCCAGACTGGATTTAGATGGTACACTTACATGAGCCTCCGCATCTCTCCCGGAGCTATATTCATCATCCCCAGGGAGCCTGAGACACACATCTCCTGCTTCACCTACCAAAGAATTATCAGATGTCCAAGTTCTTCAGTGACTACTGCTTAGATCTTTTACACTCTCTGGTACTAACAGGCATTGAGCCCAGAGCCCTCCAAGGTAACTGTTGATAGTGCATGGTCTTCCAGAGAAAATGTGGGCTTAATTCTAAAGAATGAGTTAAATAGTGGCATTTCTGGTATTCCAGGCTGTGGAGAGATCTTTGACAATAGAATAATTTTCTGGAATAAGGGACATTCAGTGCCCCTGACCCATCAAGTTGCATCATCATCTTCCAGCTTCTCCAGGGCCTTGAGCCACTGAAGGGCTGTCCTCCCTTCGTGGTTCTCTGCCTTTTGTCCTGGGCTGACATCATCCATCAGTGACAATGCTTCCCAGAGGCAGGGATTTTACCCACAGGGAATGAACTAGAGGTCCACATCCTTCTAGAGTGTGGAGGTCAGAAGCCCCTGGGGAGGCACGTTGAAGCTCTCCTCCCCATTAGGGTGATTCTGATTCCCCCTTGTTTCATAATCCCCACAGGGCTTAGGGCTCTAGAGTGCAGAATAGCACAGACTGCTAAATCAGCCACGTGTCTTAGAGCTGTTTCTCCATCCAACTTGGACAGAAGTCTCTCAGACAGATGATGTCAGTGCAACTGGAGGGGAGATGTTAAAAATCTGTGCTCTCTCTGGCTGCAAAAACCTTTCCCGGAATGCTCAGGACCTGATGGTGGGATTGTAGACTGGGGTAGTCATTCTGGAGAGCAATTTGGCAGTACATGGTGAAATGAAGTGTGTCTACACCCTGTGACCCAACCACCCCTTTCTAGAGCCTACACCCCAGACAAACCCAGGCATGGACCCATAAAAGGATGTGTATGAGGGTGTTCATTGCGGCACTGGGTGTGGGAATAAAAACGATGATACAGATGCTGATGGCTAACACTTGCTAGATGCTTATGTGTGCTAAACACTTTACATCTTCTCAATACTCTTACTATCTCCACTTTAGAAATGAGAAAACTGAGGCATGGGAGGTGTAGCAAATGGGCTAAGTTCGCACAGCTGGTGAATAGGGTGTCATGCCAGGCAGCCTGCTTCCTGTGGATGAAGCCTTAACCATTAGGCTTGATGCTCTACCTCTGTGTCCACCGCTGGGGAATGGGTAGGTAAATAGGGAACAGTGTGCGTCAAGCTCTGGACAACTCTAAAAGCATAATGCTGAGTGAAAAAGGAAGAGAAAGAATGAGCTTTATAGTTACTACCATTTATATATAGAGAATAGACAGAGATAATGCAACATCATAAAATTTCAAATGTATTGCTATATACACACACCCAAGAACACTCAGTGAGCACGTATTGCGGGGAGGTTGGGGGCAAGTAGAAGTCAGGGATGACTCACATAAAACAAAAAAGAGCAAACAAAACGAGAAAGAGCCTTGCCCAGAGTGATGATGACTGGACACCATGAATTAATGATGTGCTTAATTCTGCTCTCTCCTCCTGATGTTCATATCCTGCACCCCACAATAATTTTTTTTATGAAACTAGATTTAAAGCTTCATTTCTACTTTAGGGAGGATCAGAGAAGGCACATTCATTCTCTTTCTCTTGAGGACTCCATTCAGTGAGCAGCAGAGTCCTGCAATAGGTGTACATTCTAGTTAGTGTTTTATTCCACCTCATGATATAAGCTCATTTCCTTCCATTTCACAGATGTGCAGAGAAGCAGGTCAGAGAGGAAGCAACTCTGCAAGTTATCAGCTGATCTTGCACTTGACTCAGGTCCTGGCACAGAGGTTTAGCCCTGTGGTTTACAGAACACCTCTATTAATTGTCCTGGCAACCACTGGTTTTATTTGTAGAAATAGCCACCTGTGGCTGGGCGTGGTGGCTCACGCTTGTAATCCCAGCACTTTCCGAGGCCGAGGTGGGTGGATCACGAGGTCAGGAGTTCAAGAACAGTGGCAAACACAGTGAAAACCTGTCTCTACTAAAAATACAAAAATTAGATGAGCGTGGTGGCGGGTGCCTGTAATTCCAGCTACTCAGGAGGCTGAGGCACGAGAATCTCTTGAACCCAAAAGACGGAGGTGGCAGTGAGCCAAAAATGTGCCACTGCACTCCAGCCTGGGTGACAGAGATAGATTCCATCTCAAAAAAAAAAAAAAAAAAAAAAAAAAAAAAGAAAGAAAAGAAAGAAAAGAAAAAAGAAATAGCTACCTGTTTCCCAGAAACAGAGCATTTGCCAGTATTACTTGATGAAGACCTCAAAGAGAGGACCATGCCTTCAGGGATGATAGTAAAATTATTTTAATTAAATTTTTCTGAGGTTACATAGAAATAAGGCATCATTGCAGACATTTGAGAACATTATTTATTTACATGTCATGTATCTCTGGTGGCAGCTGACCCTAACGCTTGTCATTGTTTACAACACCCCCACACCTGCATGGCATGCTTGTCTGCAAATGAACATCCCTCAGTCCACTCTTGCCAGTATTTCTTTTTCTTTTCTTTCTTTCTTTCTTTTTTTTTTTTTTTGAAGACGGAGTCTCACTCTTGTCGCCCAGGCTGGAGTGCAATGGCGCGATCTCGGCTTGCTGCAACCTCTGCCTCTCTGGTTCAAGTGATTCTCCCGCTTTAGCCTCCTGAGTAGCTGTGATTACAGGCACCCGCCACCACGCCCGGCTAATCTTTGTATTTTTACTAGAGATCAGGTTTCACCATGTTGGCCAAGCTGGTCTCAAACTCCTGACCTCAGGCGATCCGCCCACCTCGGCCTCCCAAAGTGCTGGGATTACAGGCGTGAGCTACTGCTCCCAGCCTCTTGCCAGTATTTCTAAATGAGTTAAACATGGACATAGTTCACATTACTGCATATCATTGTTTCCTATACAGATGGAGAATTAATTCATAGTTAACGCTGTAATCAGACAGACTCCAAGGAATGATTTAGCAGGACATTATTTGGCAAATGCACAACGACTATAAAATGTCACCTTTTAAGAGTCCTGTTGGCAGGAGAACTCTGTTTCTTTCAGTCCCTGGAGATTTTATTCTCATGACGCTTATTTTTAAGTTGCCTCCTGTTTCTCTGACACTGTGTTGGTAAAAGATATGGCTCTAGTTGGGGGACAAGTTGGCTGTGAAACTGACCAGACTATGACATATGGGATATGAGAACAATGCTGGCTTGTACAGCCCAAACTGTGATTGCAGGTGAGAGCTGGCCTCTTCACAGATCATGTAAACAGCTTACATTAAGGTCCTAAGGAAACTGTTGGGGAGATTTGGAGAGGCAGAGAGGAGGAGGCAAGAAGGAAGAATAGCAGCCCCAAAGTGTGAAGTCAGGAATGAGGAAGAGGATGGAGGTGGATGGTAGGGGTAAGGACAGTGATGAATGAGCCTGAGAAGGGATTGCTTGGCAGGGAGAGGAGGGACAGGCCTGAGGAGGTTGGGGGTCAGGTGGAGATGGAGGGCGTTAGGGCCAGGCTTGGCCTTGGAGACTTGGAGACTTACAGGGACATGGCTGAAAGTAGGTTCTCCCTCATCCTGACTTGTGGATCTGAAAGCCTGTGTGTTCATGAGATTCTGAGTGAGGCCCATTTGGATGTGCACTTTCAGCTCTAATTACTAGAGGCAGAAAAGAGTCTGCCAGGTGGCAGAACATATTTCCCTGGAAGCAGTTGTCAGAATGCTCAGATTCAGGCCGTTCATGAAAGATGCCCCAAATGCTCAGAGCACTCCTGTCCTGAGCATTTGCCCAGGCCGCTCCTCTCACTGGGATAGTCTTCCTCTTTTCTTTCCAGCTCTCTAGACCTGCGCCATCCAGTACAGTGGCCAGTAGCCATATAAACCCTGCAAATGTGGCTAGTCCAAAATAGAGATGTGCTGTAAATCTCATGTGTGCAGTTTCTCAAAATAATCCCTTCAAAATGATCCTTATGACGAGGAGGCATATTTGGGGGTATCATTTTCAGGTCTCCTACAGTCCTACTCTGGATGGCACATTTTTGGTCTTCTACAGCAATAATTATTTAGGTTTGGATATGTGATTCTGACCAATGAAGCAGAAGGACTAATCTGATGGGAGAGTGCTAATCTGATGGGAGAGTGCTAATCTGATGGGAGAGTACAACACAGAGATGTGCTGTAATAGAAAATATCCACAGGATTTCAAAGACTTTTAAACAGTGAAATATCAGTATTTTAAAAATAGTGAACTATCTCATCACTAATTTTATTCTTGTATTTCTTACATGTGGAAATAATATCTTGGATATATCAGGTTAAAATGTAATATTGAAACTAATTTCACCTCGTTCTTGCTTTTTCATATGTGGCTGCTAGATTATTTAAAACCACATATGTGGCTCACTTTCCATGTCTACTGGACAACCTTGCCTTTGCAAGAGGTTCCACTGCATAGTAGTAAAGTTCTCAAGCTCTGAAGACAGGCTGCTGAAAGTTCAAATCCTGGATTCAGATCTTGCCACTTCAACACATGTGACCCAGGGCTCTGTACCAAATCTTTACATGCCTCAGTTTTCTTCTCTCTAACAACAGTGCCTGCCTCATGGGGCAGAGCAAGACCCAGATGCAGTGTCTGCTGTCTCTCTGAGGCCCTCCCCTACACCTTGTTGCGTGAGCCTTCCCTCAAGCAGTGGCTCTCCTTTGGCACTGAGTGTACATGGGTTCATGGTAAAGTTGTTTTGTCACTTCACAAGGCTTCTCATGAGGTTGAACCTTGATAACTCTTCATTGCCTCTCTTATCTTTCTGCCCACTCTCATGGAGGAGATGAGGCATCTCCTCCCAGAAAGGCTGCAGAGCTCCAAGTCAGACTCACATGGGAACCATATTCCACATAATTTTTTTTTTTTTTTTGAGACAGAGTTTCCCTCTTGTCATCCAAGCTGGAGCGCAATGGCATGATCTTGGCTCACTGCAACCGCGGCTTCCCGGGCTCAAGTGATTCTTCTACCTCAGCCTCCTGAGTAGCTGGGATTACAGGCACCCACCACCACGCCTGGTTAATTTTTGTATTTTTAGTAGAGATGGGTTTCACCATGCTGGCCAGGCTGGACTCGAACTCCTGACCTCAGATGATCCACCCGCCTTGGCCTCTCAAAGTGCTGGATTACAGGTGTGAGCCACCATGCCCAGACTTACCACAGAATTTTTATTAACATATAACACACTCAGACAAATATAAAACTCATAAATGTGTACAAATTGATGAATTTTTAAAAACCAGAAATGTGTATCCTTCATAAAATCAAGAAATAGAACATAAAAATCATTCCAGAATTTCCCCTGTGTCTCTCTCAGTCACTTCCCACTCCCCTAAAGATAACTGCTATCTTGATGTGATCACCATAACTTGTTTTTGTCATTTCAAATTTATGTAAATGAATTTGTAACTGCCCAAGGGGTTCACCTTGCCCTCTGCAATAGAGAAAGAGTAATTCACACAGGGCCGGCTGTGTGGGAGACCAGAGTTTTATTATTACTCAAATCAGTCTCCCCAAGCATTTAGGGAGCAGAGTTTTTTAGGACAATTTGGTGGGTGGGGAAAAGCCAGTGGGGCCAGAAGTGCTGATTGGTCAGGGATGAAATCATAGGGAGCTGAAGCTGTCTTCTTACGCTGAGTCAGTTCCTGGGCGGGGCCACAAGATCAGATGAGCCAGTTAATCATCTGGGTGGTGCCAGCTGATCCAACAAGTGCAGGGTCTGCAAAATATCTCAAGCCCTGATCTTAGGAGCAGTTTAGGGAGAATCAGAATCTTGTAGCTTCCAGCTGCATGACTCCTAAACCATAATTTCTAATCTTGTGGCTAATGTTGGTCTAGTCCCCAGGAAAGAAGGAGGTATGCTTTGGGAAAGAGCTGTTACCATCTTTGCTTAAATTATAAACTACAAACTAAGTTTCTCCCAAAGTTAGTTCAACCTACACCCAGTAATGAACAAGGACAGCTTGGAAGTTAGAAGCAAGATGGAGTCAGTTAAGTTAGATCTCTTTCACTGTCTCAGTCATAATTTTGCAAAGGCAGTTTCAAAATCATTCTCATGTTGGGCTTCTTTTACTATGTTTGTGAGACTCATCCACATTGCTATGTTAGTGCTAGTTCATTTCCATTGCTGAGTAATATCCCATTTTCATACATTTATCACAATGTGCTTATTCATTCTATTGTTAATGAATATTTGGGCTGGTTTCAGTTGGGACTCAAACTGCTGCTATGACTATTCTTGTGCACTAAGGAATGGAATTTTGGATTATAGGGTATGTGTTTATATAGCTATTAGTAGATACTTCTATTAAAAATATATTTCCAAAATGTTCATACCAATTTTGCTCCCAAAAACAATGTATGAGAATTCCAGATGTTCCATGTCTTTGTCACCACCCTTTCCCCCCCATTCTGAGAGCAAGGGATGGTTTCAATTTGCATTTCCCTGAATATCTTGTGAAGTTCAAGTCTTTTGCCATTTGCCTCTCCTCTCATAAAATTGTATTTACAATGGACCCTTGAACAACATGGGTTTGAACTGTGCAAGTCCGCTTATGTGCAGATTTCTTTCTGCTTCCACCACCCCTGAGACAGCAAGACCAACTCCTTCTCTTCCTCTTCCTCAGCCTACTCAAAGTGAAGATCATGAGGATGAAGACTTTTATGATGTTTCATTTCCACTTAATGAATAGTACATATATCTTCTCTTCCTTATTATTTTCTTTTCTTTGGCTTACTTTATTGAAAGAAGACAGTATATAATACATAGAACATACAAAATATGTGTCAACCGACTGTTTATGCTATCAATAAGGCTTCTGGTCAACAGTAGGCTATTAGTAGTTAAGTTTCTGGGGAGTCAAAAGTTATACCTAGATTTTCAACTGCACAGGGATTGCTGCCCCCTAACCCCTTCGTTGTTCAAGGAGTCACTGTATTTGAGTCAACTGTCCTTTTCTTATTGATGTGTGATTTCTTTAAGTACATTAAATACTGAATCTTTGTTGGATAGATGAGTTGCAAATATTTTTTCTAAGTCTGTGGCATGTCTTTTTACTCTCTTAGTGGTATCTTTTTTGAGAAGTTCTTGGAATTAATGAAGTCTGCTTTATCAGTCTTTTTCTGTATAAGCAATTTATTTTTGTAATCTGTTTAAGAAATCTTTGCTTACATGATACAGCCTATTTAATGTTAGGAAATTTTATCAACCATGTCACAGTGTTGGAGACCAAAAACTAACTAGAACTTGCCATATAAGACTTCTGAGAATCCACCTGACACAACACACGTTTATACTACTCTAAATGGTGTTAAGTTCTATCCTTTGAGGCTCATTCCACTGCCTCTCCACTGCCCCAAATATCACATTCAGATTCAATGTTTTTTCTGTGGTCTTTCCCTGTTTGGCCTTTCCATTCCCCTTTTTTTTTTTTTTTTGAGACGGAATCTTTCTCTGTCACCCAGGCTGGAGTGCAGTGTCACGATCTCGGCTAACTGCAACCTCCGCCTCCAGGTTCAAGCGATTCTCCTGCCTCAGCCTCCCGAGTACCTGGGACTATAGGTGTGTGCCATCAAACCTGGCTAATTTTTTCAGTAGAGACAGGGTTTCACCGTGTTAGCCAGGATGGTCTCGATCTCCTGACTTCATGATCTGCCCACCTCGGCCTCTCAAAGTGCTGAGATTACAGGCTTGAGCCACCACGCCCAGCCCTTTCCATTCTCTTGACCTCATACACCCCACTCCTGGGCTACCTTTGTGTTCTATGTCAAATATTCTTGGGGCTCTTTTTCATACTTACAATGTCAAAAAACAAAATTTCAATAGATGTAGTTCAATAATCTAACTGGCTTTTGTTAGCAATTCATGAATCAGGCAGCATCTATGAAATATAAAGGCACTCTGCCAAGCTGGCAGGATAGTTGGTTTTTGTAGGGTAGCTTGAACAGGAACACGAAGAAATAGTGTAGTACAAAAAACCAGTAGGATGCTAATGATTAAATATGCAACAAGGCTCACCAAAATTAAGATAAATAATTATAGAAATAAAATTTTCAGAGGGTAATAGAAGAAGCAAAGTTTTCTGAGGGAGGTTTCCTGGGTGAGGTGATCTGAACATCTGCCTACTGCAGGTAAATATTATGGGACAGAGTCATGGGGCTGAGGGTCAGGGGAGGAATGCAAGGAAAGAAGCTTGAAGAATGGAGCTGAGGCTGCCTTTTAGCCCCACAGGAGGGAGGGAGGGAAGTTGGGACAGGGTTGAGCATCCCACACCCTATGAGGGGCTGGTTAGACCCAGCAGCTGAGGAGACCTAGGGGGCTGCTTCCACCTCTCACCAACCTGCTTCTGGGTGTGGCAGTAATGTCTTGTGGGTGAGTCCTTTTCAGTTCCCCTCTCCCTCACTCACACTCTCTCTGTGGGATTTCCATGGTGATAAGATGAGAGAACATGTCAAATGTACCCAAATGAGGAGAGTTAAATGTGGTCTTTGTGGCTTTGGCTCAGCTGTCCAACTGCAGCCTTCCTAAGGTACCTCTTGAGATCAAGACACAGGGAGAAGGAACAACACACACACTCCCTGCTGGATTTAGAGAGAACTGAGAGGAGGCTGCGGTTTAACTGGACCTTCCTTAGGAAAGACTGTCGCAACATTTGTAGAGCACATGATGTGGCTAAGAACATAAAACTTCAAGTTTTCTCATATTTGAATTACAACTGCTTAGCAATCTAACCTAAAACTGGAGACTTTCTTCTTGTGATATTTGTACATATGATATTCTTGTTAATCTAAATATTCCAAAGCAGAAACTCTAAAATAGGAAGGTATGTAAACAAGGGGGTTGATCACTCTCGCATTAGTGTTTACACCCAGCTCAAGAAAGAAACAGAGGTCTCTCTTTGTTCCTAATGTTCTTCCTGTGGACATCCACCTGGACTGACATTTTCCAAGATTCTCTCAGATCAAGGATGGAATCTGGCACTTATGCTGGAGGCAGCAATTGGAAACATATTAGGAATTTAGAACAGTGGTGTTAGGAATAGGCAAATGTGTATGTAGAGTGTGGTATGGTTTGGTGTACATGCATATATGTGCAGGAATTTGGCAGAAGTGTGAAAAGAATTCTCTTTGGTACCCACCCAAGCACCTACCTGTCCCCATCATTGCCCTGTTCTTTTCTCCAATGATCTTTCAGACCCCTCGTGTTACCCTGCTCTTACTCCGGGCCCAAGTCCTAACGCAAAGCTCGTTTCAATCCATCCAGGCTGCTATAGCAAAATGCCTTAGACTGGGTAATTTATAAACAACAGAAATGTAATGCTTACAGTTCTGCAGGCTGGGGAGTCCAAGATCAAGGCACCAGTAGATCTAGTGTCTGGCGAGGTCCTGTTCCTCATAGACGGCACCTTCTGTGTGTCCTCACATGGAGGAAGGGACTTATAAGCTCCTTGGGTCTCTTTTATAAGAATACTAATTCCATGCATAAAGGCTCTGCCTTCATGACCTAATCACCTCCCAAGGGCCCCAACTCTTAATACCACCACAGTGGGGATTCAATTTCAACTATGAACTGAGGGACACGAACATTCAGACCATGGAAAAAGTTTTTAAACCTTTCTAACTGTGATCATGGGAAGAAATATTTGCTTTACAAAGACATACACACATTGAAAAAAGTTTGTGAAACAATATCTACCTGTACCATCTATCTTCTACTTTAATGCTTTCTATTTTTTTTTATTTAAAAATTGTGAACTGCATCTATCAAACTAATTTCACAACCCATGGCGTTTCATAAAGCATGACCTCACCTAGTCCCAGGAAAGGTGTTGATAAGCTAGGTGGATTATTGTTTTGCTTTGCTTTGGTTTTCAATAAGCATCAAGGTTTTGCTACCGCTTGAGCTTTTTGAATTTTATCTGTGAGCTCCAGAAGGCTCTCTCGGCAGCCTGGGTAATGAAAAGAGTTTGTACATAGACTTTTGCTTGCATCCAACTTGGGAGGGCGGCCCCCAGGACTCTTGGGTGCTACTCTGCAAGCTGTGTGGGAAGGACTTGCAGCAGTGGGTGCTCCTCCAAAGCACACTAGAGAGCGCAGTGGGCAAGAGGTGCAGTAGCTTTCCCAACATTTGAATTAATTTATCTTGTTGACATAATACTATAGGAAGTTCTTTGAAACACAGCATTAGTATGATTCATCATAACCATTTTCATTTTAACCTTTGTTTACTTTGAGAACTAAGAAGGTGGTCTTGCAGCATCAGGTTCATGGGCTGCTCCCTGTTTCAAGAAGAAGAGTAGGATGTCACTGGCACACCAATGCTAGTAGGTAGGGACTGAAAATGTCTTTGGGAAAGGCTAAAGCAGGGTTCCTGTGGGGAGAAAGGCAAGAGCTACAATAGACTTAGCTAAAATAAGGCTGCAATGGAGTTGCAGTTACTGGCCAAATGAAGAAGCCAGTAATGTGGCTTTCAGATCATAACAATGAAAAATAAACAAGCCAAATCAGGAACATTAAAGATAGTTAAACATCGATCTGAAAATCAGGGAGGTATATGAATAGAAAAAGTGAGTATTCCTCTACAGTGACTCTGATATAGAAAAGTGATCAGATTTGTAGTTCATTTTCCATTCACTAAGCATCTGCTCAAATTGAAGGGATTTGTCTAAGGTCACACAGCTTGGAACTGGATTTAAATCCAGATCTTGGCCAGGTGCGGTAGCTTACGCCTGTAATCCCAGCACTTTGGGAGGCTGAGGCGGTTAGATCACTTGAGGCCAGGAGTTCGAGACCAGCCTGGACAACATGGCAAAACTCCGTCTCTACTAAAAATCTAAAAGTTAGCTGGGCATGGTGGTACGCATGTGTAGTCCCCGCTACTCAGGAAGCCAAGGCAGGAGAATTGCTTGAACCTGGGAGGTGGAGGTTGCAGTGAGCTGAGATGGCGCCATTGCACTCCAGCCTGGGTGACAGAGTCAGACTTCATCTCAAAATAAAATAAAATAAAATAAAATAAAATAAAATAAAATAAAATAAAATAATCCAGATCTCTCTGATTCCAAAGGTCATGTTCTTTTCACAAAATTCACAGAATTCCACAGACTCCCAAGATTGTTTCTAATCTAGTAGGACTATAAGTGGGTGGTTTTTGTGTGTTTGTTTTTCCTCCCTCCTTTTCTATATTTTTTGATTTTTTTCCTGATTATCTTGAGTGCTTTTTTCTTAAATGAAAAGCAAACCCAATATACTCTGTGTTTTAAAAACATTGCCCACTAGAGAATGATTGCCAGTCCAGAAAAGAAACAGCATTTCATCTATCTCAAACTGTTTTACCACCACTGGTTTTTTTTTTTATTTATTTTTATTTTTTTTCATTGTCTATATTTCTTTTCTGGCCATTTTATTACTTGTATCATCTCATGATTATTTCTGAAAATATTTTTATGTATAGGGGAAGGGGTTGCTCAAAATGATGTACTCTGGACCTAAATTAAAATATAATTGGTACCACCTGTTCATGGAATATTCATACCACTAGTAGTTTTGATAAACATTTTAAAAATGAAAGAATTGCTAAACCCATAGCGACTTAACAAGGGATATTTCATTATATAAGAGCCTGGTGGGTTGGTGGGGAGTAGAAATTTTTATTCTTTTTTTTTTTTTTTGAGACAGAGTCTTTCTCTGTCACCCAGGCTGGAGTGCAGTGGCGTGATCTCGGCTCACTGCAAGCTCCGCTTCCCAGGTTCACGCCATTCTCCTGCCTCAGCCTCCCGAGTAGCTGAGATTACAGGTGCCCACCACCACACCTGGCTAATTTTTTGTATTTTTTAGTAGAGACGGGGTTTCACTGTGTTAGCCAGGATGGTCTTGATCTCTTGACCTCGTGATCTGCCCTCCTCAGCCTCCACGAGTGCTGGGATTACAGGCGTGAGCCACCATGCCTGGTCGCCACTGGTTTAATCTATCTCTAAACATTTTTCAGACTAGAATGCATTTCTTACTTGAGATATTCCTTACTCTAATAATCTGGTCATTCTGGGGCCACATTTTTAGGCTTAATTCCATTTTCTTTCCTCTCTTTATTAGTCAAAACACAGTTAAACTTTCTAGCTCATTTTTTTTTTTATTGGGGGCAGGGGTTGACATAAAGTCCCCAGTGGAAGGAAGTGCATGGAGAGAAAGACTTCTAATTATTAAGGTTAAATAATGGTTAGTATAGCCGGGACTGAAGAGCTCTGATCTTTGAAAGCCTACAGAGAAGTTTTCTCTTTATAATAAAAGGGCACTATAATAAAACGGATTTAGGAAAGTTCAGGAAAGGGGCTGCATAAGCTTATCCTCTTCACAATTAACTTTTTGTTTAACTGCCCTTAATTCTGGGCCATTTTCTCACTCCTATTATCTTCATATGTGAATTGAGCAATCATGACCTCATGCTACTTAGATCCAAAGGTTACCTAAGAAAACACTTGCATGGACTATCTATAACTTGCATCCTGAGAAAATAACCCCACTAATGTGAACATGAACAGGGAAAGTAAGGTAAGTGTGGATTAACCAAACTGGAAAATATGAGCATAATAATTTCGTCAAATGAAACCACAATCTTCTACCCCTCTCTGTCTCCCCGAAACTTGTTTGCAGTGTATACCTTGCTAATTTTTTTTTTTTGCATGTGATCATTTTATCCTCATGGTAAAATAAGAAATAAGTAGTGATTGCTTTATTCCAGTCTTTGGCTGGCTAATTCTTGTTATCATAAAGGGATGGGCAAATTAGAGCATCTTCTGTGGCCTAAGGCTCACTTGTTTCCCCAGAGACAAAAGAGACTGAATGCAAATACTCTAGACAGGTCTAAAGAGCAGATTTTTTGTGGACTGAATAATCAAATCAGAGGTACAAATCACTTAGAAAGTGCCCCAAGAAAACTAAGCACTTCGGACCATGTGTTGCCAAATTTTATTAAGCAAATATCAAAGTTGCAGTGTAATATACATAAGAAATATTGCTGTGGCTGCATTTCTGGAGTGTGCCCTAGAAGGGAAAAGTGGTCAGGGTCTGGATAAGTCTTTCATGTTCTTGTGACACTGGGCATAAACAATCCTAAGTAATGAAATTTCCAGGTTATAACCTGGAAATCTTCTGCAATATGAGAGAAGGCCAAAGAAGAGTTATGAGGGACAATGGGAAGGAGACTTGCTTTGGGAGAAAGAAGTGCATTTCTGTAGAAGGAGTAAAAACCACAAGGAAACTCCCCATCCAGTGTAACACCAGACTGCAGTTCCCAAAGAGAACCATTCTGAAAGGGTATAATCAACTGGCCAATTTCATGGCCTCCGGATCAAATGTAATCAACCAATTAAGAATGGATGTGGACCAGAATTCTCCTGGTCATGACAACAGCAAGGAGAATCAACCAGAAGTGCATCCTTCTGCTGTGTCTGGAAATGCGATTTTAAGTTGGAATCCAAATCAAGGCCTTTCTTGTGAGCACCTCCATTCTGATTCCTTTCTCTGAAACGCCTGGCTCTGGCGCTTTGGCAAGTTGGGCTTCGAATCAGGCCATTTACTTAAGTCAAAAGGCTCTCTCTCTCTCTCTTTCTCTCCCTGTCCTTCCCACTCTCTTTTAGGAAAAAGAAGCCCAAACCTAGAAGCCTTGGGCCCTGATCTCATCTGTGGCCCATGCCAGCAGCATAGTGGCAGAACACACTGCTTTGCTCAAGATGGCTTTTAAGCTTTAATCTTCTCAAATTAGAGGGGATTAAACCTTTTCTAATATTTCTGGCAAACTTGAGGAATATGCATCCATAGAGGTATAAACTTTTCTTTCTCCTTTTCTGTTCACCACTGTCTTTCAGAGATTGCTGCATTAAGAAAGCATTGAACTGCATCTGCTTCTAAACTGGCTCTGACTGACTGAACTGAGGGTCAGAATCAGAGAAGGAAAAACCTACTGAATGCTATACCTGGGGTAGTGGAATGGAGTAGGAGGTGAAGTTAAAAGCATTTGGCACTCCCCTAATTTTAGACAAAATTCATTCAGTAACTTCGATTCTTGTAAATTCTGGTGGTTTAGGGGTCTTGTCTTTGTGAATTAGCTATGAAATCTACATTGATGGAAAAAGTTAGTAAAGCGGGCCAGTCTCTTAACTAGGAGAGAATGTGGACCTCTATGGGAATGTGCTCTTGTTTCCAGGGTTTCCACAAGAAAAAAACTTGAAGCAGTATTTTTTTTTTTTTTTTTTTTTTTTTGCTATAGGGAAATGCACTTCTCATTTATTGAGTTCTATCTTTTTATTCTTCATTGCCTTTTGGGAATGATTTAGCATGTTTATTACTTGATACAGTGAAAAGTAGTTTGAGCTCCACATTCACTTTGAGAGAGTCTGACCACAGAAATCAAAGAAGATGAAACTGTCCAGAGCTCTGCTGTACACCACATGAAGTATTTTCAAAGAGGCAGGTATGGTATGTCTTAACTCTGTCAACTTCTTGTACTATCATCTTCCATATGGTGGGTTCACACCAAAAGCAAAGGAAATGATGGCATTTCCTTTAACTGTGAGTGGGATTTTAGGGAAGACTTCTTTTGTTGTTGTTAAAATTACTCATATAAGCTAAGTATGTCTCCAACAGGATGATGGCATAATGCCTGCTCCTATACTTGTACCTCACCAGTGTTTGGATCAGTTGCATATGGGCCTATTATTAGATTACAGTTAGGTGTGTAGTGGTATATCTCACTTGTTTCTTTATCACCAGCTCCTAGCTGAATTCCTGCCTCATACTAAAAACTCAATAATATTTTCTTACTTAAATTAATTATGGACTCTGATATTTTACTTAGCTTTGGCATGTAGCAAATGGTGCCCCTACCCCAAATATATGTCCCTGTCTTTATACCTGGAACCTGTGAATGTGACCTTGTTTAGAAAAAGGCTCTTTGCAGATGTAATTAAGTTAAGGGTTTTGAGATGAGCTCATCCTGGATGATCCAGGTGGGCCCCAAATTCAAAAACAAATATCCTTATAAGAGACACACAGAGGACAGACCACACAGAGGAGAAGGTAATGTGAAGATGAAGGCAGAGGTTGGAGTGGTGCATTTACAAGTCAATGAATACCCGTAATTGCTGGCAAAAGCTAGAAGAGAAGCATGGAACTGATTCTCCCTCAGAGCTTCCAGAAAGAACCAGCACTGTTCACACTTGAATTCCAGACTTCTAGCCTCCAGAACGGTGAGAGAATGAATTCCTGTTGCTTTAAGCCACCACATTTATGGTAATTCATTATGGTGGCCACAAGAAACTAACACAGGATCTATAGGAAATGCAGAGAAAGCAGAGTATTTATTTTTCAAACATCCCTGTGGAACTGACAGTTTCCATTCCATAGTATGTATAGGTTGACAGGCAGAACGTGGGCCACCATGTTTAACCCAGGGTGCTGTACTCTACTGCAAAGTTTACTGAACAAAGACCTTCTGCTTCTGAGTTCTGGTCCAGCTTCACCTTGGGTGAGTTACTCTTTCTTCCTGCTCTTCAGTTTCCTTGTTACAAAATGGAGGTGCTCTCTCAGGCTGGATCCCATACATCTCACAGAAGTGTCAGAGGCGGGGTGAAGGATAGTGAATTTGTAGAAGGGGTGTAAGTGAGAGAATAATATGAGTGGCATGATTTAAGGCCTAGCTAGCAAAGCATTAACTAGTACGAGATGTCTAGATTTAGTAATAGCCTCCTACCGCGGGTTTATGGCTCCTGTGTAATTTTAGAGAGGGGGCACTTGCTCACTTTTTTTCCACCCAGACCCAGACCAAAGCTATATGTGTGTATCATTACATTTATATGAGGAATTAACAATCTTCAGATGACAACACAGCTGTGTCAGCAGAGTGCCTGCAGCTGAGTCAATATAAATTGTAACCAAGAACATTATACGCTAGAAAAATGGTATATGCTCAAAGAACATCAGTCCCAAGAGAGGCCACCTGGTGACTTGAGCTTTCACATGGGAGGCTAGACCTTCCTCATCAGCCCTTCAAACAGAGCCATCCTTGCTGTTCCACAGCTAGCTTGGGCCCAAGCAGCTGCTGCATGAAATGATTGGGATGCTGCAGACCCTCCCCTTACCTCATCCTGAAAGCTCATGTCAGGGAGCCCCCTGTCTTCTTAGTGCTATGGATCAGCTGAGGGTGGAATGCAGGAACCTGCTCTGAAGGGCCCACAGCAGAAGATGATTCTTAGTCCCCATGAGGGCCCTGTTCCTGCCCTTGTCTGGGTGCCAGAAGTTGTTAATGCAGACTGAGCAATGCCTTGTTGGTCATCCAGCTGAGAAGATTTTGTTAGCAGAGTTTAATTTTCTGAAGGGCCCATGCCACAGAACACACATGGCTAATACTCTGAGGCCTGAAAGCAGGCAGAGCTTATCTCACATGGCCCTTCCTAGCACCTGGTCTAGAGCCTGATTATCTGGACTGGAATCTTGACTCTGTCCTTTCCAGCTGTAGAACTTCTCTAAGTCTCAGTTTCTTCATTTGTAAAATAATACTAATACGAGGTATTGTTATAAATATATAGTCAGATAATTCTTAATAGAATTAATAAAATTAGAAAGGTCAAAATCATACATAATGTATTCTTTGACCATTACACATTTCTACTCATGGGTGAAAGATGAAAGCACAAGGAAAATTAGAAAACACGTTGATATGAATAAAAATAAGAATAGAAAGATAAACTATAGCTTTAAATGCATATATTAGAAAATCTGCAAGGTATAAAAACAATGACATAAGTTTCCACCTGCAGAATCTGGAAGAGCAGGAGCAAAGTAAACACAAACTAAGTAGAAGAAAGGAAATAATTAAGAAGAAAACTCAATAAAACTAAATGTCAACAAGTAGAATCCAATAATATGGCAAAAGGATAATAGAGCATGGCCAAGTAGGTTTTATCTTAGGAATGCAAGTTCGGTTTAACATTCAAAAATCAATTAATGTTATTCACTATATTAACAGAATAAAAGTGAAGAATCATATTGTTTCAATGTGCACAAAGCATTTGAAATATTCAGCATCCTATCATCAAGCTAGGAAGAGTAGGAAACTTCCTTAAACTGATCAAAACAAAACAAAACAAACCCTACAATGAATATCATTCTTTCTGGTGAAAGACTGAATTGCTACACCTCAAATCAAGAAACAGGTCCCTGCTCACCCTCACCACTTCTATTCAATATGTTTTGAAGGTTTTAGCCAGTATGATAAGAAAAAAAATTAAAAATAAGCCATAAAAAGTTGAAAGGAAAAAGAATTTGCAGATGATATGATTGCTCATGTAGAAAATATTAAGAACTCTACAAAACAACTGCTAGAACTGATGAATGAATTTAGAAATGCCACAGGCTATGAGGTTAATATACAATAATCAATTGTTCCTTATACATTACTAGCAAACAATATGAAAATTAAATTTAAAAAATACAATTTCATTTACAGTAGCAAATGAACAACATAAAATACTTAGGAATAACTGTAATAAAAAATGTCCAAGACCTCTACACTCGAAATTGCAAAACATGCTTAGAGAAGTTTGAGAAAACTAAGTAAATGGGGAAGCATGACATGATTATGAATTAGAAGACTTGAGATCATGAAGATTTCAATTATCACCAAATTTGTCAGTGCAATACCAATAACAATTCTAGCAAGCTCTTTTGTAGAAGTTGGAAAGCTGATTTGAAATTATATATGGAAGTGAAAAACACCTAAAATGACCTAACTGATTTTTCAAAAAAGGAACAAAGTTGGAGGACTTGTTCTACCTGATTTCTAGACTTATTATAAAGTCATAGTAACAGAGACATTTTGGCATTGGTAAAAAGATTATATATCTATTAATCTATCAATGGAACAGAATAGAGTCTAGAAATAGACCCACAGATACATGATCAATTGATTGATTACAAAGGTGCAATGGAAATTTAATGAGAAAAAAATGGCTTTTCAAAAAGTTGATGCTTGATATGAATATGAAAAATATCAACCTCTACCTCACAGCATACACAAAAGTTATCCTGAAATGGATGAAGGGCCTAAATGTAAAATGTAAAATTATAAAACTTCAGGAAGAAACACAAGAGAAAATCTTTGCTACCATGGGGTAGGCAAAGATTTCTCAGACCATAAAAAACAAAAACTATAAAAGAAAAGGGATTATAAAATTGGACTTCATCAAAATAAAAACATTGGTTCTTCAAAAGAAAGCAAAAGGGCAAGCCACAAACTTGGATAAAATGTTTGGAACACGTATATCTACCAAAGAACTTGTTTCTAAAACATATAAAAACCCTTAAATATAAGAAGATAAGCAGAAGTCTTATTCAGATACTTCACATAAGAAGATATATGCATGACAAATTAACATGAAAACATGCTTAACATCATTAGTCATTAGAGAAATGTGAACTAAAACCACAATGAGTTATCAGTACACACCTAATACAATAACTAAAATAAGTGACCAATCAAGTTTTGGTAAGGATATGGAACAACTGGAACTCTTCTGGACTACTAGTGGAAATGTAAAATGGTATAGCTATTTTGAAAAAAAGTTTGACAGTTCCTTAAAAAACTAAAAACAATAACTAAAAAACAAACAAACAAAAAACAAACACCTATCACAGACCAGGCCATTTTTCTCCTAGAAAATAGAAGACCTACACCCCCATAAAGACTTGTATACAAATGCTCATAGCTGCTTTATTTTTAATAACCAAAACCTAGAAACAGCTCAGATGTATATCAACAGGTGAAAGGATAAATAAATTATGGTACAGCCATGCATCACTTAATGAAATTGATATATTCCAAGAAATGTGTCATTAGGCAATTTTATCTTTGTGCAAACATCATATGTACTTAGAAAAACCTGCATGGTATAGCCTACTACACACCTAGGCTATATGCTGTAACCCATTGCTCCTAGGCTACACACCTGTACAATATATTACTATACTAAATACTGTGGGAAATTTTAACACAATGATAAGTATTTGTGTATCTAACCACAGAAAAGGTACAGTAAAAAACAGTATTATAATCTTATAAGACCACTGTCATATATGTGGTCTGTTCTTGACCAAGGCACTGTAATTCAGCACATGACTTTATATTCATACACTGGGAAACTACTCGATGGTAAAATGGATAAATTGTTGAGATATGTAACAATGTGCATGTATTAGTCCATTCCCATGCTGCTGTAAAGAACTGCCTGAGACTTGGTAACTTATAAAGAAAAGAGGTTTAATTGACTCACAGTTCCGCATGGCTGAGGAGGCCTCAGGAAACTTACAATCATGGCAGAAAGGGAAGCAAACACGTCCTTCTTCACATGATGGCAGGAAGGAGAAGTCTTAAACAAAAGGGGGAAAATCCCCTTATAAAGCCATCAGAACTCATGAAAACTCACTCACTATCACGAGAACAGCATGAGG
Organism: Homo sapiens; assembly: GCF_000001405.40. Taxonomy (NCBI): domain Eukaryota; kingdom Metazoa; phylum Chordata; class Mammalia; order Primates; family Hominidae; genus Homo; species Homo sapiens. The sequence continues at coordinate 112,756,372 of NC_000003.12, read as the reverse complement.
TTAACCACTCCCATGATTAAATTACCTCCCACCAGGACCCCTTGCGGCATGTGGGGATTATGGGAACTACAATTCAAGATAAGATTTGGGTGAGGACACAGCCAACCCATATCAGTGCCTAAATCTCAAAATAATTATGCTGAGTTAAGGAATCCAAGCAAAAAAAGAGCACATATTAATATCATTTAATTTGTTAAAAATAAACTGAGGCACATTAAAATATTCAAGAGTTTATTTCAGCAAACAGGGAGTCATGAATCAGGCAACTCCAGACCACAAGTGGTTTGGAGGCTTCCCCAAAGGGTTATGAGGGAAACACTTTTATAGACTAAATGAGGAAGCAAGGCAAAACAGTTTTTAAAAATTGGTCAAAGTGGAGCAGTAACCTTGTTTGGATCATTCCAGTGGAAAGTCCCTAATAAGAGGTTAGTTGCTAGTTTCTGATTGGTTAAGCTTTGTTTTATTTACAGTGAGTTGGGTTTTGGTTTGCTTATGTAGGGACCCAGAGCCCTGGAGCTACCTCAGCCTAAAGGTCTTGTAATTAATATTTTTTAACACATTTACATAAAATTATAGAAAAAATGTAATCTACAGTGACAAAACAGATCAGTGGTTGCCTGGGGACAGTGGTGGATGGAGGAATGGATCACAAACAGGCATGAAGAAAACTTTTGGAAGTAATGGAAATGTTTGTTATCTTGATTTTTGCGATGACTTTAAGGGTGTATAATATGTCAAAACTCATCAACTTATACACTTTTAATGTGTGAAGTGTACTTCAATTATATCTCAAAAAATGTAAAAGAATTTTAAAATGACATAGGCAGAGCAAAAGAAAAAAATTAAACAAAGAATAAAGATAAACCATGTTACATAATTTTAACAACTGTTGAATATGGATGCTAAATACAGAGAGGTTCATTATATTTTGCGCATTTTAGAAAATTTTCATAATATCATTTTTGGAAGTACAATTAACATGCCCATTTGGGAATTATACCCTGCAGAGTTGGAGAGATATAAACTTTTTTTTTTTTTTTTAAAGACAGAGTCTCGCTCTCTTGCCAGGCTGGAGTGCAGTGGCGCAATCTCGGCTCACCGCAATATCTGCCTCCTGGGTTTAAGGGATTCTCCTGCCTCAGCCTTTCAAGTAGCTGGGATTACAGGCGTGAGCTACTGCGCCTGGCTAATTTTTGTATTTATAGTGGAAACGGGTTTTTGTCATGTTGGCCAGGCTGGTCTCGAGCTCCTGAACTCAAGTGATCTGCCCGCCTCGGCCTCCCAAAGTGCCGGGATTATAGGCATGAGCCACCGTTCCCAGCCTAAACTTCAAATCTATAGCCATTACATGGTTTGGTGACTCAAAAGTTATAACACGTAGGTCAAGAAACCAGTGGCAGAAGGAGTGATTCCTCTCACTGTCACTCCCAGTGACCCTCTCAGGACATTTGTACTTCCATTCTAGCACTTTTAGGCTCTGCTGCAGTGGAGGTACTAGTTCACAGGTGTTAAAGTGAACTAAATATGGCCTGAGAAGGACTCCGTAGTTCTACATTTGAGTCCCTGTGGACCAACCGGAACACAACTTAATAGGCAAACATGATTGAAACCTAACTTAGGACTAAGTTAGTTAAGTCTTGGCCAATCCCAGCAGCAGTACGTCAACCACTCATACACTGCTGTGAGTGTTCAAACTGTGTTCAAGTAAGGCAAACACCAACCTATAACCAATCCAGCCGTTTTGTACCTCACTTCCAATTTCTGTACGTCACTTTCCGTTTTTTTTTGTCTGTAAATTTGTTCTGACCACGAGGCATCCCTGGAGTCTCTCTGAATCTGCTGTGATTCTGGAGGCTGCCTGATTAGTGCATCATTTTGTTTTCTTGCTCAATTAAACTCCGTACAATTTAATTTGTCCGAAGTTTTCTTTTAACACAGGGAAGAGTCACAATTATTAGGGAATACTGTCAGTGTGCCATTAAAACTAAAGCAGAGGTCTCACATACTTTGCTCTCAGGGATCTTTTACACTCTTTGCAGACCAATGAGTTTTATTTGTGTGGGTTTTTCTCTACCACTAAATACCCTATTCATAATTAAAACTAAAAATTTTCTTTAGTATTTTAAAATGTAAATAAATTTTAGTATTTAAAATGTAAATAAATATGGTTATTTTAAAATAACCATAGTAAACCCATTACGTTATTATAAATAACACATTTTAATGAAAAATAAATTATTTCCAAACCAAAAAGGTTTAATGAGAGAATGCCATTGTTTTATATTTTCACAAAACCTTTAAATATCTGGTTTAATAGGACATAGATTCTCATATCGGCTTCAGTATTCACTCTGCTGTGATATGTTGTTTTTGTTTAAGTACATGAAGAAAATTTGGTCTCTTGCAGATACGCAGTTGAAAATAGTGGACCTCTGTCACTGGGAACTCTCAGGGCTCTTCAGACCTCTCTTTGAGATCTTCTTACCTAAAGATATAACTTCCTCCTAATCATTTTGGATTCCACATACTAATAGATCAACAGTAAAGACGAGAATTACTATAGTGGGAGTGGTCATTGGTCCTGATTACTGTAAATAAATCAGATTGCTTAGCCAGGTGCCGTGGTTCACGCCTGTAATCCCAGCAATTTGGGAGGCCAAGGCAGGCAGACCATGAGGTCAAGAGATCAAGACCATCCTGGCCAACACGGTGAAACTCCATCTCTACTAAAAATACAAAAATTAGCCAGGCATGGTGGCATGTGCCTGTAGTCCCAGTTACTCAGGAGGCTGAGGCAGGAGCATCACCTGAACCCAGGAGGTGGAGGTTGCAGTGAGCTGAGATCACACTACTGCACTCCAGCCTGGTGACAGAGCAAGACTCTGTCTCGAAAAAAAAAAAAAAAAAAAAAAGAAAAAAAAGAAAAGAAAAGAAATAGGATTGCTCATACGAAATGCCAGCAGGAAAGATGTCTAGAACTCAGTAAATTCATTGGGGCACTTTTTATTGAGTTCATGCACTGTGATCCTTATGACCAGGTAATTCAAGCAGTCATAGTTTAACAAGAGCATAGTAATCAGGGACTCAGATCCCCCAGGAATGAAAGTGTATGTTATCACACGAAGCAAACAACCTAGACTAGCAGGACTGCTAAACAAGGGGTAGAAGAGGGAGATAGCAATTATCAGGGGTGACTTTGGGATCAACTGCAGCTGTCTAGATTGTATCTTACCCTATTAAACTTTCTGTTGTCTTTCTTCTTTTTTTCCCCTCTTTTGAAATTCTGACCAATCATCTCCTGAAAAATCAGTGTCAGGATTGTGTCCATTTAACATGGGACCCAAAGGAATCTGAGTGATACAAAGGCTGGACTGCAGCAGACACTGTTGGTGCCCAACCCATATCCTCTCAGCACTCACTAGTTCCTTACATGCTGGTGGCTTTCTACTCCAAGCTCCTGAGACCCAGGACACTCAACACCATACAAGAAGGGCAATGGAAGTTCTTGGAAAGATGATGTCTGCCAGATCTGTCCCACAGATCCTGGCCAAGCAATGGGTAAAAGGAGTACTCAGGGCTGGGCACCGGTGGCTCACGCCTGCAATCCCAGCACTTTGGGAGGCCAAGGTGGGCGGATCACAAGGTCAAGAGATTGAGACCGTCCTGGCCAACTTTGTGAAACCCTGTCTCTATTAAAAATACAAAAATTAGCTGGACGTGGTGGCACGCACCTGTAACCCCAGCTAGTCAGGAGGCTGAGGCAGGAGAATTGCTTGAACCCGGGAGGTGGAGGTTGCAGTGAGCCGAGATCGCACCACTGCATTCCAGCCTGGCGACAATGTGAGACTCTGTCTCAAAAAAAGAAAAAAAAAAAAAGAAAGAAAGGAGTACTCAGACACAGGTATGCAGTGTAAAAGCAGCTAGGGGACTGCCCGGCACTAGTTGCCAAAGAGTGAGCAGTCTCTAACAGCTGGAGCTACTTGCTTTTATTCAGTACTGACATAATGCCAAAGCCTGGAGCAAACACAATCTGTGGGTAATTAACATTATTGTTCCTCTGTGTCACATGCATGGATGATCAAAGGTGGGTTCCTGGTCAACATAAGTAAACAGGCCTGTTTAAGATAAATTCCCCTACACTTCCTTGTACCTACTCCTTGCCCTCTGACTCAAGGGCAGAGAACAGCTGCCTTCAGCTCTTCTCCCCCAAAGCTATGCAGAGCCTTCTGAATAGTCAGAGCCTTTCCCTGTTGCTTCTCCCACCACTCTGACCAATCTCCTACAGATGTCCCTGGAGCATCCCTCAACCAATGATGAAAGGCAGTTGGTGGATAAATACCCCAGTTCCTTACACCTTGGTTGGGAAAACTCTGAGATGTGTTATGTGTAGTGTCCTAGAGGTCCCCTGTGGGATAAGTCCCAGTTGCCACAGAAGTAAATGGCTCATTATCACACCCCGTTATTCTTTTTTCTTTTCTCTATTTCACTTCACCTCTCCCTGACCCTTGATTCCTTGGCTATGACATCAAATAAATTGCTAGTACTTAAATCTTTGTCTTGACAACTGCTTCTGGGAGAACCAAGTGAAACTTATCTGACCTGGGTGTCATTACAGCAGAGGCATTCCACCTAAGTAACAATTACATGCATTCAAATAAACTGTTCACAGTAGATTTATGTGCTACTTAAATCATGTGCTTCCACATAAAGATGTAAGGTTATAGCAACCTGAAACATAATAAATTAAAAAAATGTGATGTGGAAAAAGAAAACAATGGGTGGGTGGATGGGCGACTAGATGGCTGAGGAGATATGTTGCCATAGCAGGGCCCTTCTTATTATGTTATGGGGAGGCATGAGCTTGGCATGCAGACTGGTCACTTCTTGAACTACTTTTTCTTTTTCTTTTTGGTCACCCTTGCATTCTAATGTGTTAGCATTCTGTTTCCAATATGTGTTTAGCACTCTTTAAAATTTATTGTAAATAAAATTATTTCCATCAAAACTCTATGATCAGCCTTAGATATATCGTTCCATATACTTCTTGTGAAATTCCCATTTTACAAAGAAATGTATATATGGACTTTCACAATAATTCTTTAAATGCAAGAGAGAACAAACATTTTGTCATGTTGTAATCATTCTTCTGGTTAAAAAAAAAAGCATATATTTGGATTGGTTAAGAAAAAAAAAGAGGATATAGAAAATGGCTTATACAACTGCAGCTGTAAGCCAGATTTAAAAGTCCAAAATAGCTACTATATGTACATTTGTGGAGAACTGTATTTGTGTGTTTGTTTCATGATAGCATGATATACAGGCTACCTTTACTGCTAGTTTTGGAGAATTTAAAGCTATTCTTAAAACAGAGCTTTAAATTTTTATCTTGGGAACAATCATTGAACAAACTGGCTAAAATGTAGATTCCTGGGTGCCACTCAAGCCTTACTGAATCACAATCGTTAGCCTGGGGCTCAGGAATCTGCATTTTAAGTGATAATCCCTGGAGATCCTACTGTGGATGGTTCTTGAGTCAGACTCTGACAAACACATAGGCTCTCTTGACTAGAACTCAAGTGGAAATCTTACATTAAAATTTGTCAAAGTTTTAAGAGGGAACTCTGGAGGGACAAATTTTAAAATGGTGCTGTCTATGTTGAGGTCAATTAGGAGGAAATTAGAAACCTGAGTAGGATCCCATGTGAAGCTGGGTCAACTTTTGGTAAACATCTCAGATATTAGGACAAGGTCTGTAAACCCAGGCCCCAGCTAGCTATGGAACAATTATGTGGTACTTCGAAAGTCAGACAAATTTGATCCACTGGTATATTATTTGCTTGTGTCCCTGTTGTTCTCTCTTGGCATGTAACAAAGCCGTCTTGGAAGTTACAGCTTGATTGTATCTATAGCAGACTTTAAAAGGTAATTTACACTCCTCTGGGTCCAAATATGGTGGTGGCTACAGTGTCTAACTTCGGAGAACCCCATGTAGAAGTGTGAGATTTGGAGGGATAAAATTGGAGCTGTTTAATAAGCTCCCTACTTCTACACTGGATTTTCATTTCTGGATAGTCATTGAAAGTTCTGGGTTTTATTTTAATAGAAAAGTAATTTTCCCTACCAGCTTCCTGGGTGTTTGTAATGAACATTTTAAGCCAGTTTTCAGCTACAAGTAGTAGAAAACTGCAAGAAAATTAATTTAAGCAAGGAAATGAATAAATCCGTAGGTAGGGTGGGCTGCAAAAATGGCTGAGTTCGTGACTCAACAAAGTCTTCAGACATTGTGATATTTTCCATTTCTCTCTGTCTCACAGCTTTTGAACATCTTAAGGTTGCCTCCTCAATTTTAGGGGATTATAATATGTTATAAGGTTATTGGAGTTATATGGGATTATAAGATAGCTGCCATTAGGAATCAAGGAGATATGCTTTTTTTTTTTATGTCCAGCAGGATAGAGCAATCGCATCTCTTCCAATCTTGAAATAAAAGTCATTTCCTTTTATCTAACTGGGCCAGTGCCCCAGGTAGTTCACACTCCCCAGCCCTGGACCAGTAGCTGAAACAAGAGGGAATACCATGAGATAATTGGCTTAAGCCTGGATCCTGGACCAATCACTGACAATGGGGATGGGATAACCATGCTTGGATCGATAAGAAGCCACCCCCAAACTGGGAATAGGGTCAGCTTCCCCTAAGTAACAAGGACTACAAAGAAAAGGGGTAGTGGACACCTAAAAATATTTGGGATCTGTTTGGAAAAGATGGAAAAGGGAATAGATACTAGAGAAGCAATCAGTGGTTGACTATACTTAACGTTACAGAGCTTTCCATTTAAAGGTCTCTATCCCAGCCTACATGTAAACTTCTGCCACCCAATCTTTCCACATACAGTTGGAGAGCCTCTTCCCTATGACCCGTGGAAGATTCCAGGGAGCCCCTCAGGCTTAAGGTGTTTTGGAATGTAGTGGCAAGGTGGCTCATAGAGTGCCACCACAAAGAGCATAACATTCTATGGCAAGAATGGTTGCTGTGCCCATCAGGCAGTCAATTTAGTGAAGTCATGATACAGATGGAGAAATAGTCCCCCTGAGGTCTTGCGCACAGATTTTAAGATGATTCTCACTTACAAGAACACTGAGTGGTAAGTTGAGAAAACTATGATTCTCATGTTCAAGACTATTTTCCAATTGTTCACCCTATATTTCCTGTTCAATGCCCCTTTACCCACTTTCTCTGCCCCAACCTGTTTTCCCAGATAATTCTCCCCATCTAGTAACTCCCCTTTCCTTTTGCTCATTATCCCCAACTTTTAGTACTTTCCAGAGTGCCAGCTCTGGACCCTTTATCCTTCAGGCTCAAAGCCCTGTACTATTTTATTTTCTCTGGTGCAATTATCCTCCATAACTGAAATCCAGAGCTCAAATCACTAACAACTAAAAGCTAACTTCTAAGGATGCTTAGTCATCATACACTTCCTAGAAGGGAATAAGAAATATTTACCTTCCCGGCTGGGCGCGGTGGCTCACGCCTGTAATCCCAGCACTTTGGGAGGCCGAGGCGGGCGGATCACAAGGTCAGGAGATCGAGACCATCTTGGCTAACACGGTGAAACCCCGTCTCTACTAAAAATACAAAAAATTAGCCGGGCGCGGTGGCGGGCGCCTGTAGTCCCAGCTACTCGGGAGGCTGAGGCAGGAGAATGGCGTGAACCTGGGAGGCGGAGCTTGCAGTGAGCCGAGATTGCGCCACTGCAATCCGGCCTGGGCTAAACAGCGGGACTCCGTCTCAAAAAAAAAAAAAAAAAAAAAAAAAAAAAAAAGAAATATTTACCTTCCCTCCTGGGTGTGGGGAGTGATGGGAACCAAGTGGGAGCAGAGAAAGTTCCCTCCCTCCTAGAATGGGTTTAATTACTCCTTCCCTTGCAAAGAAGCAAAGAGAAACAGAAAACAGGTAGTGATGTCACCATATCAAAACTGGTTAAAAACTCATATGCTGTTACCTTTATATTACCATATGCTGTGTCTTGTATGTTCAGAATAATTTCTTATAATTAAGGGAAGAAAATTATGATGCCCTTAGAGCTTCATGTGTGTTGGCTTCTGTTCGTCCTCTGTTTGATCATGTCCCAGTGGGCTGGTGGAAAGGATCTGGTGAAAGTGATTTCTTTATAAATTTCTCTTTTATTATTACATTATCTGGGCCCTGGTCACCAAATCTCCCCAGCATCCTTGGCTTAGGTGGAATATTGTTACACTGAGCAGCTTGGATATCCTTGTAGTGTGGAAATGAAAAATGAATAAGAAAAATCAGTTGTGCTTTCATTAGAAAAATCCTTAGATACTACAATGTGCAAGTCAGAGGATTATGGGAATAAGTGATACCAGAAAAAAACCCACCTTGCTCTCTGTTGAGCCAACTCTTGAAGCTTTAAGGACTGAAATATTTTTCTGGTGTGCATAGATAAAGACTTAAAGTTTCAGGTTTGCTTGTCTCTTATTAAAAGGAAGAAAAATATGTCTCTCCCTCCCACCTTTAACCACTTCATTTCAGACCGCAGAGCTTATTAATATTCAGTAATATGTCTAGGCTTGAACAGATAAAAATAGCCAAGCCTTTCATTTAGAAACAGACTTCTCTAAGCACAAGCTTATTTTCTCTATCGCTGCAAGTATAACTGCCTGTCTCTGCAGATAGATCATCCGTCTCCTTCCAGTGACCAGCATGTGAAATGATGGTCACTGTCACTTATTTTGTTTCATGAAAGGCTGCCTGTTAGCACATTTGTCTGTTTCTCTTTCAACCATACTTGAACCTGCACCCCCCCCCCAAAATATTAAAATACGTTAAATATCTGTTAAATATCCCTTCTATCTGTTAAGGGGAAGATTATCCTTCAGTAAGAGGTGATCCTTGGTCACCCCCAATGTTAGCATTATCTGCACATTATAGAGCTGTGCTGTTTAATACAGCAGCTGCTAGTCATGTGAAGATTTTACATTTAAATTTATTAAAATAAAATAATTCAGTTTCTCAGTTGCACCAGCCACATTTCAAGGGCTTAGTAGTTGCATGTGGCTAGTGATTACTCCACTGGGCGGCACAGAGTATTTCAATTTTTTCAGAAAGTTCTATTAGACAGCACTGCTATAGAAGCTCAACTGAGTAAATATATCTGTTGACTAAAGAAAAAAAAATCAAGCTTTTAGAGAATTAAAGTTAATTTTATTCAGAAGTCTTACTGAGGACTATAGACTACCGTCTATAGCCCCAGGGCAGTTCTGTCAGACTGTTTCAGCACAATATTTTAGCCTACAGCTTATGTACATGTGGTAGGGGTTCTGTACTTGTGAAATCACATAAAACTTGCTCTGAAGTTATATTAAAGCAGAATCACCTCGAAGTTTGGGTGTAAAAAGACATCTGGTTGTAGATTACAGAAGCATAATCACTAACTCTGTCAGACATTATCTTATGTCCAGGAAAAGGCAAGGATGAGGGTCATTTATCTTTTACGAAATGTAGTGACTCAGGCAAAAGACGTGAGGTGGGAGGGAGGTGTGTGCTCTCCGTGTTTTGTCTTCAAAACATCTTTCAAAAGAGCTGCATATCATCATAGAGTCAGAGGCTCTGTGAAATTATAATAGCAAATGGAAATGGGCAAACATGGCTTCTTTGCTACTTTGTCTCATATAGTATATAGAAAGCCATTTCAAATTCCAAGTTGACTATGACTATTATTTTTATGACAGTTCATGATTTTTAACTAACTATAAGTTTTGTGGGGGGTTTTTTGTCAAATAGTTCATGTTTTTAGTTTCTTTTTTCTTTTTTTGAGACAGAGTCTTATTCTGTCACCCCTGCTGATGTGCAGTGGCGCTGCCTCAGCTCACTGCAACTTCTGCCTCCCAGGTTCAAGCGATTCTCGTGCCTCAGTCTCCCAAGTAGCTGGGACTACAGGCGCCCGCCACCACGCCTGGCTAATTTTTGTATTTTTAGTAGAGACGGGGTATTACTATGTTGGCCACGCTGGTCTCAACTCCTGACCTCAAGTGATCCACCCACCTCAGCCTCCCAAAGTGCTGGGATTACAGGCATAAGCCTTGGTGCCCGGCCTCATGTCTTTCAATCTGAAAAAAAAAAAAACCCAAAAAAACAAAAAACAAAAAAAAGCCTCTTGGATGCACCACTAGAGAGTAATAATCCAAAAATCAGGCAGTCCTTGGTCTAGTTCATATGTCACCACCACCAGCTGTATGTCTCCCTTAACCTCTGAGTGTAGATTCTTTCCTATAAAATGGAGACAGTGATGTTGCCTGCCCTGCTGTTTCATCATCAATAAGCAGGGATTGTGTCTTATGTCTTATTTATCTTTGTAACCATGAAGCTTAAAACAGTGAGTGGTACACAGCTGGTGCTCAATAAATGTTAATTAAGCTAAACAATGAAATAATTTACATGGCTCCCCTTCATTCCATCAACGTGTTCTTTGATATATAACTAGGTCGAGGGACTTTATCTGCTAAAATTTGAGGGAAGGTGCTGATGGCAACATAAAACTTAGGCAGAAGAAAACATGTCTAAAAAGGATGTTTAGAAAGTTTTAAGGAAATTACAACAAAGATCTAGTAAATTCTTGAAAGCTTTCTGAGTCAGAGTGATGCGATTTAACTGTTACCCTTGGTTGCACCTGGCTTCAAAGCAAGAGTGACTGGGCCTAGTTGTATACAGGTTATAGTTATATGAGAGATTAAAAACAGAGCGTGTAAATTAGTTTCTTAGGACCATTTAAATGATAAAGCATCTTTTTCTCTTTTACCTTCTGTTCCCCACAAGCCTCACTACCTCCAAGTCTATATGATAGCCATAGTTTTGAGAGGGTTTAGAGAGAACACAATAACTTCTTGCCCAGTAGATACCAGCATTTTTTCACAGGTATTATGTATAGGAAGCCACAGTTTTAAAATGAACACTCACAAGGCAAAGCATTGGAGACCACTGACCAATAGGCATGTTTAAAAGTCAGATTTTTTCAAGCAGCTTCTAAATTACCAGGGAAACAAGCCAACCAGCCAGATGTGTGTGCAGTAGAATTCCAGCTGAGAGAAGCACAGAAGTCAGGCTGTACTGGCAGTTTGGAGGAAGGGTTGGGTTACTCTGGGAAGACATTCTGGAAAGAAGGACCAAATGTTCAAAACAGATTAGCACCCTGACAGATTGGGAACGGGTTGAAGGATCTTTTGGGCCAAAAGACTATGAGGTTTACATTGTTCTTTGCTTTTCTTTGTAAAGTCAGAGCCCAGATGTGCTGAGCTCCAGGGGTGAGCTGACCAAGCACATTGCCAGGTCTCAACTCTCTATTTACTTCACAATGAGATGAAAGTCAGCTCTCTGCAGCTCCTTAGCACAGAAGAGCTTGGTTCAGTGTTTTGCCATTCATTATATGCCACCTTTGCTTAGGTGGTTTCACATACATTCGTCTTCATTAGGTGATGCTTTGTGGGCCTACACTCATTTGCATGTTTTACAAGACTTCTATCATGTCATTGAAGTGGTAAAATGGCCCTGGCTGTCTCTTTTCCAATCTGGCTTCTATATCTTATCATCTTCTTTATTTAATGAAATGGGAGTGATGTACAGATGAGGAGGTCTGGGGAGGTATTCATTTTTCTGTCTGGTATTACTTTTATCTGTTATTGATCATATTCTCAAAATACACTTTAAGGATGGTGGAAAATATACTCTCCAAATGTTGATTTGATGCAGACCTAATTCTGCAAATTCAATAAATAACAAATTAATATTCCAAATGCTTTTCCTGACACTTTTGTTTTTTTAGGATAGTGATTCCAGATCTGAGTTCCTTTAGGATGTCAGAAGCTCTTTTGCAGACATCAGGCAGCATTTCAAGTCTTCTCATTTCTATGCTAAAACATTATTATGTCCTTTGGCTCCTTAGGATGCATGGGAGTCTGGATCCTTTTGGCCTAATGCTGGTCATGGTCATATAAGTGATTGGTCAGTCTCAAATCTTGGGCATTGTCCCATCCTCTCATCCACCCTTTTCCAAAACACACACAAACACAGCTCATCCTGGGAGACTGTGTGGTCCAGGGAAAGAATACTGGACAGACAGGGAGTACAGAGGCCTGGGTTCTAGTTGCCAGCAACTAGCATAGGCAATTCTCTCCACCCCTCTGTTTTCTTCAACTGCAAAGTGATAAAGCTGGAACAGGTCATCGATAAGGCTCTGCCAGCTATTACATGGCTTAAATCCATGAAGCCTGGAGAATACTAAGGCAAAAACAATAGGGAGGGCAGAACTCATAAAAAGACTGCATCTTCTCATTGCAAATGTAAGAAAATTTGAAGCAGCAGACTTAGACTTCTCAGTTGGTACTTTTCATCTGGTTCAGAAAGAAATCAGAAAGTAAAAGATATAAGAAACACTTGCTTAAAACTGCTTCTTTTAATGTATTTCTTTTTTTAAAAAATTGCCCTAAGTGTTTCTCCAGAAATAAGAGATTTTTTTCTTTCCCACATCTCTGATTCCAGGAAGTTTCTAAGTTCTCTGTGTTGCAGAACATTTGGTAAAGTATTTGACTTATTGTATGGGATGATGACTATGAGAGAGCTATTTTTGGATACTTTTATCTGAAAATCTTTATGCACTTTTTTTTTTTTTTTTTTTTTTGGAGAAGGAGTCTTGCTGTGTCGCCCAGGCTGGAGTGCAGTGGCACAATCTCAGCTCACTGCAGGCTTCGCCTCCTGGGTTCACGCCATTCTCCTGCCTCAGCCTCCCAAGTAGCTGGGATTACAGGCACCCACTACCATGCCTGGCTAATTTTTTTGTATTTTTAGTAGAGATGAGGTTTCACCGTGTTAGCCAGGATGGTCTCCATCTCCTGACCTTGTGATCTGCCCACCTTGGCCTCCCAAAGTGCTGGGATTACAGGTGTGAGCCACCGTGCCCGGCCTATGCACTCTTAAATACAGTTTTTAAATGTGTGTGTGCATCCATGTCTTAGAATTCATAGTGTATATCAAGAGGAAAATGGATTAATTTCTCAAAAAAGTAAAATTTCATAAATATGTCTACTGTGCAAATTAGCAGCATATTCCTTAGTGTCTTCCCTAAGTTTCCTCACTGAGTTTCTGTGTCATATTGCTTCTCCTCCTGGTGTACTCTTTTCCCACTCCTTTGCCCCAACCACATACACACTAGGTTTTAGAGCAGCAGCTTCTAGCCCATTTTCACAGTCTCTGGTCCTGGCAGAACACCTGTTGAATCTTTGGTCTTTATATCACAACCTTTCGTTCATTCATCTAATCCAAAGAATATTTTATATGCCAGACATTTTGCTAGATAGCGAAGATGTGTCATAAATAAAAGAGAAGAGCCCTGTTCAACCTCTCCACCCAATTGTGGGAGAAATTGACATTAAATAAATAATAGCTGATTATTTTGTTAAAATTATAATAGTGTTACATAGGAGAAGTCACTGTGTCTCAGGAGTGTAGAACGGGGAAACTAATTAGTCAGTGATTGTGTGAGAGGAGTGTTAGGGAAGACCCCTCAGAGGAAATGATATTTTCTTAGACTTTAAAAGAGGATGAAGAGTTGTCTAGTTGAAGATAAAGTGGGGTGATGCCTAATATATTGCTCAATAAATATTTTTTTAATGGATTTGTAAACAAAACTTCCAGAAAGAATTATGGGTATTGATTATATGCTAATCATAGTAGTCAGCATGTATAAGAAGGTAAAAACTACATATATTTTAGGACCAGGCAGCTCTTATTCATTCTGGCAGTGACATGGAAGTGAGAAAGGCCAGCTGACCTAAAGAGATCAAACTTTTGACCTTGCCCTCTTTAATCCAGGACCCTAAACCACTGTGGTAACTAGACAATTGTGATATATGAATACTTTGAAAACCTTAAAAATGAAGAACATTGAGTCTTTCATGAAAATACTCCTGATCACAGTGTTTGCATTACAAACTGAAATCCAGTGGAATAAACCCTGGTGGGCCTATGTGGTAAAACTATCATATTTTTCCTAATGACTGTGCAAACTCATTATAAAATCATAATTTTGAGGTTTCATACCCATCATGAGTCAAGATAGGTTAGTTTTGGCAAAATACATCTTCTTGGCTTTAGAGACTGTGATCCATCTTTGTGGCATCAAAGAAGGGCAGCATAAGTGTTGACTGGAATCCCAAACTTTTCACCTCCCTTTGATGCCAAGCCAAGCCTAAGCTTTCATCAAAAGTACATAAATTCTTTTATATGGTGTAATTAGGAGTTTGTAGCATAATTTGCAACAGAGGTTGCTTTACTTGCATGCTTTTTCCCTTCCTGGATCTTTTTCCCTGACCTGAGAGAATGAAAATAAATCTCACATCATCTTCACCAATTTTCTCTTCATCCCACCTGGATGTGCTTCCTCTTAGGTTACCAACTGCCCAACAGATACGTCAACTGCAAGATGTTCTATCAAGCAATTCACTACTTCCTCCCTTCTCAATCTTCAGGCTCTGCATATGGAAATGAACATTTCATTATGACCCTATGACCTACAAAGCTCCCTCTCTGTCACTCCTTATCATCTTTCCTAGGGAGGCAATCAAAATGAAATGATTTTAAGATTCTAGCACTCCCAACTCTAAGGTAAATAGCATCTGACATCTTCATTAAGTCCATATTCAGTTTTTAGGTCTTCTGGTTGAAAGAAGAATAATCTAGAAGGACAATTAATATTTAAAAAAGTCTTTCCCCTATAACTTAATATTGTAGGTGGTAGTACTTTTTAGGACAGCACAGACTTGGTTTGGAAATCTCAAAATAACAAAAGGTGGTTTAATTTTCTTACCCCTATGTCAAGTTTTACCTGTTTTTTGTTTGTTTGTTTTAATTCTCTAAGTGGGGATAGAACATTTTGTGGTATGAAAAACTATGAAAGATCTTACCTCTGAAAAAAACTCCATTTGAATGAACCCTAATTTAATGGACAGGTGAAAGGTCAGCAACCTAGAAAATTGGAGTGTAGTCACAGAATTTACAACACCTTCTAACATTTCTGGGCCTAAATTTCACGTGTATCTAAAGTAGAAAGAATGGTCCCCAGCCCTTTCCAGAGTTTTAATGAAAGAGTCTATTGCTTTAAATTAAAGACACATCTGCTAGGTTCCTTTAACAGCATCAGAGTTGATGTTCAAACATATTATTTCAAAATTATTTTGCGAAATGTTGAGGTTATCTGTCTTTAAAGTGCTGTTGCAAAAGTATATTGTTGAATTTGTAACTCACAGCTAGAAAGCGATATAAATCTTACAAGTTGCACTGAGATCTTTCTAGATGAAAATGATGCAGCAATCATGAACTCCTGTGTTATCTGTCACTATCTCATAAGTCACATGATTTGAAGAGAAGATCATTCGGAGCAGTGGAAAAATGAAATCAAACATAGCTGCTACCTCAGATTGAAGAGATGTCCTCTCCGATTCTTTAAAGTATTTCCTATTCTCCTACCCACCTCCTCTGTTGTTTGCAAGACTCAAAAAGATAAATTTATAGTGAAATAAGAATCCTCCAACTTACATATTAGAGCTTCTGCAATTAAAGAAAAACAGAAATCAGGCTGGGCGCAGTGGCTCACGCCTGTAATCCCAGCACTCTGGGAGGCCAAGGTGGGTGGATCACCTGAGGTCAGGAGCTTGAGACCAGCCTGGCCAACATGGCAAAACCCCATCTTTACTAAAAATACAAAAATCAGCTGGGTGTGGTGGTGGGTGGCTGTAATCCCAGCTATTCAGGAGGCTGAGTCAGGAGAATCCCTTGAACCCAGGAGGCAGATGTTGCAGTGAGCCGAGATGGCACCACTGCACTCCAGCCTGAGTGACAGAGTGATACTCTGTCTCAAAAAGAAAAAAAGAAAAAGAGAAATCTATGGGTGAAGACAAATGGAATGGCAATACCTTGGAGTAGCATTTACTAATTCAAGCCATATAAACCATACTAAGGTTGTCAGCCCAGAGGGGAGTCCATCTGCTATGTAGATGAGAGAATGCGACCAGGAAAGTCAGGACACAAAGCCATGATTCTTTCAACTTTTTGGCACTTTAATAAGTGAATTGCATGTCCTGTCTTCTCCATGAACTCAGCAAAGCTACAACTAAGCTCCTCATCTTGAGAGTTCACCATGTGCCCACTTTGACCTATGGATGGGCCCCTTGGCACTCTACCTTTTCAGTGTCCTCAACTGCACAAACTTCCTGGGCTGCACTGACTGCTGTACCCAGGCAATTTTTTGGGAGCTCCAATGTCTTGTCTAGCACATGACATGAGGCTGTAGCATGTTCTTTCAAGTATTAGTGCTAAAGAGGTCCCATTCTACTTTCTCTGACTGATCAGGTCACTGTTTTCAGCTACCTGGCCCTTCTAAGTCAGGGTCACTAGAGTATTGGGAGGTTTGTAACTTCTTCATTGGTGTCTTGTGTTTTCCTGTCTTTGAACTTGAGGAAAGCTGGCCCTGGATGTTCACAACATCAACCAAGCAATGAAAACCACAGCACCCTACAGGAAATTCTGCATTTCTCTCAAAACATGCAAAACACAAAATTGGGTGGAACCACAGAAGGTTATGGATAACTCACTACAGTTTGGACTTTCAAAGGTAAAATGTAATATTTGACTCATGGCTATCACTTCTGGGAGATTTTTCAGGAGAGATATCTATGTTTCTGAAAGTCTGTATGCTTGCCTTTATTTTTTCTAACTTACTATAAATTCTTGTCAGTTCTGGACATTTTGGTTAAACTTGTTTCTACTGTTACTTGTTCATGCTGTCGACTAATAAAAAAGACAGTGTTTTTAAGACTGTGCTTCATGGAGCCCTAGGGGCTTGAAAAAGCATTTCAGGAGCTATTTTGGGGCCAGGGAGAGGCTGAGTGAGTCAGGAACCAGATCATGCTGTTTCTGTCACCAAATACAAACACACACACACAGATACAATATCAAGTATAAAATCAGACACAAACTCCAATAAAAATAATCCCTTGTATATACTATAAATAATATGTATTATATATATGTGTATATATACATATATGTGTATGTATATATCTATATGTATACATGGTATATATACATATATACTATGAGGTTGTATATATACTATGCCTCACATAGTATATACACACATCTATAGCATATATGTGTATATACTCTGTGTGTGTGTGTATATATATATATTTGTTTTTAAACTACGAAACTGTACATAAAACTTTGGAGAAACGAGTTCGTTAATTAAAATGAGTTTGAAAATCTCTGGGTCAACTATCCAAAAATGTGTATATAGTTGAATACAATCCATGAAATCCTAAGTAATATACCAGTAGAGAATAGAATTTGCAAGATTACATTCCTTTTAATCAAGTTCTGTGCACATTAGAAAGAATTTAGTACAGACAAAAAGCCATGCTCATTCATTTAGACATTCATTCTGCTACTATTTACTGACACTTTTTTTGTATGTGTTCCAGGCCCTGGGAAAACTATCCTACTTTTGTGAGATACTATTGTTCTACCTGTAATGCAAGTGAACAGATCTTAATAAGGACAAATAACAATTTTTTAAATGTTTACCATATTTTCTCATTTGTTCCTTTCATCAAGCATCCAACCTGCCAGGTAATTATTATTATCTGCTTGCTTCAAATAAGGAAAGTAAACCTCAGAGAAATTAAGCAATTTTTTCATGGTCAGTCATCCAGTGAATAGCCTTTCAACTCTTTCCTAACCCTCTCCAGTTTGTCAGCTTAGCTGTGGGAGCTCAGACAGGGCACACTCTCTCTGAGCTCAGCTGAATCACATATAAAATACATGTAATATCTTTCCTATCTCATATGGTTGCAAAACTTTAAAAGAGCTAATATGTGATAGTGCTTTTCAAGGCAAAAATCAAGCCATATTATACTGGTACCAGGTGATGAATTATTTTTACTGGACTTTGTGCTTGATTTTTCTACCCTGGGCTTTGCTAATCAGAAGGTCAGAATCAATCATTATACAACTATGGATCAAAAGCAAGGCATGGGCAATTGAAAAGACCACAAGTTAGAACAATGCTTCTCAAAATATCTGGGATTAAAAACCAGCTAGTTCTTTTAAATTCCCAGTTCCTCATGGATGAATACACAAAATATAAACACCTCTTTTTTTGTCATTAGCTTTAAGGGATTTAAAATTATTGCATTCTAAATGCAATTCTCAATTTCGGTATGAATCTTGTCATGAACTGATAAGAAACAGTTGTCAGTAGTCTGTGAACACACTTTCAACACTACTGGGTTAGGATATCCTCAAATTGGTTGAAGTTTGAATTTTCAAAATTCTTTACAGAGTTGTCCTTGAACCTACAAATATGAACCAAAAATCAGCCCCCAAAAAAAGAGAATGGGAGAAGAAAAAAGGTTCTTCACACTCTATATCAGGTTCCCTAGTCTAGAGAAATATAAAGGGGAAATTTTGTCCAAAAGCAGTCATTTCATGATTTATGTAATAGAGATGCTCCAACCAAGGACACCATAAAACCAATTTGTGTAAAGCAGGTTTTATGTATATCCATCAGAAAACTCCTCTAAATGCTTCAACTAAAATTGAGAGGTAGTTGAAGGATTTTGCTTTCTCCTCTATAGAGTGAGAGGTTATATTAATATTCCTTCTAATATTTTGTGCTTTTGCATTGGAAGCTAACTCAGTGCCTGGGTATTAGAACAAACCAGCAGAATTTCTCTGGTAGGAACTTTCTGCCCAGAGACCTCTGTTCTATTGCTTTTCCCTTGCTGTTACTCACAACCGCGTGTAACAATCTCATACCTTAGTTCTCTTCTTTTTTCCTGATATTTAGAATGCCTAGTAGAGCCGCAAATGGCATGTCATATTTTGTCAGGAGATGGCATTGACTAATGTGTGCAGAAAACACCCCTGAGTTAGATACTTTGAGTCATGTACGATGACCAGTTCAGTATTTAACACTTGACAAAGCTCAAAGCTGTTTACATGAAATGTATATTTTTGGCTTCTGGTAGTCTATGCTGCTATTACGGAAGGTTATAGTTAGCAGGTTTAAGAAATATTTTTTTGGGCTTTCTAGAATGAATAATTTGAATGGTACCAGCAGCAATTCTTTGTGAGCTGAAGGCTTGATGCAGTCTCTTAGGACCTGTCCTTTTAGAAGTAAGAGCGGGTTCTTAGAGGCCACATCCTGCCTTTCAGATAGAGATATCAGCTTCTACCAGGAATAGTTCCTTTCATACTACACTTAAGTAGGCAGTGAGAATAATCAGCACGATTGAAACTACCTTTGCAAAATTATGACTGAGACAGCGAAAGAGATCTAACTTAACTGACTCCATCTTGCTTCTAACCTCCATGCTGTCTTTTTCATTCCTGGGCGTAGGACGAACTAACTTTGAGAGAAATTTAGTTTATAGTTTAAAAAAAAAGATGGTAACAGCCCTTTCCCAAAGCAGACCTCCTTCTTGCCTGGGGACTAGACCAATATTAGCCAGAAGGTTAGAAATTACGGTTTAGGAGTCATGCAGCTGGAGGCTATAAGAATCTGACTCCCTAAACTGCTCCTAAGATCAGTGCTTGAGATACTTTGCAGACCCTGCACTTGATGGATCAGCTGGCACCACCCAAATCAATAAACCGGCTCATCTGATCTTGTGGCACCCACCCAAGAACTGACTCAGCACAAGGAGACAGCTTCGACTCCCTGTGATTTCATCCCTGTCAACCAGCACTCCTGGCTCACTGGCTTCCCCCCACCCAACCAAGTTATCCTTAAAAACTCTGCTCCCTGAATGCTCAGGGAGTTTGATTTGAATAATAATAAAACTCCAGTCTCCTGCACAGCCGGCTCTATAAATTACTCTTTCTCTATTGCAATTCCCCTGTCTTGATGAATCGGCTCTGTCTAGGCACCGGGCAAGGTGAACCCCTTGGGTGGTTACACTAGCATTGGTTTTTGTTTGCCACTGCAGCATTAATTATGTGTTTTTTATGGCAATAGAAATTTTTTTTTACTGCCTTTCCTCAATGTTACATGAAGACATATTTCACAAGTAGGCCAAGTACAAAGTAGGAATAGAAGCTAGAATGGAATCATAGACCAGATTCTTACATAGATCACATCAGCCAGGCTGAGGCTCCATCTGTGTGCATGGCACGGCACAGCTGCGTTGGTTGCTTATAGCTAGCATCTGTTCTGATTGGTTGGTGCCTGTGGCTTTTCAGTTGCTCAGAGTTTTGAATACCAACCCTGGGTACACAGTTATCTCTGAAAGCTAAAATGGTGAAATATAACACATAATGAATGCAATGAGCCAGCTCTAGACACAACCAAGAGAATTCCCGTAACTGGGAACCTGAGAAAGTATAAAAGCACTTAATTGAAGGTGTAAATGAGAGAAAGCAGGTTTGAAATGCAACCAAAACAAAGCCCACACATAGACAACTGTATTTATAAGTTGTTTCTAAATGGGAATGGAACGGTGTTTTTCCGGGAATCTAGGGAACAGTCTCTCTACGGCGACTTTTCTCATGTGAGAAAACAGACATTTAGCAGAAAACCAGAAAATGTTCATTGGCTTCGGTGAACTTTTATTCCAAGTTTCAATGAGGGACCCTGTGCAGAGGCTTGGGACACGGAGACCTCCCTCTGCTGCCTTTAAGGAAGGTCATTAAAAAAAAAAAAATTCCGTTTTTTTTTTTTTTTTAAAGACGGAGTCTCGTTCTGTCGCCAGGCTGGAGTGCAGTGGCCTGATCTCGGCTCACTGCAACCTACGCCTCCCAGGTTCAAGAGACTCTCCTGCCCCAGCCTCCTGAGTACCTGGGACCACAGGCGCCCGCCACCACGCACAGCTAATTTTTGTATTTTTAGTAGAGATGGGGTTTGAGCATGCTGGCCAGGATGGCCCCGATCTCTTGACCTCGTGATCCGCCCGCCCCAGCCTCCCAAAGTGCTGGGATTATAGGCGTGAGCCACCGCCCTTCTAACTTTTCTATTGTACCACACTGATGGCAAGGAAGGGCGGTAGGAAAGCCTGCCAAGGAAAGGGAGGACCGGCCTGCATATTCTTAAGCGCTGTGGGACACTGTTCTGTAGACGTTGCCCATCCCATTGCTCTCTCAGGGAGGGATGAGCCACGGCCAGGAGCAGCTCCTGGTCATCTACTGTACCACGTGTGCAGAGGGAAGACACACTCCCAGAGAAGAAAATGCTGGGAAAAAGAGACCACAGCCTTTGTATGGTGGCTCAATGTAAGTACTTCTTGACATGTCCAGTTGTACAGCTCCTCTTTGGGGTTGGAGCGCTTTGCTTTCCAGGGTGTAGATTGGGGTCTGGGGAAGTGGTGAAGTGGAGTGAAACTGGAGGCCTGGAGCTCCCCCTAGAGGCCAAATGTATTTTACCCTGACTCAAGAAAACCTGGAGCTGGAAGCTTGGCTCATCAAACCTAAAGTAAGAGTAAGAATCAGCAGTATTGTCGGCACTACCCCGGGAAGGGAGAGATACTAAACCTAGTGAACAGTGCAGGTCCGGAATCCTTTATGTGAAGTTCTAAAACTCAAAAAACTTTGAAAATGGAAACTCTTTTGAGACCTATTTGGCAACAACGTTTACCTGCAATATGAGGACATAGTCTTTATTATCTTAATGTGAGTATTTTTATCTTTTATGACAGATATATTAATTAATGTGTTTAATCATGAGAGGCTGCCCATATTCCTAGTAGGAACGTTAAAAGGTAGAGTACCCACTAGGGGTGTTTTAATGTACAGTATATGAACTGTTTACTTCTCTCAAATCTTAAAAATTCAGAAATCTGAACTACATCTGGCCCCAATCAGCCAAAGGACTATAGGCCTGGGTATTATAATGCTCACTACTGTGTGGGCCTCAATCACAGCTCAACCTGTGCCATGTGACTTTCAACAAGTGACTCACTGGCTAGAAGGCTCAGCTTCTTCTTTAGTAAGATGGAAATATCACTAGTTTAGATATTAAATGAGTTTATGCACCGTGTTCAGCCCAGGACCTGGCAAATAGTAAACATCTAAGAGTGTTAGTGATTATTATCATACTTTGTTATTATTACTTGATCTGAGAGAGTGCATACCTCACTTTACTCTGATTCACAGTCACCAAAGAGTCATTTGACTACCAGCCACCAGGCCCACTATTACCAGGAAGGTGGAATCTTGAAAGACGAACATGAGCTTTTGGGCCACTGATGATCCATTATAAATCAATAATTTGATATTCTAGATCCTATCTCAATCTCTTGAATATCTAGAAAAATCAAATCAAACAAAAATCAGAGATACTCTTGGTTCTGAGACACACCTATACACCTAAAACCTTACTGGTTGCAAGCAGGCTTAAGTTACAGACAGCCAGACAGCCAAGAGCATTTTGAAGGTGGGAAAACTAAGGCAAAGAAATAGAATGATTTTTTTTGACATGAGCACAATAATTGTATGTGGGTCTTGGCTAATGGTTTGTGATTAGTTTACAATGATCCAAGAATCTAGAATAAGATTTTCTTTTCTTTTCTTGTCTTGTCTTGTCTTTTCTTGACATGCAGCCTCACTCTGTTCCCCAGGCTGGAATGCATTGGCACTATCTCGGCTCACTGCAACCTCTGCCTCTTGGGTTCAAGTGATGCTCCTGCTTCAGCATCCCTGAGTAGCTGGGACTACAGGCATGTGCCACCACTCCCAGCTAAATTTTGTATTTTTAGTAGAGACAGGGTTTTGCCGTGTTGGCCAGGCTGGTCTCAAACTCCTGACCTCAGGTGATCTGCCTGCCTTGGCCTCCCAGAGTGCTGGGATTACAGGTGTGAGCCACTGCACTTGGCCTAGAATAAAATTTTCTAAAATGTTGTACATAAAATACTAGTGCTGCAAGAGGTTCTTTGAATAAAAAATTTCCCCAAATTATTTAAAAATGAAACCCTTCTTTCAGGGAATATTTATTAACACCCACAGAATTTGGGTTAGATAGAGTGTACCTGGGGAAATACTGTTTTAGAGAGTATCAACTTCTGTATATAATTCAGGTAGATAATTCTTGGCTATTGGGTAATTTCAAGGGTGTCAAAATTTAATTTTTAAAAAATAAAATAATCACTCTCATCTGAATGTAAAATGAATACATATCAAATATTTTATTTAATACATTAATTAATGAAGGAATCAGTAAGATGTTAAAACTGATTCAAAGAGAATCTGAAGAATAGACACATATAGGCACTCAGCAATACAGAAACAAATTTACCAATTGATGCAGAACTATTTAATGTTTATAGGACAATAAAATGTAACATTTGAAATGATCTTTCCAGCCAGGCATGGTGGCTCATGCCTGTAATCCCAGCACTTTGGGAGGCTGAAGCGGGTGGATCACTTGAGGTCAGGAGTTTGAGACCAGCCTGGCCAATATGGTGAAACTCTGTCTCTACTAAAAATACAAAAATTAGCCGGACGTGGTGGTGGGCACCTGTAGCCCCAGCTACTCAGGAGGCTGAGGCAGGAGAATCACTGGAGCCCAGGAGGCAGAGGTTGCAGTGAGCTGAGATTGCACCACTGCACTCCAGCCTGGGTGACAAAGCAAGATCTTTCCTACAAGGCATAAATCAATTACATACCAGTTAGACAAAATGCATTTGTATTTCTACAGAGAAGAATTATTTGCATCACCCTCAGTTTCTCCATCTAATAAAATGATAAAACAGTGATGGGAATCAGGACATGCTACCCCAAAATATGGCACCTTTGCATATGGAATATATAAATACATTGGTATGCTTTTCTCTTGTTAATCTATATCTTGTTATAGGTGCCCCAGCAAGTGAGGCTAAGATCCATAGAAAGAGATGTGCCATGTGACTTTGAACAAGTGACTCACTGGTTCTAAGGCTCACCTTCTTCTTTAGTAAGATGGGGATATCACTAGTTTAGATATTAAGTGAGATGCACAGCCCAGGGCCTGGGAAATAGTAAACAGCCTTGTCAAAGCAAGGAGAATGTTTCTATAGAATCAGATAACTCCCAGGTTGTCCATTAGATAACAATGAGCATTCCAGTGAACGCACACTGTGGTAGGCAGAATAGTACCCCTCCAGCCCCCTACCCCAAGATGTCTATGTCCTAATTCCCAAAACCTATTAATATGTTATGTTACAAGGAAAAGAGGAATGAAGGTTGTAGATGAAATTCAGTGCTAATCTAATGACTTTAAAATAAGGAAACTCTCCTGGTTTATCCAGATGGACTCAATGTAACCACAAGTGTCCTTTAAAATAGAAAAGGGGAGCAGAGGGAGAGGTCATAGTCAGAGAGAGACTTGAAGATACCACACTGCTGGCTTTGAAGACAGAAGAAGAGGCCACAAGCCAAGGAATGCACTGACCTCTAGAAGCTGGAGAGACAAGAAAATGGATTTTCCTCTACAGCCTTCGGAAGAAAAGAGGCTCTACCAACACCTTGATTTTAGCTTAGCGAGACCCATTTCAGACTTCTCACCTCCAAAGGTATAAAATAATAAATTTGTGTTGTTTTGATCTACTAGGTTTATGGTGTTGGGGCTCAGAAGACACTACCCCAAATATTCAGAAATGAAAGAGCTTGGGAGGACCTCAGAAGCAAGAAGGTCATTGTGACCTTCACCTACTTTTCTGCTTGAGAACTGATCAAAAAAGAAATTCTCTGACCTAACTTGCCTGAAAATATTTCATAAGATGCTCATTCCAGAGAGGTCCTGCCCCATACCTGGGAGAAAGGAATGTTATAGAGAGAAGCCAAGAAGAATCTGAGCAGACAGGTCTTGCCGGGTTTCCCCCTCAGTCTATTACCATTAGATCACACCCTTTTGTCCAGTCACATTTCTACACAGCTGTCCATTCTTCATCAAACCTAAGCATAAAAATAGACAGTTTCCTCTGGGTCTTTGGCTCTTCATTCTTTTTCTTTCTCTTTTCTTTTCTTTACTTTTTTTTTTTTTTTTGAGACAGAGCCTTACTTTGTTGCCCAGGCTGGAGTGCAGTGGCGTGATCTTGGCTCACTGCAACCTCTGCCTCATAGGTTCAAGCAATTCTCATACCTCAGCCTCCCAACATAGCTGGAATTACAGGCATGCACCAGCATGCCTGGCTAATTTTTGTAATTTTAGTAGAGACAGGGTTTCACCATGTTAGCCAGGCTGGTCTCGAACTCCTGTCCTCAGGCAATCTGCTTGCCTTGGCCTCCCAAAGTGTTGGGATTACAGGCATGAGCCACTGTACTTGGCCCTTAGGTCTTCATTTCTGAAGGCTCCTGTATCATATTAAACTTTGGTTAAGTAATGTGTTATGCTTTTCTTTTGCTAACCTGTCTTTTTTTATAGGAGTATCCACCTTGACCCTTATGATGGATGAGGAAAAGTATCACATCTTCCCGCCGCTACAGTGGTAATTTCTCATGGTAGTTAAGAGAAAACCAATAGACACCAAGTAATCTCTGTGCCCATTTCAAAGTCTTTTATAAACGTTTCTAATAAAAGTACCAAACTTTATAAAAGTGAATTTAAAAACTTATAAAACTTCTTTAAATACTTAAAATTTATAATGTAAAATAGTGCATGATAATATAGATAAAAGTACTTAAATTGTTTATCAAATAGAAAAATTACAAGCACAGTAAAAAGAAGTAATTAAAAATATTTGGCTAAGATTATGAAACAATCTAGAAGTCTCTTCAGACTTTTAACAGAGATGAGGTTTTAATGGTTTCTTATAGAATTAGTAAACACTGTGATCATACTATAAATGTCTGCTAAAGAGCCTTACCTAGGGGCTGAGCCAGATCCTGTATTTGAGGCCTTTTGCCTAGATTAGGTACTCATGTAGATACTGCTCTGAATGCAATATCCTCTGCCTACAACTAGGTGGGGATTTTGTTGTTTTGCAAATCATATTTTAGGAACAAGTGAATTTTTTTACCAAAGGGGATTTAACTAATTGTGAACTCTTCAAGGGCTCACTTTTTTTTTAAATTTTATTATTATTATACTTTAAGTTTTAGGGTACATGTGCACAATGTGCAGGTTAGTTACATATGTATACATGTGCCATGCTGGTGTGCTGCACCCATTAACTCGTCATTTAGCATTAGGTATATCTCCTAATGCTATCCCTCCCCCCAACCCCCACCCCACAACAGTCCCCAGAGTGTGATGTTCCCCTTCCTGTGTCCATGTGTTCTCATTGTTCAGTTCCCACCTATGAGTGAGAACATGCAGTGTTTGGTTTTTTGTCCTTGCGATAGTTTACTGAGAATGATGATTTCCAATTTCATCCATGTCCCTACAAAGGACATGAACTCATCATTTTTTATGGCTGCATAGTATTCCATGGTGTATATGTGCCACATTTTCTTAATCCAGTCTATCATTGTTGGACATTTGGGTTGGTTCCAAGTCTTTGCTATTGTGAATAGTGCCACAATAAACATACGTGTGCATGTGTCTTCATAGCAGCATGATTTATAGTCCTTTGGGTATATACCCAGTAATGGGATGGCTGGGTCAAATGGTATTTCTAGTTCTAGATCCCTGAGGAAATGCCACACTGACTTCCACAATGGTTGAACTAGTTTACAGTCCCACCAACAGTGTAAAAGTGTTCCTATTTCTCCACATCCTCTCCAGCACCTGTTGTTTCCTGACTTTTTAATGATTGCCATTCTAACTGGTGTGAGATGGTATCTCATTGTGGTTTTGATTTGCATTTCTCTGATGGCCAGTGATGGTGAGCATTTTTTCATGTGTTTTTTGGCTGCATAAATGTCTTCTTTTGAGAAGTGTCTGTTCATGTCCTTCGCCCACTTTTTGATGGGGTTGTTTGTTTTTTTCTTGTAAATTTGTTTGTGTTCATTGTAGATTCTGGATATTAGCCCTTCGTCAGATGAGTAGGTTGCGAAAATTTTCTCCCTTTTTGTAGGTTGCCTGTTCACTCTGATGGTAGTTTCTTTTGCTATGCAGAAGCTCTTTAGTTTAATTAGATCCCATTTGTCAATTTTGGCTTTTGTTGCCATTGCTTTTTGTGTTTTAGACATGAAGTCCTTGCCCATGCCAATGTCCTGAATGGTAATGCCTAGGTTTTCTTCTAGGGTTTTTATGGTTTTAGGTCTAATGTTTAAGTCTTTAATCCATCTTGAATTAATTTTTGTGTAAGGTGTAAGGAAGGGATCCAGTTTCAGCTTTCTACATATGGCTAGCCAGTTTTCCCAGCACCATTTATTAAATAGGGAATCCTTTCCCCATTGCTTGTTTTTCTCAGGTTTGTCAAAGATCAGATAGTTGTAGATATGCAGCATTATTTCTGAGGGCTCTGTTCTGTTCCATTGATCTATATCTCTGTTTTGGTACCAGTACCATGCTGTTTTGGTTACTGTAGCCTTGTAGTGTAGTTTGAAGTCAGGTAGCGTGATGCCTCCAGCTTTGTTCTTTTGGCTTAGGATTGACTTGGCGATGAGGGCTCTTTTTTGGTTCCATATGAACTTTAGTTTTTTCCAATTATGTGAAGAAAGTCATTGGTAGCTTCATGGGGATGGCACTGAATCTATAAATTACCTTGGGCAGTATGGCCATTTTCACAATGTTGATTCTTCCTACCCATGAGCATGGAATGTTCTTCCATTTGTTTGTATCCTCTTTCATTTCATTGAGCAGTGGTTTGTAGTTCTCCTTGAAGAGGTCCTTCACATCCCTTGTAAGTTGGATTCCTAGGTATTTTATTCTCTTTGAAGCAGTTGTGAATGGGAGTTCACTCATGATTTGGCTCTCTGTTTGTCTGTTATTGGTGTATAAGAATGCTTGTGATTTTTGTACATTGATTTTGTATCCTGAGACTTTGCTGAAGTTGCTTATCAGCTTAAGGAGATTTTGGGCTGAGACGATGGGGTTTTCTAGATATACAATCATGTCATCTGCAAATAGGGACAATTTGACTTCCTCTTTTCCTAATTGAATACACTTTAGTTCCTTCTCCTGCCTAATTGCCCTGGCCAGAACTTCCAACACTATGTTGAATAGGAGTGGTGAGAGAGGGCATCCCTGTCTCATGCCAGTTTTCAAAGGGAATGCTTCCAGTTTTTGCCCATTCAGTATGATATTGGCTGTGGGTTTGTCATAGATAGTTCTTATTATTTTGAGATATGTCCCATCAATATCTAATTTATTGAGAGTTTTTAGCATGAAGGTTGTTGAATTTTGTCAAAGGGCTTTTCTGCATCTATTGAGATAATCACGTGGTTTTTGTATTTGGCTCTGTTTATATGCTGGATTACATTTATTGATTTGTGTATATTGAACCAGCCTTGCATCCCAGGGATGAAGCCCACTTGATCATGGTGGATAAGCTTTTTGATGTGCTGCTGGATTCGGTTTGCCAGTATTTTATTGAGGATTTTTGCATCAATGTTCATCAAGGATATTGGTCTAAAATTCTCTTTTTTGGTTGTGTCTCTGCCCGGCTTTGGTATCAGGATGATGCTGGCCTCATAAAATGAGTTAGGGTGGATTCCCTCTTTTTCTATTGATTGGAATAGTTTCAGAAGGAATGGTACCAGTTCCTCCTTGTACCTCTGGTAGAATTCGGCTGTGAATCCATCTGGTCCTGGACTCTTTTTGGTTGGTAAGCTATTGATTATTGCCACAATTTCAGAGCCTGTTATTGGTCTATTCAGAGATTCAACTTCTTCCTGGTTTAGTCTTGGGAGGGTGTATGTGTCGAGGAATTTATCCATTTCTTCTAGATTTTCTAGTTTATTTGCATAGAGGTTGTTTGTAGTATTCTCTGATGGTAGTTTGTATTTCTGTGGGATCGGTGGTGATATCCCCTTTATCATTTTTTATTGCGACTATTTGATTCTTCTCTTTTTTTCTTTATTAGTCTTGCTAGCAGTCTATCAATTTTGTTGATCCTTTCAAAAAACCAGCTCCTGGATTCATTAATTTTTGAAGGGTTTTTTGTGTCTCTATTTCCTTCAGTTCTGCTCTGATCTTAGTTATTTCTTGCCTTCTGCTAGCTTTTGAATGTGTTTGCTCTTGCTTTTCTAGTTCTTTTAATTGTGATGTTAGGGTGTCAATTTTGGATCTTTCCTGCTTTCTCTTGTGGGCATTTAGTGCTATAAATTTCCCTCTACACACTGCTTTGAATGTGTCCCAGAGATTCTGGTATGTTGTGTCTTTGTTCTCGTTGGTTTCAAAGAACATCTTTATTTCTGCCTTCATTTTGTTATGTACCCCATATTCATTCAGGAGCAGATTGTTCAGTTTCCATGTAGTTGAGCGGTTTTGAGTGAGATTCTTAATCCTGAGTTCTAGTTTGATTGCACTGTGGTCTGAGAGACAGTTTGTTATAATTTCTGTTCTTTTACATTTGCTGAGGAGAGCTTTACTTCCAACTATGTGGTCAATTTTGGAATAGGTGTGGTGTGGTGCTGAAAAAAATGTATATTCTGTTGATTTGGGGTGGAGAGTTCTGTAGATGTCTATTAGGTCTGCTTGGTGCAGAGCTGAGTTCAATTCCTGGGCATCCTTGTTAACTTTCTGTCTCGTTGATCTGTCTAATGTTGACAGTGGGGTGTTAAAGTCTGCCATTATTATTGTGTGGGAGTCTAAGTCTCTTTGTAAGTCACTCAGGACTTGCTTTATGAATCTGGGTGCTCCTGTATTGGGTGCATATATATTTAGGATAGTTAGCTCTTCTTGTTGAATTGATCCCTTTACCATTATGTAATGGCCTTCTTTGTCTCTTTTGATCTTTGTTGGTTTAAAGTCTGTTTTATCAGAGACTAGGATTGCAACCCCTGCCTTTTTTTGTTTTCCATTTGCTTGGTAGATCTTCCTCCATCCTTTTATTTTGAGCCTGTGCGTCTCTCTGCATGTGAGGTGGGTTTCCTGAATACAGCACACTGATGGGTCTTGACTCTTTATCCAATTTGCCAGTCTGTGTCTTTTAATTGGAGCATTTAGTCCATTTACATTTAAAGTTAATATTTTTATGTGTGAATTTGATCCTGTCATTATGATGTTAGCTGGTTATTTTGCTCATTAGTTGATGCGGTTTCTTCCTAGTCTCGATAGTCTTTACATTTTGGCATGATTTTGCAGCAGCTGGTACCGGATGTTCCTTTCCATGTTTAGTGCTTCCTTCAGGAGCTCTTTTAGGGCAGGCCTGGTGGTGACAAAATCTCTCAGCATTTGCTTGTCTGTAAAGTATTTTATTTCTCCTTCACTTATGAAGCTTAGCTTGGCTGGATATGAAATTCTGGGTTGAAAATTCTTTTCTTTAAGAATGTTGAATACTGGCCCCCACTCTCTTCTGGCTTGTAGAGTTTCTGTCGAGAGATCTGCTGTTAGTCTGATGGGCTTCCCTTTGTGGGTAACCCGACCTTTCTCTCTGGCTGCCCTTAACATTTTTTCCTTCATTTCAACTTTGGTGAATCTGACAATTATGTGTCTTGGAGTTGCTGTTCTCGAGGAGTATCTTTGTGGCGTTCTCTGTATTTCCTGAATCTGAACGTTGGCCTGCCTTGCTAGATTGGGGAAGTTCTCCTGGATAATATCCTGCAGAGTGTTTTCCAACTTGTTTCCATTCTCCCTGTCACTTTCAGGTACACCAATCAGACGTAGATTTGGTCTTTTCACATAGTCCCATATTTCTTGGAGGCTTTGTTCGTTTCTTTTTATTCTTTTTTCTCTAAACTTCCCTTCTCGCTTCATTTCATTCATTTCATCTTCCATCACTGATACCCTTTCTTCCAGTTGATTGCATCAGCTCCTGAGGCTTCTGCATTCTTCACGTCATTCTTGAGCCTTGGCTTTCAGCTCCATCAGCTCCTTTAAGCACTTCTCTGTATTGGTTATTCTAGTTATACATTCATCTAAATTTTTTTCAAAGTTTTTAACTTCTTTGCCTTTGGTTTGAATTTCCTCCTGTAGCTCGGAGTAGTTTGATCCTCTGAAGCCTTCTTCTCTCAACTCGTCAAAGTCATTCTCCGTCCAGCTTTGTTCCGTTGCTGGTGAGGAACTGTGTTCCTTTGGAGGAGGAGAGGTGCTCTGCTTTTTAGAGTTTCCAGTTTTTCTGCTCTGTTTTTTCCCCCATCTTTGTGGTTTTATCTACTTTTTGTCTTTGATGATGGTGATGTACAGATGGGTTTTTGGTGTGGATGTCCTTTCTGTTTGTTAGTTTTCCTTCTAACAGACAGGACCCTCAACTGCAGGTCTGTTGGAGTTTGCTAGAGGTCCACTCCAGACCCTGTTTGCCTGGGTATCAGCAACGGTGGCTGCAGAACAGCAGATTTTTGTGAACCGCGAATGCTGCTGTCTGATTGTTCCTCTGGAAGTTTTGTCTCAGAGGAGTACCCGGCCATGTGAGATGTCAGTCTGCCCCTACTAGGGGGTGCCTCCCAGTTAGGCTGCTCGAGGGTCAGGGGTCAGGGACCCACTTGAGGAGGCAGTCTGCCCATTCTCAGATCTCCAGCTGCGTGCTGGGAGAACCACTGCTCTCTTCAAAGCTGTCAGACAGGGACATTTAAGTCTGCAGAGGTTACTGCTGTCTTTTTGTTTGTCTGTGCCCTGCCCCCAGAGGTGGAGCCTACAGAGGCAGGCAGGCCTCCTTGAGCTGTGGTGGGCTCCACCCAGTTTGAGCTTCCCAGCTGCTTTGTTTACCTAATCAAGCCTGGGCAGTGGCGGGAGCTCCTCCCCCAGCCTCACTGCTGCCTTGCAGTTCGATCTCAGACTGCTGTGCTAGCAATCAGTGAGACTCCATGGGCGTAGGACCCTCTGAGCCAGGTGTGGGATATAATCTCCTGGTGCACCATTTTTTAAGCCCATCGGAAAAGCACAGTATTAGGGTGGGAGTGACCCGATTTTCCAGTGACCCGATCACCCCTTTCTTTGACTAGGAAAGGGAACTCCCTGACCCCTTGCGCTTCCCAAGTGAGGCAATGCCTCGCCCTGCTTCGGCTCGTGTACCGTGCGCTGCACCCACCGTCCTGCGCCCACTGTCTGCCACTCCCTAGTGAGATGAACCCGGTACCTCAGATGGAAATGCAGAAATCACCCGTCTTCTGCATCACTCACACTGGGAGCTGTAGACCAGAGCTGTTCCTATTTGGCCATCTTGGCTGCCCTCCTCTTCAAGGACTCACTTTGCAAATAGTAATAGTTGTGCCATCCATTGCTTGAGAAAGGTCATTCTGTCAGCTGGCTTAATGGAAAGAAAGGCTTCTATAAATTATTGTGTAGCAGAGTGGTATGTAAAGTACAGTTGATTCTTGAATAACACAGGTTTGAAGTGTATGGGCCCTCTTACATGTAATTTTTTTTCAATAAATATATTGGAAGATTTTTTGGAGATTTGCAACAAAAAATCAATTTCCTCACCCATCTTAAGGGTCAAAGTGGATATTCCTACAACAAAAGACAGGTTAGCAAGAGAAAAGCATAACACATTTATCTAATCAAAGTTTTATATGATGCAGGAAATTTCAGAAATGAAGACTCAAAGACCCAGAGGAAATTTAAAAAAATTCATAGATGAACCATGTAGCCTGGAAATATAAAAAAAAAATTAAGAAAACAGGTATGCCAAGAATGCCCTAAGTATATGTAGATATTAGTCTATTTTATAATTTACTAGTATGAAATGTACACAAATCTGTTATAAAAGTTAAATTTATCAAAACTTAAGCACACAAACATAAATGGTGCCATTTGCCATTTTCAGTGGAGAGAAATGTAAACAAATGTAAAGATGCAGTATGAAATCACAGCCGCATGAAATAACCTGTCATTATTGCAGTGAGCCCAAGTGTCATGACTATCCACTTAAAACATCTCGTTAAGCGAATCGTCTCTGTGTGAGCAGTTTGTCTCTCCAGTGAACTGCATATCGAGGTAAAAAGTGATGTCTCATGGTTGTCATGTATCTTGCATTGTGTTTAGTGCAATAGTGCAAACCTTGAATAACACCATGAGTCCCATACGAAGTACCACTAGCGATGCTGAAAGTGCTCCCAAGAAGCCAAGAAAAGTTATGACATTATAAGAAAAAGTTGAATTACTTGATATGTACCATAGGTTGAGGTCTGCAGCTGCAGTTGCTCACCATTTTAGACAGGTGGTTCAACTTGTAAACAGACACATAAATGTATGATATACATAAATACATTATAGTACTGTAAATGTATTTTCTCTTCCTTATATTTTCCTAGTAATATTTTCTTTTCTCTAGTTTGCTTTATTGTAAAAGTACAGTATATAATACATGTAACATGCAAAGTATGTGTTATCAACTTTATGTTATGGCTAAGGCTTCTGGTCAACAGTAGGCTATTAGTAGTTAAGTTTTGAGGTAGTCAAAAGTTATACATGGATTTTCCACTGCATGGGAGTCAATGCTCCTAGTCCCCTTGTTGTTCAAGAGTCAACCATAGTAATGGAATGTACCCCTACTGCTCCCTTTCCCACTGGGAAGTTTAATTGAAAATGGTTGTTGTGGATACAAGCCACCTTGAAAATAATGACCCAGAATCCAAATTACCGAATTAAAAGGTTGTTGTTGAGGAAAGTTATCTACTCCTATTCCTTGCCCCAGGAGGTAACAATGACAAGCTTCAGGAGACAGCTGAAGAAAGAGTGCTTGAAAATGAAAAACAGAGAGGGGTGTTGGTGTTGGTGGTGATGTGTTGCATGCATGTATGCATTTGTGCATGTGTGTATGCATTTCTGCATGCATAGGAACATGTGTCTGTATGTTTGTGTATGAGGAGAGGGGTTGCTGGATAGGTCTCCCTGCAAAGTTTGGGAAGTCAAAGAGCAGGGCATAAAGTCATTCTATACCTTGGATGAATTTTACTGAGCACGGCTTTAGAATTGCAGCCAGCACCACAGGGCTATATGGAAACAGGGCAGCAAGGCTCAAAGAAAGCAAAGATTTCCCTGCATGCTGCACCCAATTTTCTTCCCTGGTTCGCAATTTGTGGGACTTTGTAATTTTATTGTGGCTCTATAGAACTCCGGATGTCAGTTGGTAGTGTACATTTATTTGCCAACTCTAAGAGGCCACTTGGTTATCAAGGCAACAGACAGACACAAAGGATGCTCGTTGACTTCTGCCTGGGGGAAGAGGTAGAAGTGGCTATAGTTTCCTGAAATCAACTGAAGTCACAAATCTTCCTAGGGAGAAGATGGTTGTCACATTTTAGCCAGTTTTCAGCTACTAGTCAATGTCAGCTGCTGAGCCTGAGACCAGACTTAATGAGCTCTTTAGTAATGCAGAGATAGTGCAGGACAAATATTAGAAAGTATGGGCATTCCCCTTTATTCTCTCCAGGGCTATTGATCCCAAACTGGCTTGGAGAAGAAAAGAAAGAAATATTTATGTGAATTGAGTGGTTAGTATAATACTTTTGAATTTGACTGGATGAGAGTAAGTATCTGAAAGTGACTAGATTAATTTTCTGCCATCATCACAAATAGAAATTTGAAATCACAAGGTTTATGCTGTTATGGAACAAACTGTTTTTGTGCTCCTGAGTTAGGTGGACAGTTGTAATGGGAAAATATCATACCAGTTTTATCAAGATGAAGAAAATAATCCAGGAGAGAAGTCAGGAGGAACAATATCCCAAAAGAACAATGGAATCGAAACCGTTGTCTAGAAGTTAATGTGTACAGAAAGTAACTCAGAGGAAGGAGTAATTGCATCTTCTGAAAAAGTAGCAGCAATTGAGTCTCTCCTCAAACCCACTAACTGCTGGCTGTTTTGCTGATCTCTTTGGGAATTAATAATACCGCAGCCAAAGGAATCTGGAATGTATTGTTGGTGACTTTGAAGTCCAGGCTACAAATCGAAGCATGTGGAGCCTTGGAAGAGGAAAAGGCACCAGGGAAGTGAACCATTGGCCACAGAAATTATTTTAAAGTGTTGTAGGCCATGATTTTTCATGCCAGAACATCTGAGCCTTGGCAAGGATGATGTGCACCCCATGAGAAAAGGAAAACTGTGTTTGATAGAACTTCTAACCTGTTCAAAAGGGATTTAACCTGAAATATGAAAGAGGATGAGGGGAAAAGAAACCATAGACAAAGCTCTAAAATAAATCTGGTGATTAACTGATACCACATTGGAAGAACCATTGCCAAGAAAGTGCTCAGTTATTCTAACAAGAAAATATCAAGGAAGAGAATCAACAAGTAAATTTATGACCTTGTCTTACTATATATTCCAATGCATAGAGAATGGCTAGAAGCTAATAGAACTTGACATTTAACACAGGTGGTCAATGTGATTTCAGGACATCACTGTGAAGACATAAAGAGATGGGGCTTATAATTGTGAAATGCTGTATGAAGGGTGATAATTAAGAGTACTCCAGCTGGTGCAGCCACATCAAAGAGCAAAGTGGCAGCTCTTGGTCAGATTTACTATATGTATGTCAGCAACCCAGCAATTTGGCCTTTGGGCATATATCTCAGGTTCATCATTATGAACTTAGGCAGGTTCATAATTTATTGCAGCCATTTTGGTGGTGATAGGGAATTGAAAGCAATCAGGGTGTCCTTCGGGGGAAAAGTGGATAACCACATGTGGTAGGTGAATGCCAGAAAGCATCATGCAGCAGTTAGAACCAGCAGACTAGAAGTAGACATAGCCCCATGTATGGAGCTAAAAAAGATGGTACTGAGTAAAAATGTAAGAAATAGGATGATATACACGTAATAGAATATCAATTATATGTTCTAAAATACATTCACATGGAAAAATCATGCACATTTTGAAAGTACATTTATTAACACATGAATTCATTAGACATAGGAGAATGGTTTGGACAGGTTGGGGTATGGTGATAAAAAGAACTTGGACAGACTAATATGATAGTATATCATGAACTAAACAGTATGAAGGGAGGAAGAGAGAAAGATAGCAAGGGGAGGGGTGAGAGAGAGAGAGCAAGAGTGAGCGAGAGAGAGAGGGAGAGAGGATGTTTTAGTAGAAAGAAAGAAGCAGTAGGATCTCTATAGAACAAAATGTACTGAATTACACTTGTAGAGAAACCCATGTGTATGTCTTTGTTCCCGACAAAATCCTGTATGATGTGTTATCAATAACTGGAAGGAAGATGTAAACGTAATACTTAAAAACTTTTGATGAGACACAAACCTGGAATAATTTGTTACTATGTTGGGTAGTGAAAATCAGAAATAACATCTTAGGAGTAACCAGATAAATGGTGGCTCCCAAGCCTAGTGCCACTGTCTTTCTCTGATGGTGAGGTGTAAGATATTTTCGTTGGCAAAGAAGAATCTAGTAATAGGCAGCCAGACTGCTAGAGAAAACAGAGCTGTATCTCTGCATTTATGGGCCATTACTGACTCAATTTTTTTTACTGTAATGGGAGACACTCAGGAAGAGCCCCTCTACATACACCATGGGACCTGAGCTGCCCTGATACCCATGATTTTTCCTTCTTATGAAAAACATAAGGAATTAATATTATATCATTATTCCCTGTTTTTCTAAAGTAATGTTATTAATAATCAGCATTTACTAAACTCATATTGTGACTCTAGTACTATTTTAAATTCTTTAAAGAATTTCTTTTAATCACTTTACAATGACTCTATAAAGTACTATCATTTACTAAACTCATATTGTGACTCTAGTACTATTATAAATTTTTTAAAGAATTTATTTTAATCACTTTATAATGACTCTATAAAGTAATACTACCATTATCCCACATTTGTAGGTTTGGAAAGAAACTGAAGAAAAGTTAAGAAATGTGTCCAAGGTCACACAGCAAAAGGTACTAGAACCAAAATTCATACCCAAACTATCTGATTCTAAATCTATTCTTTTAACCATTACACTGTAGCTCTCCAAGAGTTGAGCTGTATATTGCATCAAGGAAAGAGAACATGTAATATTGCCAAATTCACTACTAAAAGGCCTTTTTAGGTTGGAAGGTGCCTGCTTGCTTTTTAGTTTTTGGGGTTTTGTTTTTTTCTTTGTTTTACAATCGGCAAATGATGTCTTTATTTTCTCTGTTATGCACTAGGTTTGCAAGTTTGCACAGTCAGCTTTATTCTTGACTCTCTCAGGCCAAGCCTGCAGGGCTTAACAGTAGTGGAAGATGATCCTTTTATCAGAAGCATTTGTACACCTGAGAACAGGCACTTGGCTAAATCAATCCATTTCTCCAATTAACTCTGTTTTCTTCAGTGCTTGCTTTCTTTTTGTATCTCTAAAAGAAGAAAGAAAAACCTGCTCATAATATTCCAAATTTAACAGAAGAGTAGTGATAGGATGACACTGTGCTATGCAAGGCAGGCCCTCCTGCTGTCAGCCTCAGGTCACTGAGGGAGCAATGCTAGACCTGGGGCCCAGAACCTTTGGAGAAATGAAGAATCCCACTTTCAGGCAGAGGCCAGACATCCATGTGAGTAATTGCTGAGGATGGCTTGGCACTACATTTGATGGATAATAAAGGGCATGTAAAACCTTATGGTTTCTCTTAGTGCCCTGAAATTTCCATTTCATCATAATCCAGAGAACCAAGTCTGATCTTGCCCAGAAAGGAGAGACATTCTTCATGTTGGCAGCCTCACTACACTTCTTCAGATCCCTTGTTTTTAAAAGCTGTACCACATTTCTTCGTTCAGTCAGGAAATTTCAATCCTTCAGTCTCCTCCTTGCCTCCTCTCCCCTTCTCTTCTCCACTCCATGTCTCTCCCCTCCTGTCTCTGTTCTTTTTGTATTTTGTTTACTTGTATCTGACAAGTATTTTGTGTACTTGTATTTTGTTTACTTATCTGACATCCCTACTACATTTCAAATTTGTTGAGGAAACATATTACATTTTTCTCACCTTTTCCATCCCTCACCTGCCAATTTAGGAGAGTGTTTTGCATATAGCATTTCTCAATAACTATTTGGTGAATTAATGTACATGTGCATGCATCTATTAGTTGTGTTTATTAATTTGTTTCTTACTAGAAACATCTAGGGAAAAGTCATTGTCTCTAGTTATCAGTTGATGTCATTTCATGACTCTGACCTTTTCTTCCACTCTCTGGAAAACGTAACTGATGAGGTCTACAGATGTTCTTTATGTTGGGCTTACACCTCCATACATTTATTTGTAAGTTGAAAATATCATAAGTTGAAATGCATCAGGTTATGTCCTGATAAGCCTATCATAAAGCTGAAAAATGTTAAATCATTTTAAGTTGGGGACCATTTGTATTGTATGAGACTGGAAATAAATTAGCTTACCAAGACTTATCTACAGCTCAGAGTATCTTATTCTCCTCCTTTCTTCTTTTTCCCATCCTTTTTCCCTTTTCTTCATTTAATATTAGCTTTTGTGGTTTTTTTTCAAAAAATAAAATTATTAATTTTAGTGAGACTTAGGCTATCAATAACTTTGATTTATTGGAAGACTATTTTTTCTTTAATCCAATGACCTAGGCTGAATTAGATTGATTTTATTGGCACAAAGATGTAGTGTTGTTGTCTTTTACTTAGGGCAGGGGTTGGGTGGGATGAAGCTAAGTGTGGTTGGAGAAGCTAGCCTTGGCTCCTAGAATTTGATTTGATGCCAGTTGGTAGAAAGTTGAGCATTTCTAGTTCTTTTCAATATGATTATGTAGTAAAGAGAAAAATGTACAAACTAGGCAGCCGAGAAATAATTTTCCTCAAGCCATATAATAAAAAAACTCAAGAAGCATTTTGACTTTAATTTGGCTGCCGTAAAGCAGGGAAAATTAAAGGTTTGTTTGTTTGTTTGTTTGTTTTTTGACAGAGTCACTCCAACACCCAGGCTGGAGTGCAGTGGCTCGATCTCAGCTCGCTGCAACCTCCATCTCCTGGGTTCAAGCGATTCTTGTGCCTCAGTCTCCCTAGTAGCTGGGACTACAGGCACGTGCCATCACACCCGGCTGATTTTTGTATTTTTAGGGAGACGAGGTTTCACCTTGTTGGCCAGGCTGGTCTTGAACTCCTGGCCTCAGGTGATCTGCCCACTTCAGCCTCCCAAAGTGCTAGGAATACAGGCATGAGCCACTGTGCCCAACCTATTTAAAGGTTTTTAATACACCATCAGGAAGCCAACTGCGATTTAGATGATCCTTACAAAAGACATATGTTTTTTTCTGTACAGAAAAAAAATGACCTAACCTGCTTTGAAATACAAAAATGCTAGTGCTTCAAGTGGGATTCTAGAAAATGTCACTTATTAATCAACTTTACAACATGCCTTTACAGTA
Organism: Homo sapiens; assembly: GCF_000001405.40. Classification (NCBI taxonomy): domain Eukaryota; kingdom Metazoa; phylum Chordata; class Mammalia; order Primates; family Hominidae; genus Homo; species Homo sapiens. The sequence continues at coordinate 112,716,980 of NC_000003.12, read as the reverse complement.
GGCCGAAATATTTATTTGAAACTATTGATAGTAAATGAATGGCAACTTTACTCTTGCTTCTACCTCTCCTTGTTTTTGACTCTTCATTATTTGTGACATGTATCCAAAGATTCTCCACTTCTCCTCTCCCAAAAATGCAGTTCTAGCTCTCTTGCACTCCTGGCCATACATATTGCAGACGTTCATCTTTCTGGAACGTGATTGGGTCTGGACAGCCTCATGAAAACATTCCTATCATCCCAGCTTTATTCCCATGTTCAGTTTTCCCACAGATGACTGGGAAATGTTGATTGCTATATCATGTTATCTGACAAATATATCTACCCAGGAAACATGGCATCTAGTGATTTATTGCATTAACTTTGTATTCTGGCAAAACTATATAGGGTGATGATATCAGCCATAAAAAAAAATCTTGATAGTCCTGTGTTTTTGGCCAGGCACAGTGGCTCACACCTGTAATCCCAGCACTTTGGGGAGGCCAAGGCAGGCAGATCACCTGAGGTCAGGAGTTCAAGACGAGCCTGGCCAACATGGTGAAACCCCGTCTCTACTAAAAATACAAAAACGAACAAGTTGTGATGGCAGGTGCCTGTAATCCTAGCTACTCGGGAGGCTGAGACAGGAGAATCGCTTGAACCTGGAAGGTGGAGGTTGTAGTAAGCTGAGATCATGCCACTGCACTCCAGCCTGGGAGACAGAGCGAGACTTCCTCTTAAAAAAAAAAAAAAAAAAAAAAAGTGTATGGTTTTGTCCCCAATACTGTTTAGAATATCCTGCATATCTCTGCTAGTTTCTCTGAAGCTTTTAGTATGTTTTTGGAGGTCTATATATCTCAGGCAAATCCAGCGTTGCTCATCTAATCTTCCCAGACTTCCTCTTGTTCCTGGACACACTGCTGGCTTACATTTTCCAACCCTCAAGAAGCTACCTGTGGCCATTTGAGTTCTAGGCAATAAAATTTTAGTAAAAGAAATATGACCACTTTCTAGCTTAACCTCTAAAACCTTGGAGTGATCCTTTAAGCCATTATTCTCAACTAGGGGGCACACACTCATGTATACACACATATACCCTCCCACCCCTCATCACAACTGGCAGATGGTCACTGGCGGCCAGGGATACTGCTAAACATCTTATAATGCATAGAACAGCAATGAGAAATGATCCAGTCCAAAATGTCAATAAAACTGTATTAAAGTTCTTCAGAGTAACAGAACCAATAGGATATACACACATACATATAACTGGATATTTATTGTGAGAATTGGCTCACACAATGATGGAGTCTTAGAAGTCCTACATTTGCCAGCTGGAGACCCGGAAAAACTGATGATATAATTCAGTCTGGGTCTGAAGCCCTGATACTTAGAGGCAGAAAGCCAGAGAACTGAGGGGCAACTGGTAAAAGTCCCAGAGTTGGAAGACCGGAGAACCAGGAGCTCTCATGCCTAAGGGCAGGAGAAGATGGATGTTCCAGCTGAAGAAGAGAGAGAATTTGTCCTTTCTCTATTGTATTATTTAGGCCCTCAATGAGTTGGATGTTGCCACCCTCATTGCTGAGGGCAGATCTTCCTTACTCAGTCTGTTTATTCAAATTCCAATCCCTTCCAGAAATACTCTCATACACATCCCCAGAAATAATATTTTACCAGCTATTTGGGCATCCCTTAACCCAGCCAAATTGACACATAAAATTAACCATACAAATACTGAGGTTGAGAAAGATTGCTTTAAGCTCTTCCTTATTCTTTCTCCAGCCTGGATGCAGAGGGTCCACAAGAGGATTCTGAGAACCTAAAAGTTGGTAGTTACCACCTTTGGTGATTCAGACTAACTCCGAATCCCTACATGATGGCCTTCACTGAATGTCTAATTGGCCTGTGACTTGGGCAAGGAAGAAAACTTGTACTGTGTTAAGTCACTGAGATTTCAGAGTTGTTTATGAAGCTATAGAATAATAATAATAATAAAAAAACTTTTAACTAATACAAGCCCAAATATTGGGCAAATTAATCTCTCTTTATCCTAATTTCCCCATCTATTAAATAGAAATAATAGCACCTACTTCAAAGGTTTTTGTGAGGACTGAATGAGCCTACATTTTTTTTGTTTAAGAGACAGGGCCTTGCTCCGTCACTCAGGCTGGAGTGTAGTGGTACAATCATAGCTCACTGCAGCTTCAACCTCCTGGGTTCAAGTGATCCTACTGCCTTGGCCTCCCAAAGTGCTGGGATTACAAGCATGAGTCACTGCACCCGGCCTGAGTCTGCATTTGTAAAGCACTTAGAACAGTGCCTAGCTAATTGGCTAGTTATTACATTCATTAAAACCTATTTGTCCTGTGACCCATTTCATAATAGACTACTCCATGACAGTTACTTATTTAGTGCCTCTGTGTGTTCAGGCTCTGGAGTTAGCCACATTATATACTATCATCTCATTTAATTACTATGAAATACAATTACTATTGTTGTTTTCATAAAATGATTGATTCCTGGCAGAATTTTCTTAGCTGGCTTAGTGCAAGACAGCGATTTGAATTCATCTTTGACTCCAGCAACAATGCTTTTTGTACTACTCCATTAAGAACTGATAATGGGGCCGGGCGCAGTGGCTCACGCCTGTAATCCCAGCACTTTGGGAGACCGAGGCGGGCGGATCACAAGGTCAGGAGATGGAGACCATCCTGGCTAACAAGGTGAAACCCCGTCTCTACTAAAAACACACAAAATTAGCCGGGCGTGGTGGCTGGTGCCCGTAGTCCCAGCTACTTGGGAGGCTGAGGCAGGAGAATGGCGTGAACCCGGGAGGCAGAGCTTGCAGTGAGCCAAGATCAGGCCACTGCAATCCAGCCTGGGCGACAGAGCGAGACTCTGTCTCAAAAAAAAAAAAAAAAAAAAAAAAAAAAGAACTGATAATGGTTTGTGGCACTGCCCTTCTCAAAAAACCTTTTACATAATGGGTGTATTAGTCCATTCTGACATTGCTATAAAGACATACCTGAGACTGGGTAATTCATGAAGAAAAGGGGTTTAATTGATTCACAGTTTCGCAAGGTGTACAGAAAGCATGGTTGGGAAGGCCTCAGGAAATGTATAAACATGGCGGAAGGGGAAGGGAAAGCAAGGCAGGTTTTCACATTGCCAGAGCAGGAGGAAGACGGAATGAAGGGGGATGTGCCACACACTTGTAAACAACCAGATCTCAGGAGAACTCACTCACTACTATGAGAACAGCAAGGGGTAAATCCATCCCCATGATCCAAGCACTTCCTACCAGGTCCCTTCCCCAACACTGGGGATTACAACTCAACATGAAATTTGTTGGGGGCGGGGGACAAAGAACCAAATCATATCAATGGGATAATTCAGAATTTTAACCAAAGTGGGAGACTACATGTGGATACTTCTCTAGGTTGGAAGCTGTATTAGTCTATTCTCATATTGTTATAAAGAAATACCCAAGACTGGGTAATTTATAAAGAAAAGAGTTTTAATTGGCTTACAGTGCTGCAGACTGTACAGGAAGCATAGTGGCTTCTGCTCAACTTCTGGGGTGGCCTCAGGAAACTTTTAGTCATGGTGGAAGGCAAAGCAGGAGCAGGCACATCACATGGCCAGAGCAGGAGGAAGAGAGCGAAGGCGAAGGGAGAGGTGCCATACACTTTTAAACAACCAGATCTCATGAGAACTCTACCATGAGAACAGCATTAGAGGGAATGGTGTTAAACCATGAGAAACCACTCCCATGATCCGATCACCTCCACCTCCAGCTTTGGGGATTATAATTTGACATGAAATTTGGGTGGAGACACAGATCCATACTGTTTCAGAAGCCGTCTCTTGACAGTGCTGTTCAATATTACTTTCTGCACTGAAGGAAATTATCTACATCTGTACTGGCCAGTACAGTAACAAGTAGCCATATATTGAGGACTTTTGAGGACTTAAAATATGGCTAGTGCAATCAAGAAACTGAAGTTTAGATTTGTTTCTTTGTTTTGTTTTGTTGTTGTTGTTGTTGTTTTTGAGACAGAGTCTCACTCTGTTGCCCAGGTTGGAGTGCAGTGGCACGATCTCGGCTCACTGCAACCTCTGCTTCCCAAGTCCAAGCAATTCACCTGCCTCAGCCTCCCGAGTAACTGGGATTACAGGCATTTGCCACCACGTCCAGATAAGTTTTGTATTTTTAGTAGACTAATCTTGAACTCTTGGCCTCAAGTGATATACCCACCTTGGCCTCCCAAAGTGTTGGGATTACAGGCGTGAGCCACTGCACCCGGCCTTGTTTGATTTTAATTATTTTAAATTTAAAGAGCTACATGCTGGTCACTGCGACTGTATTGGACAGTGAGGCTCTATAATACAGGGAATTGTTCTGATTTGTTCATTGTTGCATCCTCAGTGCTCAGAACTCTTCCTAGCTGCTCAATTAATATACGGTGAATGAATTTCAGCCCATGGAGAAGATTGTTTTTGGGGAAGGATCCATGTCTCTATGTAATGTAATAAAAGCAAAATTATTATGTGTGTTCTGGGCTAAACTGTAATCTGTTACCCTTCATCCTCATTGAAAAGCTCCTTATTTCAGATGTGTGTTAGTTCATTGCGATTCTGAGTTCCTAGAATCTCTCACCCAAGTGTCTGTGTAGCTAAATAAGACTGTCCTCTCCCTGACTTTGTGGTTGCCTCATACATGAGCCCTTTTTCCCACACTGACCAATCCTGAGGAGGGAACACTGATCTATTTATTTCCCCGATGCACCTTGACATTGCTGAGAGGCTGGAGGAGGCCTTTCTTAACATGAACACGAAAGAAACACTGCAAACATGGTGATCACACCCCAGCTATACGCCTTCTTAATACTGTCAGAGCAGGGTCTCTGAAGTTAGCTGGTCTCATCCAACACCAATAGAAATCAGGACTGTGGTTACTTGTCTGCACTTATCTGTGGGAAGACAGGGATGAAGCAGAAGAGGGAGGAGCTTTGCAACCTAGAGATGCTGTGTGGCCATGTAGAAACCTCAGAGACTTGAGTTAATGTGAAAAAGTAATGGAGACCTTGGAGGACTTTGACATAACCAATTCACATTATAGGCTACCTCGCCAGTTCTGTAGGATAGGACACCTACATTTCCTTTTCTATGTTTGTGATTTTACTGACTTTCCAGCTTTTTGTTGAATATGCTGTGTAAAATTGTGACTATGTGCCTTAAAAATGACTGGCAGTGTACACTGATTCCCAAATATAGATGGAGACTATAAATTGACATTTTTAGGGAGAAACTCAACACTTCCCACCCAACAAAGGAAATACAGAGCTAAGTTGGCAGGGCTCAGCAACTTGGTTCTATAGAAAGCAGGTGCAGAAGGTAGTGGCCCTTGAGAAGAGAAAGTGAACTGATAAAGCTGGATCTGCTCTATATCAGGCTCTTTGTCCAATATTTCTATTATTCTTATGCTTCTCCCTACCATCCTGAGGCTTAGCACCCATCCCATGAGCCTCTGTGGGTCTTTCTGCTGCACCCACCCAGGGCATCAATAGTTTCTTTAATTTTTGAAGACTAAGTTCTTCGTGGCAGCAGCTTTTTTTCCAATCCCATCTTTTTCTTCCAATGCAACTCTTCTTAAGGGTTCCAAAATCAAAATCTGTATTCACCTAAGAAAGTGTGGTGGGGCAGAGAGCTTCATTTGTACGAAAGAAAACCACTTAAGCTTCTGATACTTGTTCATGTAGACGCTAGCTGTGTTTCCGAATCACCTGGGAACTTTAGAAAACTACAGATGCTTAGGCCTTACTCCCAGAGCTTGGGATTCACTGGTCTAATGTGCAGTCAGGGTTGAGGTCACTATGTAGAACCTCATGTATAAACAGAAACAGACAAATGAGAATACCCTGAGGAAACAAATAATTTTAGGAACAGAAAAGATGTGTGTGTGTGTGTGTATACACACACAATATATATGTGTGTGTATATATATATATAGAAATAGAGAGAATCAAACAATAGTATATGACAATAATATAACATGCAACAATAATATATTTGTTACTTTATTTGTTACAAATAAGTATTTGTTACCAAAATTATTTGATAATATATACGTAGTATCAAATAATTATGTATATATACATACATATATGTGTTTGTGTGTGTGTGTATATATATACACTATTATTTGAGAATTTTGAGAGGCCATCACAACTGTGAAATAAGCAAGAATGCTGTAAAAAAGAGAAAACATTTGCATATAGAATTTAGGACCCTTTTAAATTTTTTCTTTCCTTGCTTAAACACCCCCATTTCTTTTACCCCAGGATTTTCAACCTTAGCACTGACATTTTGGGTCAGATAATTCTGTGCATTTCAAGATGTTTAGAAGTATTTCTGGTCTCTACCCACTAGATCTCAGTAGCATAGCCCCTCCCCAACCTGAACTGTACTAGGTCTCCAGCAAGGGTTCTTAACTGGGCTGAAATGACTGAAATGACAGAAATAAAATTCAGAATGTCGATAGTAATGAAGATCATTGATATTCAGGAGAATATTGAAACCCAATTTAAGGAAGCTGAGAATCACAGTAAAATGATACAGGAGCTGAAAGACAAGATAGCCAGTATAGAAAATAATGTAACCAACCTGATAGAGCTGAAAAACACTCTACAAGAATTTCATAATGCAGTCACAAATATTAACAGTAGAAGAGACCAAGCTGAGGAAAGAATCTCAAGCTTGAAAAATGGCTTTTTGAAATAAGATAGTTAGACAATAGTAAGGAAAGGAGAAAAAAAGGAACAAACAAAACTTCTGAGAAATATAGGATTATGTAAAGAGACCAAATATATGACTCATAGGCATCTCTGAAAGAGATGGGGAGAATGGAAGCAACTTGGAAAGCATATTTAAGGATATCACTCATGACAACTTCCCCAACCCAACTAGAGAGGCAAACATTCAAATTCCAGGAATATGGAGAACCCCCACAAAATACTTGACAAGATCATGATGCCCAAGACACATAATCATCAGATTTTCAAGGTCAAAATGAAAGAAAAAATGTTAAAGGCACCTGGAGAGAAAGGACAGGTCACCTACAAAGGGAAGTCCATCAGACTAACAGTGGACCTCTCAGCAGAAACTCTACAAGCCAGAATATATTGGGGGCCCATATTCAACATTCTTAAAGAAAAGAAATTCCAACCAAGAATGTCATATCCAGCCAAACTAAGCTTCCTAAATGAAGGAGAAATAAGATCCTTTTAGACAAGCAAATGCTGAGAGAATTTATTACCACCAGACCTGCCTTACAAGAGCTCTTGAAAGCAGCAATAAATATAGAAAGAAAAGACCATTACTAGCCACTACAAAACACACACCTAAATACACAGGGCAGTGACATTATAAAGCAACCACACAGACAAGTTGGCATAAAAACAGCTAACAACAGGTGACAGGATCAAATCTATATGTATCAATACTAACGATGAATGTAAATGGGCTAAATGCTCCCAATGAAAAGGCACAGACTTGCAAACTGCATAAAGGAGCAAGACCCTATGGTATGCTGTCTTCAGAGACTTATTTCACATGCAGTGACACCCACAGGCTCAAAATAAAGGGATGGAGAATAATCTACCAGGCAAATAGAAAACACAAAAAAAGCAGGGGTTGCAATCCTACCTCCAGACAAAACAGACTTTAAACCAACAAAGATCAAAAAAGACAAAGAAGGGCATTGCATAATGGTAAAGGGTTCACTTCAACAAGAAGACTTAACCATCTTAAATATATATGCACCCAATACAGGAGCACTCAGATTCATAAAACAAGTTCTTAGAGACCTACAAAGAGACTTAAACTTTCAAACAATAGTAGCAGGAGACTTTACAACCCCACTGGTGGTATTAGATCATTGAGGCTGAAAATTAACAAAGGTATTCAGGACCTGAACTCAACACTGGACCAAATGGATCTGATATACCTCTGCAGAACACGCCACCCCAAAACAACAGATTATATATTCTTCTCATCTGCACCTGGTACGTACTCAAAAATTGGCCACACAATTGGACATAAAACAATCCTTAGAAAATACAAAGGAACTAAAATCATACTAACCACTCTCTCAGACCACAGTGCAAAAAAATAGAATTCAAGTCTAAGAAAATTGCTGAAAACCATATGATTACATGGAAATTAAACAACCTGCTCCAGAATGACTTTTGGGTAAATACTAAAATTAAGACAGAAATAAATAAGTTCTTTAAAACTAATGAAAACAAAGCTACAACATACCCAGAATCTCTGGGACACAGCTAAGACAGCGTTAAGAGGGAAATTTATAGTGCTAAATGCCTACATCATAAAGTTAGAAAGATCTCAAATTAACAACCTAACATCACAACAAAAAGAACTAGAGAGGCAAGAGCAAACCAACCACAAAGCTAACAGAAGCCAAGAAATAACCAAAATCAGAACTGAACTGAAGACAGCTTTTGAGATACAAAAAAACCATCTAAAAGATCAATGAAGCCAGGAGTGGGGTTTTGAAAAAAAAAATAAGATAGATAGACTGCTAGCTAGACTAATAAAGAAGAAAAGAGAGAAGATGCAAGTAAACACAGTCGGAAACAACAAAAGGGATATTACCACTGACCCCACAGAAATACAAATCACCATTAGAGGCTAATATGAACAACTCTATGCACACAAGCTAGAGAATATAGAAGAAATGGATACATTCTTGAACACATAACCCCTCTCAGGACTGAATCAAAAAGAAATTGAATCCCTGAACAGACCAATAACGAGATCTGAAATTGAATCAGTAATAAATAGCCTACCAGCCAAAAAAGTCCTGGACCAGACAGATTCACAGCTGAATTCCATCAGATGTACAAAGAAGAACTGGTACCATTCCTCTTAAAACTATTTCAGAAAGTTGAGGAGGAGGGACTCCTCTCCAACTGATTCTATGAGGTCAATATTATCCTGATACCAAACATGGCAGAGACACAACAAACAAAGAAAACTTCAGGCCAATATCCTTGATTAATACAGATGCAAAAGTCTATGTTAAGTTAACAAAATACTGACAAACTGAATCCAGCAGTACATCAAAAAGTTAATCCACCATGAAAGCAGGCTTTATTACTGGGATGCAAAGTTGGTTCAACATATCCAAATCAATAAACATGATTCATCAGATAAACAGAACTAAAGACAAAAACCATATGATCATCTCAATAAATGCAGAAAAGGCTTCCATTAAATTCAACATCCCTTTATGTTAAAGGCTCTTAACAAACAAAGAATTGAGGGAAGATACCTCAAAATAATAAGAGCCATCTATGACAAACCCCATAGCCAACGTCATACTAAGTAGGCAAAAGCTGGAAGCATTTCTCTTGAAAACCGGCACAAGACAAGGGTGCCCTATCTCACCACTCTTATTCAACATAGTATTGGAGGTCCTGGCCAGAGCAATCAGGCAAGAGATAAAAGGCATCCAAATAGGAGAAGAGGAAGTCAAACGATTCCTGTTTGCACATGACATAATTCTATATCTAGAAAACCCCATATTCTCAGCCCCAAATCTCCTTAAGCTGATAAACAACATCAGCAAGATTTCAGGATACAAAATCAATGTACAAAAATTGCCAGCATTCCTACATATCAACAACATCCAAGGAAGACTGTTGTCAGTGTATAGGAATGCTAGCAATTTTTGTACATTTTGTACATTGCTTCCAACACCAACATAGGAAACATCACAGTACCCAACTTCAAACTATACTACAGAGCTACAGTAACCAAAATAGCATGGTACTGGTACAAAAACAGAAACATAGGTCAACAGAACAGAATAAAGACTGCTGAAACAATGTTGCACATCTACAACCATCTGATCTTTAAAACAACTGACAAAAACGAGCAATAGGAAAAGGATTCCATATTCAATAAATGGTACTGAGATAACTGGTTAGTCACATGTGGAAGTCTGAAAGTGGACCCCTTCTTTATACCATACACAAAAATTAACTCAAGATAGACTAAAGACTTAAATGTAAAACCCAAAACTGTAAAAAAAAATTTGAAGACAACCTAGGCAATACCATTCGGGACATAGGAACTGGCAAAGACTTCATGACAAAGATGCCAAAAGCAATTGCAACAAAAGCAAAAATTGATAAATGGGATCTAATTAAAGAGCTTCTGCACAGCAAACAAAACCATCAAGAGAATAAATAGACAACTTACAAAATAAAAGAAAACATTTGCAAACCATGCATCTGACAAAGGTCTAATATCCAGCATCTATAAGGAACTTAAAGAAATTTACAAGTAAAAAAATGACCCCATTAAAAAGTGGACAAAGGACATGAACAGACACTTTTCAAAAGAAGCATATGAAAAAAGCTCAATATTACTGATTATTAGAGAAATGCAAATCAAAAACAAAATGGGATACCATCTCATACTAGTCAGAATGGCTATTATTAAAAAGTCAAAAATAACATGCTGGCAAGGTTGCAGAGAAAAGGGAATGCTTATACACTGTTGTTGGGAGTGTAAATTAGTTTAACTATTGTGGAAAGCAGTGTGACAATTCCTCAAACAGCTAAAAACAGAACTACCATTCGACCTAGCAGTCACATTACTGGGTAATATACCCAAAGGAATATAAATTATTCTATGATAAAGACACATGCACACGTACATTCACTGCAGCACTAATTGCAATAGCAAAGACATGGAATCAACCTAAATGCCCATCAATGGAAGACTGGATTAAAAAAAAAATGTGGTACACAGCCAACATCATACTGAATGGGCAAAAGCTGGGACCATTTCTCTTGAAAACAGGCAGAAGACAAGAATGCCCTCTCTCACCACTCCTATTCAACATAGTATTGGAAGTTCTGGCCAGAGCAATCAGGCAAGAGAGAAAAATAAAGGGCATCCACATAGGAAGAGAGGAAGTCAAATTGTCTTTGTTTGCAGATGATATGATCCTATATCTAGAAAACCCCATCAATTCAACCCAAAAGCTTCTTTTTATCTTTTTATTTTTCCATAAGTTGTTGGGGTACAGGTGGTATTTGGTTACATCAGTAAATTCTTTAGTGGTTATTTGTGAGATTTTGGTGCACCCATCACCTAAGCAGTATACACTGCACCCTATTTGTAGTCTTTTATCCCTTGCCCCCCTGCCACCCTTCCCTGCAAGTCCCCAAAATTCATTCTATCATTCTTATGCCTTTGCTTCATCATAGCTTAGCTCTCACATACCAGTGAGAACATACGATGCTTGGTTTTCTGTTCCTGAGTTACTTGACTTAGAATAATAGTCTCCAATCTCAGTCAGGTGGCTGCAAATGCATTAATTCATTCCTTTTTATGGCTGAGTAGTATTCCATCATATATGTATATATACACCACAGTTTATCCATCCACTCGCGGATTGATGGGAATTTGGGTTGGTTCCACGATTTTGAAATTGCAAATTGTGCTGCTATAAACATGCGTGTGCAAGTATCTTTTTTGTATAATGACTTTTTTTCTCTGGGTAGATACCCAGTAGTGGGATAGCTGGATCAAATGCTAGTTCCACTTTTATTTCCTTAAGGAATCTTCACACTGTTTTCCACAGCAGCTGTACTAGTTTACATTCCCACCAGCAGTGTAGAAGTGTTCTCTGGTCACCATGTCCACGCCAACATCTACTGTTTTTTGATTATGGCCATTCTTGCAGGAGTAAGGTTGTATCGCATTGTTGTTTTGATTTGCATTTCCCTGATCATTAGTGATGTTCAGCATTTTTTCATATGTTTATTGGCCACTTGTATATCTTCTTTTGGGAATTGTCTATTCATGTCCTTAGCCTGCTTTTTGATGAGATTGGTTTTTTCTTATTCATTTGTTTGAATTCATTGTAGATTCTGTATATTAGTCCTTTGTCAGATGTACAGATCGTGAAGATTTTCTCCCACTCTGTGGGTTGTCTGTATACTCTACTGACTGTCCCTTTTGCCATGCAAAAGCTCTTTAGTTTAAATCCCAGCTATTTATCTTTGTTTTCTATTGCATTTGCTTTTGGGTTCTTGGTCATGAAATCCTTGCCTAAGCCAATGTCTGGAAGGATTTTTCCAATATTATCTTCTAAAAGTTTTATAGTTTCAGGTCTCAGGTTTAAGTCCATAATCCATCTTGGTTCAATTTTTGTATAAGGTGAGAGATGAAGATCCAGTTTCATTCTCCTACATGTGGCTAGTCAATTATTCCAGCAACATTTGTTGAAAAGGGTGTCCTTTTCCCACTTTGTTTTGTTTGCTTTGTTGAAGATCAGTTGGCTGTAAGTATTTGGGCTTATTTATGGGTTCTCTGTTTTGTTCCATTGGTCTATGTGCCAATTTTTAGTACCATCCTGTTTTGGTGACTATGTCCTTATAGTATAGTTTGAAATCAAGTATTGTGATGCCTCTAGATTTGTTCCTATAGCTTAGGCTTGCTTTGGCTATCAGGGCTCTTTTTTGGTTCTATATGAATTTTATAATTGTTTTCTGTAATTCTGTGAAAAATAATGTGGTATTTTGGTGGGGATTGTGTTGAATTTGCAGATCACTTTTGGCAGTATGGTCATTTTCACAATATTGGTTCTATCCATCCTTGAGCATGGGTTGTGTTTCCATTTGTTTGTGTCATCTATGATTTCTTTGAGCAGTGTTTTGTAGTTTTCCTTGCAGTGGTCCTTCACCTCCTTCCTTAGGTATATTTTTAAGTGCTTTTGTTATTATTGTTGTTTGTTTTTGTTTGTTTGTTTTTGCAGCTATTGTAAAAGGGGTTGAATTCTTGATTTGATTCTTTGTTGGTCGCTGTTGGTGTATAGAAGAGCTACTGATTTGTGTATGTTAATCTTGTATCCGGAAACTTTGCTGAATTCTTTTATGAGTTCTAGGAGCTTTCTGGAGGAGTCTTTAGGGTTTTCAAGGCAAACGATCATATTGTCAGCAAAGAGTAACAATGTTTGACTTCCTTTTTACCAGTTTGGATGCCCTTTATTTCTTTCTCTTGTCTGATTGCTCTGGCTAGGACTTCCAGTACTATGTTGAAGAGGAGTGGTGAGAGTGGGCATCCTTGTCTTTTTCCAGTTCTCAAAAGGGATGCTTTGAACTTTTTCTCATTCAGTATTATGTGGGCTGTGGGTTTGTCACAGAAGGCTTTTATTACATTGAGCTCATGTCCATTGTGTGCCAGTTTGGCTGAGAGTTTTAATTATAAAGAGAAGCTGGATTTTGTCCAATGCTTTATCTGCATCTATTGAGATGATCGTGTAATTTTTGTTTTTAATACTGTTTATGTGATGTATCACATTTATTGACTTGCATATGTTAAACTAGCCCTTCATCCCTGGTATGAAACCCACTTGGTCATGGTGGATTATCTTTTTGATATGCTGTTGGATTCAGTTAGCTAGTATTTTGTTAAGGATTTTAGCATCTGTGTTCATCAGGGATATCGGTCTGTAGTTCTCTTTTTTGATTATGTCCTTTTCTGGTTTTGGTATTAGGGTGATGCTGGCTTATGGAATGAATTACTGAGGGCTCCCTCTTTCTCTATCTTGTGGAATAGTGTCAAAATGATTGGTACCAATTCTTCTTTGAATGTCTGGTAGAATTCTGCTGTGAATCTGCCTGGTCCTGGAATTTTTTTTTTTTTTTGGTAATTTTTAAATGACCATTTCAATCTTGCTGCTTGTTATTGGTCTGTTCAGGATATCTAATTCTTCCTGACTTAAGCCAGGAGGGTTGTATTTTTCTGGGAATTTATCTATTTTTTTCTAGGTTTTCTAGTTTATGTGCATAAAGGTGTTCATAGTAGCCTTGAATGATCTTCTGTATTTCTGTGGTGTCAGTTGTAATATCTCCCGTTCCATTTCTTAATGAGGTTATTTGGATTTTCTCCCTTCTTTTCTTGGTTAATCTTGCTAATGGTCTATCAATTTTATTTATCTTTTCAAAGAACCAGCTTTTTGTTTCATTTATCTTTTGTATTTTTGCTTGTTTGTTCATTTGAATTTCATTTAGTTCTGCTCTGATCTTTGTTATTTCCCTTTTTCTGCTGGGTTTGGGTTTGGTTTGTTCTTATTTCTCTAGTTCCTTGAGGTGTGACCTTAGATTGTCAGTTTGTGCTCTTTCAGTCTTTTTGATGTAGGCATTTAGGGCTATGAACTTTCCTCTTATCACCACCTTTGCTGTATCCCAGAGGTTTTGATAGGTTGTGTCATTATTGTCGTTCAGTTCAAAGAAATTTTTAATTTCTATCTTGATTTCATTTTTGACCTAATGATCACTCAGGAGCAGGTTATTTAATTTCCATGTATTTGCATAGTTTTGAAGGTTCCTTTTGGAGTTGATTTCCAGTTTTATTCCACTGTGGTCTGAGAGAGTGCTTGATACAATTTCAATTTTCTTAAATTTATCGAGGTGCGTTTTGTGGCCTATCATATGGCCTATCTTGGAGAAAGTTTTATGCGCTGTTGAATAGAATGTGTATTCTGCAGTTGTTCAATGAAATGTTTTGTATATATCGGTTAAGTCGATTTGTTCCAAGGTATAGTTTAAATACATTGTTTCTTTATGACTTTCTGTCTTGATAACCTTTCTAGTGCTGTCAGTGGAGTACAGAAGTCCCCCATTATTATTGTATTGCTGTCTATCTCATTTCTTAGGTCTAGTAGTAATTGTTTTATAAATTTGGGAGCTCCAGCATTAGGTGCATATGTGTTTAGGATTGTGATATTTTCCTGTTGGACAAGGCCTTTACCATTATATATAATGTCCCTCTTTTTCTCTTTTGACTGCTTTTGCTTTAAAGTTTGCTTTGTCTGATATAAGAATAGTTACCCCTTCTCACTTTTGGTGTCCATTTGCATGAAATGCATTTTTCTACCCTTTACTTTAAGTTTATGTGAGTCCTTATGTGTCGTAAGTCTCCTGAAGGCAGTAGATGGTTGGTGAGTTCTCATCCATTCTGCAGTTCTTTTAAGTGGAGCATTTAGGCCATTTACATTCAACGTTAGTATTGAGATGTGAGGTATCATCACATTTATTGTGCTGTTTGTTGCCTGTGTACCTTGATTTCTTTTGTTTGTTTGTTTTTGCTTTTAAATTGTATTTTTGTTTTATAGGTCCTATGTGATTTATGCTTTAAAAAGGTTCTGTTTTGATGTGTTCCCAGGATTTGTTTCAAGACTTAGAGCTCCTTTTAGCAGTTCTTGTAGTGGTGGCTTGTTAGTGGCAAATTCTCTCAGCATTTGTTTGTCTGAAAAATACTGTATCTTTCCTTCATATATGATGCTTAGTTTCACTGAATACAAAATTCTTGGCTGATAAAATTGTTTTGTTTGAGGAGATAGGGCCCCAATCTCTTTTAGCTTGTAAGGTTTCTGCTGAGAAATCTGCTGTCAATCTGATAGGTTTTCCTTTATAGGTTACCTGGAGCTTTTGTCTCACAGCTCTTAAGATTCTTTCCCTCATCTTAACTTTAGATAACCTGATGACAATGTGCCTAGGCAATGATCTTTTTGTGATGACTTTCCGAGGTGTTCTTTGTGCTTCTTACATTTGGATGTCTAGGTCTCTAGCAAGGCTGGGGAAGTTTTCCTCTATCATTCCCCCAAATATGTTTTCCAAAGTTTTAGATTACTCTTCTTCCTCAGGAACACCGATTATTCTTAGGTTTGGTCTTTTAACATAATCTCAGACTTCTTGGAGGCTTTGTTCATGTTTTCTTATTCTATTTTCTTTGTCTTTGTTAGATTGGGTTAATTTGGAGACCTTGTCTTCAAGCTCTGAATTCCTTTCTTCTACTTGTTCAATTCTATTGCTGAGACTTTCCAGATCATTTTGGATTTCTATAAGTGTGTCCAATTTTTCCTGAAATTTTCATTGTTTTTTTCTTTATGCTCTCTATTTCCTTGTGTATTAGGGTTCTCTTAGAGGGAGAGAAGTAATAGAATATATATATATACATACATACACACACATATACATATATCAGACTTGTGGGCAGGAAGCATATAGCATGGGAGAAAGATGTCGGCTGGGAGCCTAGACCTGTCTCTCTTTTTCACATTTTTCTGCTCAGTTTATATTCACTGGCAGCTGATTAGATTATGCCTACCAGATGAAGTGTGGATCTGCCTTCCCCAGTCCACGGACTCAAATGTTAATCTCTTTTGGCAACACCTTCACAGACACACCCAGGATCAATACTTTGTATCCTTCAATCCAATCAAGTTGACACTCAGTATTAACCATCACAAGTCCATCCCTTGTCAACTTGAACCCATATACATATCCTGTGATAATACATAGTCTTCAGATAAAGACAATGATAAGGTCATAATTATGCCTAACATAAGACAACTATCCTTCGTACAACCAGAAACCCACCAATCCTCAACTCAAATACTATTACATAAAGTTAATGATACTTAAATGCTGATATGAAGTCAATAAATCTTATGTCACATGATAAAGGAGAAAGGAAATAAAATTAAGATATTTTCTTAGTAAAAGTGTATACATGCACAAACATGTTTAACAAAAGAAGGAGAAAATACTCATGACAATTACAGTCCTCATTTCTGCAGCTGGTCACGTGGTCATAGCTGGTATTGATGACTACCTTCTTCTACTACCCATTCTGTATTCCCTTTGCTTTCAGCAAGCACCTCAGCAGGTTGAGGTTTTTTCCTGGTGGAGTGACCCAAACCTTCATTCCTGAAGGGTCTGGGTCATTTGTAGTCCTGCCTGGATTGGGCTATTGTAGTTTCCCATTGATCTTAATCACAGGGCATGATAACACTAAGATGCCCTAGTTCATCTCCTGTATTCCGTAAGTACTATTCCTTACCTCCATTGTGGAGTAGTAGACTGATTTCATCTTGATAGTCTGGGTCAATCACCCCAGCCAACACTGTAACTC
Source organism: Homo sapiens (assembly GCF_000001405.40). Lineage (NCBI taxonomy): Eukaryota > Metazoa > Chordata > Mammalia > Primates > Hominidae > Homo > Homo sapiens. The sequence continues at coordinate 112,699,983 of NC_000003.12, read as the reverse complement.
CCTTCTTAGCCTATTGACTTAAAGGTAGGAGGAGCCCAAAGTGGCAATATTAACTTCCAGTTTAATTGAATTGTTGTGTCTCCAGGTGGCAGCATTCCTCCCTCTGGAACTAAGACCTCTAGGCCAGCAGAACGTAATGTCGCGGGAACAGGAAACAAAAATTTTGCTAGTGAGTCACTAGGGGTAATGGTGAGTGGTGCCACTTCCACTTCCACCCCTTCATTCCTGGACCCATAAATCCTGGTTATGGGAGGAACAGTATCACATATTAGACACTGATTCAGAGCATACACAGCCTTCTGGAGGACTTTGCCCCAGCCCTGCAAAGTATTGTCTCCTAGTTGGCATTGTAATTATGACTTCAAAAGCCCATTCCAGCTATCAATCCTGCTGCTCAGGATGATGGGGAACATGGTGAGACCAGTGAATTCTATGAGCATGAGTCTACTGCCAAATGCAATGAGTGTCTTGGTCAGAGGCAATGCTGTGTGGAATACCACAGTGGTGGATAAGGCATTCCGTGAGCCCACAGTTGGTAGTCCTGGCTGAAGCACTGCGTGGAGGATAGGCAAACCCATATCCAGAGTAAGTGTCTATTCTGGTGAGGACAAACCTCTGCCCTTTCCATGATGGAAGAGGTCCAATATAATCAACCAGCCACCAGGTAGCTGGCTGATCACCCCGAGGAATGGTGCCATATTGAGGGCTCAGTGTTGGTCTCTGCTGCTGGCAAATTGGGTTCTCAGCAGTGGCTGCAGCCAGGTCAGCCTTGGTGAGTGGAAGTCCATGTTGCTGAGCCCATGTGTAACCTCCATCCCTGCCACTATGGCCACTTTGTTCATGGGCCCACTGGGCAATGACAGGGGCGGCTGGGGAAAGAGGCTGAGTGGTGTCCACAGAACAGGCCATCCTATCCATTTGATTATTAAACTCCTCCTTCAGTGAGGTCACCCATTGGTAAGCACTCATATGGGATACAAATATCTTCAGTTTTTGACCACTGACAGAGGTCCATTCACATACTTCTTCCCCAAATTTCTTTGTCACCAATTTTCCAATCATGCTTCTTCCAATTCCCTGACCATCCAGCCAAACCATTGGCTACAGCCCATGAATCAGTATATAATCACACCTCTGGCCATTTCTTCTTCCATGCAAAGTGCACAACCAGGTACATTGCTCAAAATTCTGCCCACTGGGAAGATTTCCCTTCACTGCTGTCCTTCAGGGATGTCCTAGAAAGGGGCTATAGGGCTGCAGCTCTTCACTTTTGGGTGGTGCCTGCATATCGTGCAGAACCATCTGTGAACCAGGCCCTAGTCTTCTCTCCCTCTGTCAACTTATCATAGGGAACTCCTTATGAGGCCATCAGTGCAGGCTGGGGGAGAGAAGGCAGGGGGGAAGGAGTGAAGACCATGGGCTTTTGAGTCACTTCCTCATGTAACTTACTTGTGCCTTCAGGACCTGCTCGAGCCTGATCACATATATACCACTTTCATTTGATGATGGAATGCTGCTGTGCATGACCTACTTTATGTCTAGATGGGTTAGAAAGCACCCAGTTCATGAAAGGCAATTCAGGTTGCATGGTGACTTGATGGCCCATAGTCAAACGTTCAGTTTCCACCAAAGCCCAGTAGCAGGCCAAGAGCTCTCTCAAAAGGAGAGTAGTTATCTGCAGAAGATGGAAGGGGCTTGCTCAAAATCCTAGAGGCCTCTGCTGTGATTCACCTATGGGAGCCTGCCAAAGGCTCCAAACAGCATCCATATCTGCCACTGACACCTCAAGCACCATTGGATCTCCTGGATCATATGCCCCAAGTGGCAGAGCATCTTGCACAGCAGCCTAGACCTCTTGCAGAGTCTCCTCCTGTTCTGGAATCCCTCTCAAAATTGGCAGCATTTCGGGTCACTTGATAAATGGGCTGGAATAACACACCCAAATGAGGAATGTGTTGTCTCCAAAATCTAAATAGGCTCACTAGGTATTGTGTCTCTTTCTTGGTTGTAGGAGGGATCAAATGCAGCAATGTATCCTTTATCTTAGAAGGAATATCTCAACAGACCCCACACCAGTGGACCCCTAGAAATTTTACTGAGGTAGAAGGTCACTGAATTTTAGTCAGATTTATTTCCCAACCTCTGGCATGCAAATGTCTCACCAATAAGTCCAGTGTGTTTGCTACTTCTTGCTCACTGGATCCAATCAGCATAATGTCATCAATGTAATGGACCAGTGTGATATCTTGCCAAAGCAAAAAGTGATCAAAATCTCTCTGAGAAAGCTATTAGAGATTGTGAAGAATAATTTCTATCTCCGCCCTGGGGTCATTGTCAGGTAAAGATGGTAAAGCCTATTGCTAGTCAAGTATTGAGGGTATGGGTGTGTGTATATATACTTAAGGCTGAGGAGGTGAAGGTGTGAAGGAAGACTCCTCAAATGGGAATATATTTTAATTCCTAGAACAGTTTTGAACTACTACCTTGGTGAAGACTTAGTTATTTGAGAAATTTAAAATTACGGTGCTCCATGGCTTAGGCTAACGACTCTAGAGAATCTTCCAGATTTGATATTTGAGCTTTGTGCTCTTCTTACCTAAGAGTGTTGAGAAAATAGAGATAAAACGGGATGCTCAAGGTTTGTTACAATGTAAAAACCATGGTAGGGTGTGGGCGGTGGGACCTTGGTAAGTATTCTGTGATCTCAGATGAGCTTTTTGACAATTGAAATTTCTCAGAATAATGACAAGTTTTCGTATTTGTTGAGCCAGGGATGGAAAAATAACTATAGTTACTAATAAGGACTGTGCAAGGAGTTTGGACACCAGGGAAGTAACACTTTTGCCACAAATATTTTTCCTAGCATATCCCAGAGAACTCATTTGCCAGAGCTCTTGAAAATGAGTCTTGCTGATTGTTTTGCTTTATTTTAATTTAATGCTACATATTAAGTTACGGACTTGTCTATTCCAGGGATCTGGATCTGAAGAAGCCAATTTATCAGAGGACTGTAGCCTATGGCCACTTTGGTAGGGACAGCTTCCCATGGGAAGTGCCCAAAAAGCTTAAATATTGAAAGTGTTAGCCTTTTCTCCCCAGACTTGTTGGCATAGGATACAGAGAAGCCTTCAAGCTCTGAGGGAAAGGGCCCTCCTTCCTAAATTTTCCTGTCCTCTTTCAGCTCCTGATCCGTTGCAGTCACTCTAGTCAATGACATGAATTTTAGCTTTTGTGGGGGACTGTAAGTTGGGCTTGCTATTCTGTCCCTAGGTGTTTTGTTCACCATTATAATGAATTTAGTGAGCATAGGTGATCCATGTAACTGCCTAGAAACAACACTGTAGTAAATAATGCTTTGAAATTGAACCTTTGTGCCCTATCACCCAATGCTCCAAAGTCATAATTGCATTGACTTTCCCACCAGATGCTGAAAATGTCCTTGTAATACGCACGTAAAGTACTTGTAGTTCCACTTATAGCCTCTGTCTGGCAATGCCACAGCCCTGTCAGCATGAATTTGTAATGTCTTGAGCTCTATTATGAATGTGAAGCCTTCCCCTTATCCTCCCTGTAACTTGATCCATTTCTAATTATGTAGCTCTTTGTCAGGGAGTGTTCCCTATCCAATCAATCTTGCATGTAACGCAAGTTCCCAGTTGGAGCTGCAGCCTAACATCAAAAAAGGCAGTTACCATTAAACCATCTCCCTGGTGCTTATGCTCTTCATTGCCACCTCTAACAGTACCAAATCAAAATCTCTCCACTTCCAACTGTCTTTTGGAGGATGTAGGTAATAAGGTTTTAATTTAGTAAACCAATCCTATGCATGGTTTCAGCAGTAGCCAAACGTCACCAACTCCTAGTTCTAGAAAAACAGGCACTTGGCAGCCTTGTGATATCATACAGAGAAGTCACAGGGCAGTACCTGAGGGTCTGTAGGTTACACACTTTGGTACCAGATAACTTTTTTTTTCTTTATAAGAAAGCCTGAGTACTCCACACTGCACAATAACTCCTCCCAGTGTTTTAACTTTGTTTTATTTTCAAAACCAGGTCCAATGAGCTTTCTGAACAGCTGGTGTAGCTACAGAGAAACCAGCTTCCTTCAGAGAGCAGTGTTTTTGGTGGGGAGGAGGAAATCCCTTCATACTTGAACATTTTCTAATTGCTTATTGTATTCTGGGGTATGGCGTAAGTACAGAGAAGCCATCACCTCAGATGGCAGCTTTTAAAAGATTTCTTTTTTCTCTCAACACCATGATTCCTTTAACAACATGTTTCCAGCATTCCCAGGTAGGCCAAGGTGTCCTACAGAAAAACCTTGGGTTAGACCTACAGGGGATCTGGCTGGTGTTAACAGAAGGAAGGGCAGAGCTGGTGCAGCTGGCCGTGGAGAAAGCTGACTTGGCTGGTGTGGTACAGAGAAGCCAGCTTGTTTACATGCTTATTCCATGACTGCTTGCCCTAAGCAGAAAGTGCCTTTCAGGATCTATTTTTGGAGGTTTATTACGTATGTCTGGTTCTCAATTCCAACAGTTTAATGAAGATCTAAATAAAATGCTAGGTTCTACCTTAAAAAAAAAACCTCTCTGAATATGATTATGACACAAAGCCAGAAAGTTCATATACCCCTGAGGTAGGACAGTAAAGGTATATTGCTGGCCTTGCCAGCTGAAGACAAATTGCTTCTGGTGGGCCTTACAGACAGGAATGGAGAAGAAGGCATTTGCCAAGTCAATGGCTGCATACCAGTTACCAGGAGATGTGTTAATTTGCTCAAGCAATGAAACCACATCTGGTACAGCAGCTGCAATTGGAGTCACTACTTGGTTAAGCTTACAGTCATCCACTGTCATTCTCCAAAATCCACCTGTCTTCTGCACAGGCCAAATGGGAAAGTTGTACAGGGATGTGGTGGGAATCACCACTTGTGCGTCTTTCAAGTCTCCTTGATGGTGGCACTAATCACCGTAACTCCTTCAGGGATGTGATATTGTTTTTGATTTACTATTTTTATATGTAGAGGCAGCTCTAATGGTTTCCATTTGGCCTTTCCCACCATAATAACCCTCACCTTGCCAGTCAGGGAGCCAATGTGGGGGTTCTGCCAGCTGCTGAGTATTTCTATGCCAATTATGCTTTCTGAAACTGGGGAAATGACCACAGGATGAGTCTGGGGACCCACTGGACCCACTGTAAGTCAGACCTGAGCTAAAACTCCATTAATTACCTGACTTCCATAAGCCTCTACCTTAACTGGAAGACCACAGTGAGGTTTTGGGTTCCCTGGAATCAAAGTCAGCTCAGAGCCAGTGTCCAATAGTCCCCAAATGTCTGATCATTTCCCTTTCCGCAATGCAGTTACCCTGATAAAAGGCCAGAGGTCTCCTTAGGGAAGGATGGGAGAAAGATTCACTGCATAAATGTCAGCAATGTAGTGGATCCTTCCTCAAGGGGACCAGGCCTCCCCTTCATTCAAGGGGTTCTGGGTCTGAAAACTGGCTCAAGTCTGGAAATTGATTGAGAGGCCATGATTCTCTGTTTTTATAATTCAAATTAGTCTTTCATCCATTCAATCTAGAAGTTGTTTGTTTGTATAATTTAAGTAGGAATGCAGTAGGCTTCCTATCAATTTCACTTCTAGGAACACCGTGATTAATTAGCCAATGCCAGAACTCTACACAAGTCATACTATTCTGATTGCCACTTTGTCTCTGCTGCCCATTACAGTAACTATGCCCACCTTGCCTTTGACAGTTGAGTGCTGCCACTTGGCCTTTGCCACCTTTGGATCCAATTATTCCCATTGTATTTAAATTTCATAGTTGAGTGACTGCATCTCCCACTTTTAGCTCTGACATACAGAGTTTGGATCCGTTGCTGGTGAGCTAGTGTGATTTTTTGGAGGGTGTTAAAGAGCCTTGTGCTGTAATATTACCAGAGTTGGTTTTCTGGTTTCTTCTCATTTGGGTAGGCTCTGTCAGAGGGAATGTCTAGGGCTGAAGGCTGTTCTTCAGATTCTTTTGTTCCACAGGGTGTTCCCTTGATGTAGTACTCTCTCTTTTCCTATGGATGTGGCTTCCTGAGAGTGGAGCTGTAGTGACTGTTATCTCTCTTCTGGGTCTAGCCACCCACCAAGTCTATCTGGCTCCAGGCTGGTACAGGAGGTTGTCTGCATAGAGTCCTGTGAGGTGAACCATCTATGGGTCTCTCAGCCATGGATACCAGCACTTGTGCTGGTGGAGGTGGCAGGGGGGTGTAATGGACTCTGTGAGGGTTCTTAGATTTGGTGGTTTAATGTTCTATTTTTGTGCTGGTTGGCCTCCTGCTGGGAGGTGGCGCTTTCCAGAGAGTATCAACTGTGGTAGTATGGAGAGGAACTGGTGGTGGGTGGGGCCCTAGAACTCCCAAGAGTATATGCCCTTTGTCTTTAGCTACCAGGGAGGGTAGGGAAGGCCCATCAGGTGGGGGCAGGGCTAGGAGTGTCTGAGCTCAGACTTTCCTTGGGCTGGTCTTGCTGCAGCTGCTGTGGGGGATGGGGGTGAGGTTCCCAGGTCAATGGAATTGTGTACCTAGGAGGATTATGGCTGCTGTGCCAAGTCATGCAGGTTGTCAGGGAAGTGGGGGAAAGCCTGCAGTCACAGGCCTCACCTGGCTCCCATGCAATCTAAAAGGCCGGTCTCACTCCCACCGTGCTCCCCCAACAGTGCTGAGTCTGTTTCCAGACTGCGGGCAGCGAAGGCTTGAGAACTTGCCCCAGGGTACCCACCTCCCAGCTGCAAAAGAAAAGGGCTTGGTTCTTCCCCAGCCTGTGAAGCCTGCATACCGGATTTGCACCCTCCCCCCAGTTCTGGCCAGGAGGCTTCTCACCCTAGTTCAAATTGTTACAAAGTTCAGCTAGGGATTTGCTTCTCCCTGCGTAGTTTTACTCCCTTCTCCTCTGGTCACCCTCCAAAAGGATCCCTGTGATGCCAGGTAGGAATGGCTTGCTTGGGGACCCAGTGAGCTCCCAGGGCCTTTCTCACTGCTTCTTTTACTCCTGTATTTTGCTTACCTCTCTAAATTGACTCAGTTCCAGCTAAGGTCAGAAACTTCTCCTGCAAACTAGACCTTCAGTTTCCCCAGTGGGGAGGTGTGTTCGGGATCAGAGGATCTCCCTTTCCCACTTCCACAGTGTGGTCACTCACAGTATTTGAGGTGTCTCCTGGGTCCTGCAGGAGCAGTCCACTTCCTTCAGAGGGTCTGTGGGTCCTCTAGGGATTCCTCGTTTGTTCTTCAGTCATTCTGGAGCTAAAATTCATGATGCAAACCTCCACACGCTTCTCTGTCCATCTGAGTCAGAGCTGCAATCTAGTCTTGCTTCCCGCCTGCCATCATGATCCCTCAATTGCTTTCCCAAAGCTATTTAAGCAGATAAACAACTTTGGCAAAACTTCAGGATACAAAATCAATGTGCAAAAATCACTGCATTTGTAGACACCAACAACAGTTAAGATGAGAGCCAAATCAGGAATGAACTCCCATTCACAATTGCCACAAAAGAATAAAATACCTAGAAATACAGCTAACTAGGGAGGTGAAATATCTCTACAAGGAGAACTACAAACCACTGCTCAAAGAAATCAGAGAGACAACAAATGGAAAACATTCCATGCCCATGGATAGGAAGAATCAATATCATTAAAATGGCCATACTGCCCAAAACAATTTATGGATTCAATACTACTACTATTAAACTACCATTGATATTCTTCACAAACTAGGAAAAATTACTGTAAAATTCATATGAAACCAAAAAAGAGCCTGAACAGCCAAAGCAATCCTAGCAAAAGAACAAAGTTGGAGGCATCACACTACTTGACTTTAAACTATATTACAGGGCTACAGCAACCAAAACAGCATGTTACTGGTAGAAGAACAGACACATAGACCAATGCAACAGAATAGAGAACCCAGAAATAAGACTGCACACATACAACTATCTGATCTTAAACAAACCTGACAAAAAATAAGCAATAGGGAAAGGATTCCCTATTCAATAAATGGTGCTGGGATAACTGGCTAGCCACAAGTGAAAGATTAAAAGTGGATCCCTTCCCTATAGCATATACAAAAATTAACTCAAGATGGATTAAAGACTTAAATGTAAAACCTAAAACTATGAAAACCCTGGAAGACCACCTAGGCGATACCATTCAGGACATAGGAACTGGCAAAGATTTCATGACAAAGACACCCGGAGCAATTGCAACAAAAGCAAAAATTGACCAATGGGATCCAATTAAACTAAAGACTTTCTGCACAGCAAAAGAAACTATCAACAGGGTAAACAGACAACCTACATTGTGAGAGAAAATTTTTGCAAAGTATGCATCTGACAAAGGTCTAATATTTACCATCCATAAGGAACTTAAAGAAATTTATAAGGAAAAAAAACCCATTAAGAAGTAGGCAAAGGACATAAACAGACACTTTTCAAAAGAAGACATACATGCAGCCAACAATCATATGAAAAAAAGCTCAATATCATTGATCATTAGAGAAATGCCAATCAAAACCTCAGTGAGATACCAGCTAACACCAGTCAGAATAGCTATTATTAAAAAATAAAAAAAAATAGACTCTGGTGGTGAGGTTGTGGAGAAAAAGGGACACTATACACTATTAGTGGGAGTGTAAATTAGTTCAGCCATTGTGGAAGACAGTGTGGCGATTCCTCAAAGACGTAAAAACAGAAATACCATTTGACCCCACAATCCCATTACTGGGTATACACCCAAAGGAATATAAATTATTCTTTTATAAAGACACATGCACACATATGTTCATTTTGGCACTATTCCCAATAGCAAAGACATGGAATAAACCCAAATGCCCATTAATGATAGACTGAATGAAGAAAATGTGGTACATATACACTGTAGAATACTATGCAGCTATAAAAAAGAATGTGACCATGTCCTTTGCAGGGGCATGGATGAAGCTGAAGGTCATTATCCTTAGCAAACGAACACAAGATCAGAAAACCAAATATAGCATGTTCTCACTTACAAGTGGGAGCTAAATTATGAGAACACATGGACACAAAGAGGGGAACAACAGACTCTGGGGCCTACCAGAGGATGGGAGGATGGAGAGGAGCAGAAATAATACCTATTGGTTATTAGGCTTAGTACCTGGGTGACAAAATAATCTGTACATCAAACCCCCGTGACACGAGTTTATCTATATAACACGCCTGCACTTGTATTCCTGAATCTAAAATAAAAGAGTTTTTTATTTGTTTGTTTGTTTGTTTTAAAAAAAAGAAGAGGTAGCCAGACATAGAACACCAAAAGCTTACCCAGTAGCAGTGAGACTCATGGGAAGAGGATGGCTTATAGTCATACACACCTAGGTCTAAAGTGTGGTGTGGCCAAATAATTCCACTTCTGAGCCTCAGTTTCTTCCTCTGCACATGAGGGATCATGGCGACTAACCCATGCAGAGTTTCAATGTAAGGGATCATGCAGTTTCCGGTCTATGGTCAATATTCCAGCAATGGTAGTTATTCTAGTGGTTAAAAGGCCATTCCTTGCTAATTTACCTCTGAAATTGGAGCCATGGTTCGCAGTGCTCCTGCTTTGAATTCTGGCTTTAGTTTTGACTTTTTATGCTATTTGTTCCTGGCATCAGCACCTAGTCTATATTTTGTGTCTAACTTAGTCACTTGCCTCTCCTGTGCAACCTGCACTGGGGCCTTTGTGTCCTGGGATTTTCCTGTGCCCCTGTGACCTCTGGATTCAGCTTGCCCTGCATTCCTAGCTTTGGTGCCTGCTCCACTGGGCCTGTGTCTGGCAAGGCCGCTACTGAGCTGGGACAATTAGAATTTTTAAAAAGTAGGAAAGGAAAGTATGAATAATGTTTATTAAAAGAGCTGAAGAAAGAATAGCTACAGAAGTAGAAAGCCACAAAATGAAAGCAGGAAAATCACTAATGCAGTAACAACAAAGGCTGAGCAATAGGGTGTAAAAATAAGCCAAGGGTCTTTTGATGTCTTTGTTGCTGTCTACTCTCAGCGCTGATGTAGTAGTAAAATTGCTGTAGGTCAGAGAGCTTGAACCAAATGGGGAATCAACATCGAAGGAGTCTTGAAGTATGGTGAGTTGCTGCAGACAAAGAGTAAACTGCTTGCCTACTGTGGGCAGGAGCCCACAAAACTTAGGAGATATGTGCTTGCAAAGCAAATGCTGGCTTTTTGTGGATTTAAAAACTGCCAGGGACAAATTCTCCCCTCCTTTTCTACTAAGCCTCCTGCCAATACCAACAAGCAATTTTAGCTGAAAACAAAACAAAAAACCACACCTACTTCAGGTTGGCCTTGCAATCTCCAACCACTGTCTGCAAGACTGAAAACATAATTCCATATGATACTTTCTCTTCCTCAATAAGGTGGTGAGCTGGTGAGCTAGGGGCTTTAAAACCGAAGGCTAGAAATGTTCCCCTTGATGAACATTCCTGGTAAGAAGAGGTTAGAACACAGCACATCAAAAAGGTTGACTAGAGTGAGGGAAACTCTAGACCTAAGACTAACAGCTGATAAGTTTGTGATTAACAATCTTTCTGCATTCAGCAGTCTGAGTGCACACCATTTATTTTATTTGAAACAAAAACTGAATCTAATTTTACAGAAATGAGGGGACAGCACTCTGGTTTTACTGATGCTTATAAAAGCAGATTGTTGCCTCAAGTTTAAAAATGTAAAGAAGCAGAGCTTCCCAGCCTTCTCCATTCCCATCAAACTTGCAAACAGGAGGAAATCCTGGAAGGAGAGGGAGAAAGGAATCAGGGAGAAAAGGGTGGAGCACAATAAATACATATGTGTCTGGTTATTGAGCATGGTCTTTTACATCCTACCTGGAATGAGTCACACACAGACAGTTCCTGGCAAAACTTGAAAGAAGCTTTTATATTTCAACTTTGATGGATTCAGCTTGCTGCAATTCCCAGCATAGCCAGTCCTTGGAAAAAAAAGCACACAGAATCCGCATGCCCTGGACCTGCCCTTTTATTCAGTCTCTCCCCCTTCCTGGTTCCTAGTTGTGACCTTCCCAGATGTCTGGTTCCTCTAGGCTGCCGTCTTCCCACTGGGCTCTTGCTTTTTTTTAGTTTTGACCAGTCCTGTTAGCATAGCCAACTTCACCTACTCATGATACTCTTTCCTCTGACTCTATCAAAGTTCCTTTGTGATAGAGGAAGCAAGGGATGAAGGTTATGGACTGGTGGGCAAATGAAACAGGGAAAAAACTTGTAACTTTATTCACTTAACAAATATTTATTGAGTATTCATCCTGTGCTAGCTGCTAGGACTTCAGTGGTCAATGAGGTAGTCATCAGCTGAGCTTTGAAGAACCTGCTCTTGTATGTGCTTGAGTTCTACTTAATACTACATACAAGTAACATCTACTGAGCCCTTACTATATGCCAGGCACTGTGCAAAAACCTTCATCTTACCAAATCCCCACCGCAGCCTTGTAAAGAGGTAAATTTATCAGTTCTGTTTTGTAAATTGAAAGTCAAGAGGCTGGAACTCATAAAGCCTGTAAGAGGTGAAGCTAGGATTTTATCCAGTGTCTAACTCCTGCCCCAGGCCCCTTAACTTCTGTGCTGCATTCCACTGGTTTAGAATCACAGATCCTTGCACATTATCACCCTTAAATGTTTATAGAATTGAACTGTTTGTTCAGGAAAGTGCTTCAGGATTAGCCTTGTGAGTGAGAAGAAGGTGGTGACATAGGTGATGATAATATGATGGATTACACACGTCCTGGAATTCTACCTTTGGAATTTACCCTGGGAGGTGATTTATCACTTTCTTTTACAGTTCTCTTTCAAAAACTAAATAACTCTAGAATATGGAAGAAGAGTCACATTCAGGCCTAAACATCTTAATGAGAATTGGTTTTATTAGTCTTTTTTCCCCTCTGGACATAATAAGCATCCCAGAAAAAGGGGATTTTGGAGTGTTCAGAATGCTTTGGGGGCCATTGAGTCTCCCTTTACCATTTGGAGCCTAGGGCTGGTCCTGGGCTATTAGACCTGGACCTGTTTTACTTGAAACCAACTAGCCTCCTGTGGGACATTATCTTTGGCTAAGCATCTATCTCAGACCATGGCATATCCTCTGGCCATTACTAAGCATTTCTGAGAAACCCTCCACCCATCTGAATTTGCAATGATCTCCCTGTTTGGCTGAGTTGCCAATCAAAACAACATCCTCCTCTCTGGACCAATATGTTTTTTCCCAGCATGGTGAAGTCAGTGCTTGCTGGTGTCCTGCAGATTCGAAAGATTGGAAATTATAGTCAATCAAGCTATCCTGAAGATTATGATAGGGAACCTGCTTTCTCCCCATGTTGGAAATTCTCTGTTGTCAAGGCAAAGGCACACCTCAGTAAAACAAAGACCTGGGCAATTATTTTGAAAGACACAGCCATTTTATTGTCCAGGTCTGCAAAACATAAGCACGGTCCCTTCTGGGACAGTACCCTTGTAATTCAGCTATTGTCTAAATTCCAAAGCCCTAAGTTTTGTTTGGTTTGTGGCTCAGCAGTGACATAATTGCTGTCAATCCCTAGTCAGACATAGCCTGCAAGCCTGTCTGGCTTGCAGGACGAAACCCATCTTCACTGGGAAGCATGAGACAGTTCTAACATTGTTTCAGGCAGTGAAGCCCAGTAAGAGAAGGAAAACGTTAATTTCAGACCTACAAATTGCTTTCTTTCCTGAGCAGACCCAAGGGTGGAAAAGAAGAGGAACCTCAGCAACAGTAATAATTTGTTTCTAGTCTGAGAACCCTCTGCCTCTTTTTTTCCCCCATAAAGAAGCAGGTGGCAGAAAGAATCAGATGAAGTCCAGGTGGTAAAGGATTAAGACTGCTCCAAGGAAATAAAGTCTAAATCTGACCATCTTTCAAGCACTCTACCAAAAATTTTTAAAATTTTATCCACTGATTCTCCCTTTTGAAGATTAGCATAATAATAAATTCTTACACAGTGCTTACTCTGTGTTGGGCACTAATCTTTTTAAAAATTAATGTATATTAAGTCCTTAAATTCTCAAAGCAACTCTATGAGATAGAAAGCATTTTTATTTCCATTTTACAAAAGAGGCAACCAAGGCACAGAGAGGATCAGTAATCCACCCAAGTGTTCATAATAACTAAGTGGTAGAGTACGGAGCTGAAGGGCTCCAGTCTAGCTCTAGGGCTTAAGAAACTCCAAATACTTGTCCCAGAATAAAAGGGAGAATGTAAAGACAGATAAAACAGCATCAGTCTTTTCTTTCCTTTGATGCAGTTGACCATGCTTTATATTTGAATGACAAGAACTAATCCACAATGCTCAACCAGCACTAATGCTCTCTGTCTCTGGAATTCCTCTATCCCTTTGTTTTTACCATTTCCTCCCTGACCAGGCTGGCTACTCCACGTGCCAGCTGGTATCTGTGGACTGGTTATGTTAGAAATGGTGCTGGAGAATGTGTCCACTCAGAAAAGTCACCTTAGAGTGCAGCCCACAGTCAGCGTTTTTGGGCAAATTAGACCAAGTTACTTTCTTTTCAGATCTATTACAGGAGCCCACACATGGATTCTGGTTAGACAGTATGTCATTTTCCAGAACTCAGCACGTGATTGCCAAATTTCTATTCGAAGGTGACATTTTATGAAACACCAGATGTTCTTTGGTATCTGACTAAAGTTAAGTATCAAAACAGCCATGAATCCATAGGAATAGAACAGTAATCCCCCCAGGAAAGTTTTCTCTCTCTCAGATCACTGACTAATAACTGAGTTGACCAATTCAACTAGATGGAAGTGTTGCAAAGTAAAGATAATTGGCTACTGTGGAAAGAGATGTGAGCTAGCTAAGCTCATTTGGGTTGCAAAACATAACTTTGTCATTAATTTATTTCATTTTGTTTCTAAAATCCATTTTAAAAAACCCAGTTTTTCACTTTATGACTCTATTTTTCCTACTATTTTAGTAGTCTCTATTTTATATCCATTATTCAACATTTCACATTGTAAGTTCATGGTGATTGTTTCCAATGCTAAGATCTTCAACTCTAAGAGTTTAGAAAAACATTAGGACCACCCGGGCCAATTATCTTGTTTTGTATATGAAGAGGCTGAGACTGAGCTGGATTAAGGACTTCTCAAAGTTGTACGGCGAGAGAGATGGTGAAAGATGAGGCTTCACAACGACATCTGGTTAGAGCTCAGCTTCCTCTGACCAAAACTGTTGCTGAGGCAGAGACAGAGGGCAGGAGCTGTTCAACGCTGGCTGTATCCGTTCTCCAATCCCTGTGCTAGGTTGCTTTGTTATGAACACCAGATGCCGTATTAGTGACTCTGGAATTAGAAGAGTGAGATGGGTGGGGCGCAATGTATGAGTCTGTTTATTGTAGTGGGCCTGTGTCCAGATGCTGTCTGTCTCCTCATGGTTTTCCATCCTTAACTTCTGGTCATTTGGCCTTGGGGATACCTTCATAGATCCTACTTCAAGAACAGGAGATAGTTTTGGGGCTTACAATTATAAGACCTACACAGACTTAATCACAGACAAAAACAGATTTTTACTTTTTTCTTGATCATTTTTGTTAAGAATAGCTTGTTTTTACTTAAAAGTAGTTTAGGAGTCTACATGGCATCTATAATGATATATGTTCTGTAAATTATCTTGTCCTATGTAGAATATAGCCACAATGTATATATATGTGTATTTATTTATGCATATTTGTGTATATGTTTCTAAATCTACTCACTCTGCCTATCTGAAAGCCTGTGTGGGAAGCTGTGGGTTCCAAGGTTATACATATTTAATCTGAAGTTAAAAGTATCCCCTGACTCTTCTCTACGATCTTCAGACATGGTTTCCCATGTGAAAATGTCTTAAAAAAAAAATCTCTGGCAAAATAATCCCACCCTGCTTAATGGAAATTTCATAATACTTTGGAAAATATTCCTGCCATACTCCAGGGCTTCCAGATGGGAATCTACAGAGGATCCTATGGAATGTGTGATGGATCTTGACTCCTGTTTTATCCTGATGCTTCTATTACTTTGCTAGCATCCACATCATGTGACTGGCCATACTGAATTGTTTGGAGGCACAAGTGGCCTCATCTGACAGAATAATCTCCAATTGACTTGGGGGATTATAAAATACACATTCACCAGGCTCTAGCTCTGCCCATCATTGTGAAATAGGCAGTATTTGCCACTGGTTCCTGATTCTGGCTCTGTGCTCCTCTAACAGTCTGCCTCCCTCTCCCAGTGGAGTTCTAGAGTACCCCAAAACTGTTCCTAACTGGAGCCACAAATCTGATCTCCCTCTTAGGATTTTGTCCTAGACCAGTGTTCTCTAATTCTGTTTTTTTCATCCCACTCTCCTGTCAAATTCTGTCCACATGTCCTGAGTCATCATATAAGAAATAAATAACTCCTTCTGATACACTATTGTTTAATAGGTCGCCCCTCCCAAGGATACTTGCGTTTAGAGGAAAACCCCTGGAGGTAGACAACCTACACTCTTGGGACTTAATTTTCAATGGTGGAACTTTATACACTGGGAACTTTAAACACTGAGATATAATTTTGGCGGGCAATTGGAGTGGGGGTAGATATACCTCCCTAGACTCATTCAAACACTCAAAGTGTTAAAACACATGGAAAACAGGACAGTGTGGTGTTTCTCCCAGAAATAAAAAGGTGCATAGAGGACGATGTGAAAGCTGTGTCTTCTCTCTCAAGGACAAATGGACTGGAAATTAGGATTTGTTCTCAGGTAAGACACAAAATCAGAGGTAAATCCATGGGACTATGGAGGATCACCCTTATAACTATATCTGAGAAATATTCATGGAGAATATAGGATAAGGATTACACCCACTACTGGTATAAATGAAAAGGAGGGGAGTGAATATTTGACTAATAATTTAAAAGTTCTCAATTTTATGAGTCAATGGACTCATTGGAACATTGCTAAGAATGAATCACAAAGAGTTAATAAAATATTTTCCATTGTATTCAGAATGTATTATATTTTCTTTAGCAATATGTTTACCCTCCAGGATACGTTAAGTAAAGGTGGGCTATGAAGGGTTGGGGGTGGGGGACATCTAATCTGGTAGCAAACATTTGTTTTAAATAAGCTACACGGCAGACAACCCACAAATGTGTATGTGAGAAAACTACTATACAACTTTGCTTAACATTGTTTTATTAAGTTGAAATATGTTTTTAAATAATCTGAAAGAAAAAAGGCCTGGCCCTGGTAAAATCAAAGTGCTAAGACAGCTTTAACAAAAATATCTAGGGCCCACACATCATATCAGTAAAGGAAAAGAGAAAACAGATAAATGTTTTCATAATTATAAACATAATTTGAGTCCCTATCGTATTTGTCTTTTTAGGCAATCAGGGAAGAAAACTGTTATTAAAAGTTATGACTTAGGGCTATTTAGAGTCACTAAGGAATCAAGATGCCTCAGCCTTTTAGCTCAGGTAGAAAAAAACAATTCCTGATTCTAGGAAAGAAGTCAGGGTGAAGTTTGTTCTTATGTCTTACAGTTCCAACTAGAGTTACTTTGAATTAAATGGCGATTGCAACAGCTGAATTTAGTAATAAACAGTAGTCCATACACAGGTTTAGAGATTTGTGTTTTTATAATTTCTGTTCCAGGTTATTTAACTCCTTCTTGCGACTAGATGTTAATTCCCTTAACTTGAGATTTAATACAAAGTTAAACTTTTGTTTTGCTTTGTTTTGTTTTTTGTTGTTGTTTGTTTTTTGAGATAGTCTCACTCTGTCACCCAGGCTGGAGTGCAGTGGTTCAATCTTGGCTCACTGCAACCTCCTCCTCTTGGGTTCAAGCGATTCTCCTACTTCAGCCTCCTGAGTAGCTGGGTTTACAGGCGCCCGCCATCACGCCCGGCTAAATTTTTGTATTTTTAGTAGAGATGAGGTTTCATCATGTTGGTCAGGCTGGTCTCAAACTCCTAACTTCAGCTGATCCACCCACTTCAGCCTCCCAAAGTGCTCTTGTTGCCCAGGCTGGAGTGCAATGGTGTAATCTCAGCTCAATGCAACCCCCGTCTCCTAGATTCAAGGAATTCTCCTGCCTCAGCCTCCCGAGTAGCTGGGATTACAGGCTCCTGCCATCATGCACAGCTAGTTTTTGTATTTTTGGTAGAGACGGGGTTTCACCGTGTTGTCCAGGCTGGTCTCGAACTCCTTCCTCAGGTGATGACTGGCCTCAGCCTCCCAAAGTGATGGGATTACAGGCATGAGCCACTGCACCCAGCCTGAAGTTTAACTTTTTAAAGAAAATATTTAATTAGTATTCTCAGTTCATTGAGTCAGGGATGTGCTGTACGTCAAACACAGTCATGAGTAAGACATCCCCCTTTGCCTGTTGGCAAGGCCCAAGGAGAAGCAATGAAAGAAAAATGGGATATTTTTATTTGTGGCGAATATCACAGTATACTTAGAAGCTCTATTTAATTTTCCTGTTTATAAGCAGTGAAAAAACCTCTAAGAGTTCTTTGACCTGACAATGATCATGCAGCCATGTCAAAAAAAGGAAACTGTGGACTATTCTATGTACCCATGTGTCTACCTATTCTACTTCTCTTCTCTTTGTACAATCTAAACTTAGGTTTCGACTCATTGGCTTAGATATTTCCTCAGATAAATAACTCCAAAGTGAGCTCTGAATCATACTTGCCTGAAAATATTTGAAAGTACTCTTTTATAAATCCTTGTATCTAAGGTCTTCAGAAAATAAGGAAAAACATGCTGAAACATCCTAAGGAATTGGCAGAGGCCAGGAAATATGAGCTTGTTATGAGGGGGAATTTTGTTGAGACCTCTGAGGAAGGGAATGGTTTATTGTTCTGATTTTAGCAGTCAGTGAAAGGGACATTGGCTGAATGCCAGGTAGGGAAATGAAACCTGTAATGAAAAAAAGCCCTGCCATCAGAAATCTAACCACATCTTCCCAGCACTCACTGGAATTTTGTAAAATAGCTTTTGCAAAGTAACCTCATAAGTATAAACATTACATTTATGTCAGCCTACTACACTCATCTGCCCAGGATTGGGATGCCTTTCGGCTCCACCAACTAGAGAAAGAAAGGCATTCCCGAAATTGTACCAGACGGATTATTTGTGGTCTTAAGTAGGAAGAAACCCATATAGGAAGGCTGATCCCAGCCCTCGCTGGCGACATGCAGCCTACACAAGACTACTTAGCTTCAAAAGAAACTCCAACTCATCAGGAGTAAAGATTGACAGATGCTAGAGGCAACCTTAATATAGGCCTGGCTTAAAGAGTGTATCTAGATCAGTATATTTTAAGTGATTAAAATCATATGAAATATATTCTTTGATGACAATGAAATAACTTATTAGAAATCAATAACTTATTAGAAATCAGTAGCAGATAGGAATTTAGGAAATTCACAAGTAGATGGAAATGAAACAACACACTCTTGAATAACCAGTGGGTCAAAAACTACCAAAACAGACTCAAGAAAAAATAGAAAGTTTGAACATATCTGTAATAAGCGAAAAGATTAAATCAGTAATTAAAAACCACCCAAAGAAAAGTGCGAGACCATATGGCTTCACGGGAGAATTCCACCAAATATTTAAAGAAGAATTAGCACCAATCCTTCTCAAATGCTTCCGAGAATTAAAAGAGTAGTTCCAACTTATTCTATGAGGCTATTAACCTGATGTCAAAACCAGACAAAAACATTAAAAAAGAGAAAACTATAGTATAATATCCCTCGTGAATATAAATGCAAAAATTTTAAACTAGATTTTAGCAATATGAATCCAATAATATGTAAAAGGGGTAATATACTATGACCAAATTGTGTTTATTCCAGTAGTGTAGTACTGACTTAATATTTTAAAAAATGAACATAATTAACCAAATTAAAAAACTGAAAAAAAACTCTACTGAAATAAGTGAATATATTTATGCAAAACAAAACCAAAAAAAAAGAACTTTGGTCTATGTCTCATGCCATATTAAAAATACATGAAGATGGATTATAGACCTAAGTGTAAAAGCAAAACTGTAAAACTTCTAGATGAGACGTGAGAAAATTTTTGGTACCTGTTAGGCAAAAATTTCTTTTGCCCAATATCAAAAGCACTATCCATAAAAGAGAAAAAAAGATAAATTGGGCTTTATAAAAAGTATAATTTTCTGCTCATCAGAAACACTGTTCAGGGAATGAAAAGACAAGCCACAGGCTGCGATGAAGTATTTGTAAAGTGTGTATTTGAAAAAGAACTTGTATCTAGAATACATAAAGAATTTACAAAAGTCAGTAATATGAAAGCCAACTACCCAATTCTTAAAACTAGGCAAGATATTTGAACAGATACTTCTCTTCATTGGAGAAGATATTCAGGCCAGGCGCGGTGGCTCATGCCTGTAATCCCAGCACTTTGGGAGGCTGAGGCGGGCGGATCACGAGGTCAGGAGATCGAGACCATCCTGGCTAACACGGTGAAACCCCGTCTCTACTAAAAATACAAAAAAAATTAGCCGGGCGTGGTGGTGGGCGCCTGTGGTCCCAGCTAGTCGGGAGGCTGAGGCAGGAGAATGGCGTGAACCTGGGAGGCGGAGTTTGCAGTGAGCCAAGATCCTGCCACTGCACTCCAGCCTGGGCAACAAAGCGAGACTCCCTCTCAAAAACAACAACAACAACAAACAAACAAACAAAAAAGAAGATATTCAGATGACAAGTAAGCAAATGCCAAGATGCTCAATATAGTTAGTCATTAGGAAAATGCAAATTAAAATCCCAATGAGATAACACTACACACCTATTAGAATGGCTAACTTTGTTATGAAGATGTGAATGAAAATGTGGAAGAACTACTTACGGAGATGTAAAAATGACACAACTACATTGGAAAAGACTTTGGCAGCTTCTTAAAAAATTAAAAAATATCTACTCTAGGGTCTAGCCACTTCTCCTAGGTATTTACATGAGATAAATAAAAACCTATGACCACATGAAGACTTGTACACAAATACTCATAACAGCTTTATTTGTAGTAGCCCACATCTGGAAACAACTCAAATATCTATCTACAGGTGAATAGATAAAGTGGATGATATCCATTCAATGGAATACTATTTAGCAATAAAAGGAAGAATTGATACATGGAGCAACATGGATGGATATTAAAATAGTTACCCTGGGTAAAAGAAGACAGAGTATGATTATATTTATGTAAAATTCTAGAAAATGCAAATGAATCAAAGTGACAAAAAGCAAATCGGTAGTTTGCTGGGAGTGCAGTGGGTAAAGGGGGATGTGGAAAACTGGGAGGGAGGGACTCCCAAGGGGATACCTATGGTCTGAATGTTTGTGTTCCCCCCAAATTTATACGCTGAAGCCCAAACCCCCGAAGGTGATGGCATTAGGAGGTGGGCCCTTTTGGGAGGTGATGAGGTCATGAGGGAGGAGCCCTCATGAAGAAGATTGTTCCCCTTATAAGATAGGCCCATGGGAGCTCATTTGCCCCTTCCACCTTGTGGGGATACAAGAAGGCTCCACCTTTGAAGCAGAGAGAGAGCTGTCACCAGACAATGAATCTGCCAGTGCCTTGATCTTGTACAGCCTCAAGAACTGTGAGGAATACATTTCTGTTGTTTATAAGCTACCTAGTTTATGATATTTTGTTATAGCAGCCCCAAAAGACTAAGATAGGGCCCAAGGAAATTTTGGGGGATGATATATGTGTTCACTCTCTTGATTGTGGTGATGGTTTCATGGATAGATACAGATACAGCCTCAAAATTCATCAAACTGATACTTTAAGTATGTATAGTTTATTATATGTCAATTATACCTCAATAACACAACATTTAAAAAATAAAACTATGACTACAAATAGAAATTTTAAAAAATATACTCAGTGAACAGAAAAGGAAGTTTTGGTATTGTGGCTAAACTCCCTTTTTTCTCCCAGTATTAAGTAATAATACGTAGGCATATTTACTAAAATATTGCCATGTACTAGGCATAATATTAGATACTTTATATGTGTTAGTTATTTAACATTCACAACATCCCTGTGAGATAGATAACCCTATTAGACCATTTCATAATTGGAAAACCGATGGACTTAACCAAGTACTCACTTGTAAAAGTGGCAAAGTCAGGATTTAAATCATTCTTGACAACTACACTCACTACCTCACGTGAGACAAAACCCTCATTTAATTGTTAAACTGTGCTTGCTGTCTTGAATTAGAAATACTAGACTAGGAAGGAGACCTCCAGAGAGCCAGAGAGGAAGGCTGAATGAGGGCCAGAAATAATCACCCGGAACTGAGTTTGGAGTGATAAATACTTTAGCTCTGGCTCCATACCTGTCCTGCAACTGCATCCTGACTCTGTGTATAATACTTAACTGCCTGTGTCAAGTAATTCAGCCTAGACCTGACCCTTTCCCTTATTTGTGCAGGTGACTCTGTTTCTGCCCCAGGCCAACCTTAATACCCAAGGCCCTTCACCAGTTTTTGCAGCAAAGATTTTTTGGTAATTTTAGTGGTGATCTGGAGATTCATAGGAAAGAGTCACATCTCCCAATGCTCTGCTCAGTCCCCCACCTCCTGCAGCTACCTATTTCTCTAAGCCTCCCCCGACTTCCCCCACTTCTCCAGCCAGACTCCCATCACTCTTCACATTTCCTCTGCAGTGCTTGGTCCCAGTCTTCCGTCTACTTTCCTTCTTCACTTAAGACCAAGGCTATGTCTTTTACCCACCTCATTGCTATCAAAGCCCTTTCTCCCTTAGGAAATTATCTGGCCAGCTACTAAGAAGATAAATTTGTTTCTGTATCCTGACAGAAGTTATTGCTGTCTTCCCAAGGCTGACCTGACAAGTGTGTTGCTGTAGTAACCACATCTAAAAAAATGTGTGGCCAACAGCAAAGATATGGAATCAACCTAAGTGTCCTGTCAATGGATAATAGGATAAAGAAAATGTGGTATATAAACACAATGGAATACTATTCAGCCATAAAAAAGAATGAAATAATGTGTTCTGCGGTGACATGGATGGAACTGGAGGCCATTGCCTTAAGTGAAACAACTCAGAAACAGAAAGTCAAATACTGCATGTTTTCACTTATAAGTGGGAGCTATATAATGTGTACACATGGGCAAAGAGTGTGGAATGATAGACACTAGAGACTTGGAAGGGTGGGGGCACAGAAGGTGGGGAGATTATGAGAAATTACTTAATTGGTACAAAGTACATTTTTCAGATAACAAATCCAGTAAAAGCCATGACTTCACCACTGTGCAATACATGCATGTAACGAAATTTCGCTTGTACCCTTTAAATTTATACAAATAAAAAATGCATAGAGAATGGGAGGGGACCTTCTTCTCAAAGAGAATCTCAGCCCTTGGTTATTAAAACAAAGGCCAAAGCTCATGCACACCTCAGAAATCAGGTCTAAAATTTTCAGACTGATATCAGATATCCACTGGTGGCTAGCGGGTTCACCTGCATCAATTTGTATGATTTTATTAAGGAGGGGATAAAAAAAAGTTTGCACACTTCTGTCCTCCTTGCAAGCTTTGCACAGCTGCCTTCCTAGGGCTTGCAAAATATAGTTTCAAATGTGAAGGGGGCATTTATAACTCAGCATCTCAGGTCTCCAGGGGCAGGAAAAATGATACTAGGATAATGTCTGCCACCAACCAGGATTGTCTCTCTTACCTCCTCTGTGGCTGCATTTGGGAGAATAAGGGCTGAAAAGGCAGGGAGAGTGGATAGGGCCTCTCCAACAGTTTGGGCAGCATGAGGTAGAGAGCAGAATAAATACTGCTCAAGGAAGTGAAACCCGCTATTGGGTTTGTAATGCCTCTTTGCTGTTCTGCTAGCTCCCGCACTCCAGAGATGACTAAGCAGCTGATTCATTGTGGCACCCTCAGAAAAACAGCTCAGCCCTGAGAGAGGAGTCATGCAAGAGGAGAGGGCGCGCATGTGTGTGTGTGTGTTACGGGTGAGGGGGTGGTGTCTGTCAACATGTCTTTTAATGAGCAGTCACAGTATTTTACAAAGGCTTGAATTAGTTGCCAATATGTTTAAAGAAACACAAAGATGAGGTTTTTTTTGCATGAAAAATCCGAATTTGTGAATATCAGCTGATCTGACACCCTGTGTTACTTTAATAGCTTCCTTGCTGGTCTTCCTGCTTCCATCATTTTCTCTTTTACAGTCTGTTTTCAACCCAGCAGCCAGAGGGATCCTTTTCCAATGTAAATCAAATTATGTCACTTCCTTGATTAAAATCTTCCCATGATGTTCCATCTCACTCAGAGTAAAAGTGAGAGTCCCAGAAATGCTCTGTGAGACCTACCTGCTGAGGTACCCTGTTACCTTTCACCTGTCCTAGTCTTCCCTGTCCTCTTCCTCTCCTTCCCCTTCCACTTTCCTCTCCATCTCCTCCTCTTTCTTTTCCTCCTTCTCCTAGTATAAAAGATGGAACCAGACTATTCTGTGGCTCTATTTTCTGTGTGTTTTTGAGTAAATTACTTAACTGGTCTGTGCCTCACTTCCTCATTGGTGAAATGAGGCTAAAAATCGTATCCTGTTCGTAGTGTTGTTTTGAGAACAAAATGAGTTAATATTTTTAAAGCCCCTAAGACAGTGCCCGACACATAATAAAAATAATCCCATTGCTCTTCTAATCCAGCCATGCGGATTTTCTTAATTTTGCTCAAATAAGATAGGTTTGCTCCTGCCTCAGTGCCTTTGCAGATGCTCCTTTCTCTGCCAGGCTGTGGCTTCTACAAATACCCATCTCTTTCAAGCCTTACTTACCTGTATTTGAAGTGAATGAAAAATTGAAAAACAAAAACCCAAGTGGACCAAAAAATAAACAAACAAAAGCCAGCCAGGAAGAAATGAAGAGTATTGATTAAATTCAGCAAATAAATGGAAGAAAAAAAAAATCTCAAAATAAAGACTCATTTACAAGGTGGCTTTAGGAAAAGAGATTCAAATTAAAATTTAACAAGAAACATTGAAGAAAACTGGAAAATAACCAAAATAATTAAAATTTATAGTAATTTTTTTCTAGAAAATCATGAGGACACCTAAAGTATAAATTAGATATGGCTCAGCACTGTCTAGTTTACAATTTACCTTATGAAGTCAACTTATTGCTCTAAGTATTTGGGTCCAAGCATCTGGGACCAGCTTGTTACCATCTCTGACTATTGGAAAACCTTTTGCCAATTGCTTCCCCTCTGCTTCCTTTTCTAGTCCCGTCTGAACTGTCTTGTCTGGCCCTGTTTCCACCCAGGAAGCCGCAGATCCTGACTCCTTGTGTTTGTTTCTCTGCCCAGATGAGAAACACCCATCACCTCTGACTTTCCAAGGAGCAAATCACGCTCCGTGCCGGGCTCCCCCAACAACACCACTCCCTCTTCCCTTGCGATCTCCAGGTCCTCCTTTGACACTTCACTTCTCCTGAGAATCATACTGCTTCTGTTTCTACTCTGCATGCCAGAAGTTATTGCTTTCATCTATTCAATAAAGATTTATTTTAAGCAATTAAGTACCTGATATGTTTTTTTTTCCACCAGGGAACTTTGTACAATTTTATGTTTTTAAAAATTATTTCCAGAGGGATCTGAACAATTACAAATGGAGGCTTCAGTATGAGTACCTTAAATAAATATCACCTATTATTCAGAGACAAGGAGAGGATGGGAAAGGCACATTCCCTCTCTGGTCCTGGGGAGTTGAGGCCGCATAGAGGGGTCTCCTCTAAGCAGTCTGGAACATTGTTTATAACTCCTGATTGGCCCTGTTCTTGATCATGCCTTTCCTGGACTCCACAGCACTGTGGGACTAATGTAGAAAGGCTCTGTTCAACCAATAAGAAAAAAGACATTTTGTGTCATGCCTGGCAAGAACCTGCCTCCCCACTTTATCCTGAAGTGAGGCTTGTCTGGGAGACCTGGGCTCACTAAAAGGACTCAGAAATACATAAGCTGTCGAAGGTGTGAAAATGAATGTCATATGACGGAAAAGTTTTCAAAATATTAAAAACTTCAGGAAGGGGAAGAGGAACAAGACTATAGAAGAAAACGAAATCTCAAAATAAGAGTGTGGATTTTGTGTGATGTTTGAATTAGAGCTAGAGGAAGAGTAGAGAGGAGAGAGTTATTGGTTTTCCTCTCAGCAACTTTTTTTAAGGCACTTACAAAACTCAGATGTTGATTTATTTTTTTTTTCCTTTTCAGTAACCTTGTCTGATGAAGTCTTCATCTAACCATTCTCTGCCCCTTCAAATGAGATCATTGTTTTCGTAACATGTTTTGGGGTGGAAAAGAGTTTGGTGAATTTGTTCCAGAATAGATAGTGTCAACTCAACTGAGGTTTATTCTTTGATTACAAAAGATTTCCCTTCCTAAAATGCCAACCATGTCACCATTCTGCCACATCCCTCTACTCTTCTCTCCTCTCCTTAAACCAGATGCAGTGTCCTTTGACTAGAGTGGGGAGGAGGCGAGCTGACTCCACATTTCCACCCAAGTGGGACTGTGATGAGCATTGGAATGACCTGTTCAGGATGTCACTGCTTACTGTCTCTGGCTTTTGGCAGAAAGAGGAAGGAGCAAGAAACAATTCCAGAGAAAAGGATAAATTAAGAGGCCAAATAACCTTCACGATTGTTTTTTAATTAAAATTGATGTTCACACAAATGTCAGTCAGCTCTGTAAGTACTAATTCTAGAGAAATACTAATTAGTAAATTTTAACAATTGAAGGCCATATTAATATTCATTTTTGTAGATACACAAAATACCACTTACCCCAGTTTCCCCTTGAATCCCAATAACACTGCACTCTGTGATTATGGAAAATTGCACCACTTGAGTTCTGACTTTTGAAATTACCTATGTTTTTAAATATAAAATGAGCTGATTCTTAAAATTCAGAAGTGAATGGCTTTCAGGCTGTCACACACCTTGAGAATATCAGGGTTTGGGGGGCAATTCTGTGCATGTCCCCGCTCCCTTCAGATCTTGCCATCTGCCCCACGCACACCATCGCCCACCCCTACTCTCTCCTACTGCCTCTGGATGAAGCCTGCCTGTTGTTCACACGTTTTATGCTGTGTTATATAGAAGAGTGCTTAACAGCCTCTTAGCTCCATATGACATTGGGCAAATCACTCAATCTCTGTGCTGTATTCGCCCCATCTTTAATATAAGAGATCATTTAGAACTTATCTCATAAGGATATAAGGAATAAAATAAATTAAGATGCATACAGTGCCTAGAACAGTTTAGCAATGTAGTGTGAATGTTAAATATTATCTTCCAATCCTTGTGTTTATACTATTCATCTGTGAGCCCCTCCAGGATTGTTCTCTCTGATAATTTAATCCTCCCTGTCCTGTCAATTCAGACGAATTTCTTCCTCATGTGAAATCATTACCGGTACCTTGTACTTAAAACATAATATATTCCATGTGTTATTTATTTTTTCTTATGAACCTTTTTTCCTGTCTCAGTTAGACTGATCTCACAGACAGTAATGCTCTTCACACATTTTTTTTTTCTGTGTCCTGTTGAGTGCTTTGCACACAATAGATCCTCAAGCAAATTTTTGTTATTGAGACTATTGAAGATAGCAACTATGTAGAATCCGGAAAGAAAAGCATGGCAAAAAATAAAGTATTTTGGTATGATGTGTTGGTTCCTGTTCTTACACTGAAGAATCCAGTGCAAGAATCTATGCAAGCAAGAAGGCAAAATTTTCATCTTGTCTGGATGGGTGAGCCTGAAACAAATAACTTCCTTTGTGGATACGATGTGGGTTTTATTTGAAATGTCTCTACAAACCACACAAGAATTTTTATCTTTCTGAAAATTGGTCTGCTAGGGAAAGATACTGACATCTTTCAGTCAATGCAGTTTTCACCCTGTTCAGCACTTCTCCCACAATAGTGGGCAGTCCCTCTGCAGAAATCTCTGCGGAGCTTTGGCCTAAGGGTAGCTCAGCACTCTGACACCACATGTAATTATCTAGAATGCAGGGACTCTGCATAGACCCATATGACTGGTGTTCCTGGTGGGATTCTGGTAGTAAGATGGATGCACAAAGGTAACTGCTAGGGAGTGGAGGGCAGAGAGAGACATGCATAATGATAACTTTACACCTCTACTACTTAGGGGGAAGAGCCTGTTCAATCTGACTTAGTTTAGAGGATGTGGGTTTGTCTTGTGAAAAACTGAATGGTAAGAGTTTGCTCTAAGTCTGATCTTAGCACTTGAAAAACAAATGTCAAATTGCTGTCTATTGAATTAAGAAATTAGCGAATGAGTGAGTGGCCTGAGGAGATCTGGGTGGTTCTAGACCTTCAACTCTGAAAGATGTGAAAAAGACTAGGTTGGCCTGTGTTTCTGTTTCTGTGGCTCAAGCCACACCTGAGATGTCTACTGAGTTATGAAATAAAATGGTGTCATGAACTATTGCAATTTTTCTACCCAAGGCCCTAAGCCTTACACAATCCTCTAATCCATTCTTAAAGTTATCTAAGACACAAATGTGATCATGTTACAGACACTCCTTCAATGGCTTTTTTTTTTTTTGCTACACTTGGAAAAAGTCCAAAGTCCTTAGCATAGCGTGCAAAGTTCTCCGTGTTCTGCCTTCTGCCTTTTCTCCCCATCATGTCTCTTATGTCTCCTCCATTCAGTATTCAAAATTCCATATCTTACACCCTGACTATGGAAAGAATTTACTGTTCTGCAATGTGCCAGATTCTCTTAAGCCTTCCTGCCTTTGCATTCCTTTGCCAGGAATGACCACCAGCTTTTTCTGCCTGGCTAATGTCCACTAATTCCCCAAACATTAGCTCACGAGTTTCCTCCTATGTGGCACTTTCTCTGATTCCCTCCAGGAAGAGTTAGGTGTTCTCTTTTCTCTGTTCTCCCAGCAATCTTTGACCGTCTTTTTTGTTACATACTTGTCTTTCCCTCCAGACTGTGACCTAATTTAGGGCAAATATTCCATTGTACCACAGAGCATAATTTTGGTAGATAGCTATTGTTGTCCATAAATGTAATTATGAATTATAATACAGCATAATGATTATATTACACATGTTGAAGTTAGTCGAGCCTGTGTTTGCATCATAGAACCTCCATTTTTCGGAACTGTGCCAGTTTTGTAACCTCTCTAAGTTTCAATTTGTTCATCTGTAAAGTGGAGACAATAATCATGTCTTCCTCATAGCCTTGTGTGAGTATTAAGTAAGACAGTGACTGTGAATGTTTCAGCCCAGTGCCTTGAACACAGTGTGTATTCCATTTTGTAGCAGCAGGCCCAGCTGAAGATAGAATTTGTTTTTGTTTTCTCTACTTCAAAAAGAAAGGAGTGGCTGGGCGTGGTGGCTCATGCCTGTAATCCCAGCACTTTGGGAGGCCAAGGTGGGTAGATTGCTCGAGGTCAAGAGTTCAAGACCAGCCTGACCAACATGGTGAGGCATGTCTCTACTAAAAATACAAAATTAGCCAACTGAACCCAGGAGGTGGAGGTTGCAGTGAGCTGAGATCGTGCCACTGCACTCTAGCCTGGGTGACATAGCAAGACTCCGTCTCAAAAAAAAGAAAAAAAAAACTATACAAAAATTGTATTATAATAGTTTATGACACTGTTTTATTCCATAACTCAGTAGACATCCCAGGTGTGGCTTGAGCCACTGAAACAGATACACAGACCAACCTAGTCTTTTTCACATATACTACACTGATGTCAATTTTTCTTGCAAGTGAATTGCAAGGCGTTGTACTTTTATGGTTTTGTGTTCGTTTGTCTGTGGTTTTTTTTGTTTTGTTTTGTTTTTTGTCTTGCTCTGTCTCCAGGCTGGAGTGCAGTGGCGTGATCTCAGCTCACTGCAACCTGTCTCCCGGGTTCAAGCGACTCCCCTGCCTCAGCCTTTAATTGAGTAGCTGGGACTACAGGCACACGCCACCATGCCCGGCTAATCTTTTGTATTTTAGTAGAGACAGGGTTTCACCATGTTGGCCAGATTCACAACTTATACTCAGAAGGCTGGAATTCTAAGCAATGTTATTCAACATGTGACCCAAGAACTGGTGCTGCAGTCTGTGACAAGATAAGGACAGGTATTGACAGGAATATTTAGAAACTTTCGTAGCAGTTTGGTGTTTCTGTGACATCTAGGCATGTGCTTGCTTTTCTGGCAATTATTTTTATTGTGTTGTACGAAAGAACTAGTCTGCAACCAAATGTACATAAAACAAAAACAAAACTAGAACTTCACCATACACAATTTGAGAAGCATTGGCTGAAAGTACTTAAAAACCAACTAGTTCAGTCTTTTTCATATTGGACTTAAGACTACCAACACCCAGAGAGGTAAAGCAAGAAAATAAGGAACCAGACCTAAAACCCAGGCATACCAATTCCTGTTCCAATGCACTTTCTCAAAGACTCTCAATCCTGAAACTAGAATTACAAATTGTCATCTGGGTTAGAATATCCAGGTCTACTACTTCCTTTCCTCCTCTCTTCTGCAGCTTGTACTTGAGGGCCATTTTCATGCTCACAAATATCTCTGCTAGCAGGGGATTCCAATGTATCTTGGAAGGAGGTTAGAGAATGACCCACATTGTGGACTCCTTGGTCTCTGTGTTTTTCTGTTCTGCCAAGTAAGGTGGCTAGGCATCAGACATCATGTACTCATACATGGTATGGACAAGTGCCTAATCTCAGGAGCCCTGCCTGCCTAGACATATATGCACCATTATTAGTCTGTCTGTAGCCAAGGATCCCAAATTCCTATTACTAGAGCATTGAAAAGCACCCCTTTACCCTTTACCGTAATATGGAATTCAGTTTGTTACATTTCTCTCTTTCCTTGGAAATCTGAGGTCTCTCTTTACCTGAAGATGGCTCATTATTTACTGAGTCCCATTGCCCATCAGGAAAAGCAAACACAACTCCTTCGTAGATATGGAAAAAGAGAAGGATGGTCAATGGGGGACTGAAAAGGGGCTTGCAAACATTAGTCCCCAGAGATAATTATATGGGAAAGGATCCAGGAGGCCAGATTCCCACAACAGTAAGACAACCCAGTCCAAACCATTTGCATTCAGATCTGAGTCTTTCTGAGAAAGGGCATGTTTTCCTTTTAGCCTGTCTCTTCCCATTAGTATTCCCACAGTTTCCTCTTAAATATTCTCTTGGAAAATCCCAACTGCTCTCAGCTTATCAAAGGGAGAAATGAAAACTTAACCTAAGATGGCTAGGCGAGGTGGCTCACACCTGTAATCCCAGCACTTTGGGAGGCCAAGATGTGTGGATCACGAGGTCAGGAGATCGAGACCATCCTGGCTAACACGGTGAAACCCCCGTCTCTACTAAAAAAAATACAAAAAAATTAGCCAGGCGTGGTGGCAGGCGCCTGTAGTCCCAGCTACTCGGGAAGCTGAGGCAGGAGAATGGCGTGAACCTGGGAGGCAGAGCTTGCAGTGAGCCAAGATCGCGCCACTGCACTCCAGCCTGGACGACAGAGTGAGACTCTGACTCAAAAAAAAAAAAAAAAACTTAACCTAAGACAAGATACCTATGAGGATCTGAAGGTACTTGGGGCCAGGGGATGGTGGCCACATGCATCTGGGGAGATAAAAGAGAAGGAGAGGAAACCATGGGATGACTGAGTGTGGATCCCTTTCTGACTGGCATTTCTTCAGAAAAGATCCTCTTTCCTTGTCCTATAGTCCCTCGTTTGCATTAGACAACCAAAGGCAGAGGCACGCTCTCCAGAAGTCCTCAACACTTAGGGGAATGGGAAGAAAGACCCTTAAAGACCTGAGGCTTCATGAGCACCATCGTGAAGATGGAGGAATCCTATTGGCTAACTGTCCCCTTGGAGTACACAAAGCACACAGGAATGGAGATTTTGAGGGCAGGGCAGAGCACCACAGTAGGGGCTAGGAATGCCTAAGGAAAGAAGGCCAGGAAGCTACGGATGAAGAGCTAGAACTGAGGGATCGACCCTGAGAGAGGAATTAGCTATAGAGGTTAACCCCCTCGTGATTTCCCCAGGATAGGTCGATGATGAAGTGATAATGTGATATAACCTTTGCATGGACCCCTTTAGGTACATACACTCTCTTCAAGTCTCTTGGGTCTGAATCAGTTTTTAGGAACTACTTTTAAATTGCAGAAATTTTATTTTTAATAAAAGCAAGAGTGCTGTGTGAGAAACAATATAAATTATCATTAAAAAATGAAATTATAGGGGCTACACCACCAAATAGCTCAGTGTTTCTAAATTTCCAGATATTAAGGAATTGTGAGATCTCAACTACTTGCTAATTGACAATTTATCTATTTATAAGGATCTTTAGTCTTCATTTTGTCAAATCCCAAATTTTGGAAAAATACTCTTCTTGGTATTTCAGGTTCTTTTGTAAGGATTTTGTGAGCTATTTATGTCTACCATCCCTCATTCAATACCAGTCAAACCCACTTATTGATTGTTGCTAACTTCCTAATTTTTCTTCTCTAGTATCTTTAGCATTATCTTAAAATTATGAGCATTCTTCTCAGCAATTCACAAAATTTCTAGAAGAATTTCTGATAATGGAGACATATATATATGTATATATATGTACGCATAAATGTGTAAACGTGTGTCTGCTGCTTCAATCCCCACAGAAACATCTTTATGCCAGGAAGATGGAGATTGAGAGATCATAGAGATTTCTAAGCATGCTTAGCCTGTACTCATGTGTTTCTTTCATTAGCAGTTTGTAGAAAACACTTTTGATGTGGCTAACTGAGCAAAGAAAACATGCAGTATTCTGTGCATGGTTGGTCATTGCAAGGTATTTCCTATAACTCACTGTTAGTTATTGAACTTGAGGAGTTAATATTCATTTACATGTTTGTATAAAATGGCCCTCACGGATTCTCTGGTTTATTTCTCATCAGTTAAAGGTGTCACTATTTTTCCCTTCGTGTTGTGCTTGTGGTTTTGTTTTGTCTATTCTCCTTCACTCATTCTGATTCATCTGCTTCATGTCAGAATAAGAAGAGAAGAGAAAAGAGAGAGAGAGAGATGGAGACACGTAGAGAGAGAGAATGACAGTGTCTATGGGTGTGTAGAACATCATGACATTAGTCAGGCAACTACTTCCTTCAACATTATTTCCATTTATTATTAATATGCTCATTGCTTATGTCTTGTCCAGACCTAGAAAGTCAACTCCCCGTTGGTCAACCTTCTAGGGTTATACCTGCTTAGATCAGGCAGAGGCAGTAAAGAGCTACTATGGTAGGAAATTCCAGTGGGAGAAAGAGGCTGGAGGGGTTTACGGGAGGGCCGTATGACTGTAAGTAGGCCAGAGTTATTCAAAGATCAGAACCAGACATTTGAAGGGGGAAACCTTGATGACCATAGACTGACAGCTAACAACAAGGTTCATGACAGTTGTAAATTCTGAGGGGTCAGGACTAAGAACCATGATGTAAAAAATTGTTATCATCACATGCAGGCAGGTAGAGTTGACAGGGTAGATGGACAGAGCTTTAGAGGTATTTGCAAGGACCTCTCCTCTTGCCTTGTGGTTCTTGAAGGATGCTGATTTCTCTGGACCTGGAAACTGCAGAACTGATCTACAGCCCAGAAGTATGTGTGAAGATATAGGAGCCAAAGAAAAGACTAGTCCCTTATCTTCAGAGCAGGAACTTCTGTTTCTATTTAAGTTGATATGATTATTCAGAAAACTCTGTTTAGGGGTAAGTTTTAAGTTTTTTTAGTGTTGGCATTTCAATGTCCTAAACTTTCTTTACAGATGTTTCTTTCAAGGGGGTTCTTGCAGTGAAAGTGTCTAGCACAAATATTAAGTAAGACCATGAAGGCAGTAAAAAGGAGACATGATATAATACCCTTTTGATAGTGCTTTGCTTTGAAAAATTTGTGCTCACATAAATATTTTGCACTGCATGGGTAGCCATGGGATCAGAAATTTTTACAAAAGATTCTGTGTAATGTTAGTTTTGGATCACATTTTGAGTGTAATGGTTCCATACAAGGATGATTAAATGTTGCTAATCTGTCATGCTTTTAAAACCTTTCTTTAAATCCATATCACAATAATGAGAACATGCTGTGGATACCAAGAAGGGCTCATGGGAATGGTCAAAGCACAAAACTTTGGCCTTAAGGTCTTCTGTTTTGATCTAAAACACTTTGTGATTGACCAATACCTGTTGCTTACCAGTAATTGAGGCCTGCACATAAATTAAGAGAAAACTATTCTGACTACAGCCACAGTGAATATCAAAGATGCAAATTAGATGGAGTAGTAAAAGTAGAATAAGTTAAGCTTGTAAATATGGATAAACTGGATTCCCATAATATTGAAACATTCTTCCTTTCGAAGGAATTAGTTTTCAAACATGGCTCCCCATATGCAAATTGAGATGGAGATACTGCCAGCATGACAAAAAGTAGGCAAAAAATTTTAATAAATAATAGTAATAATCAGACACTAAACATTAAACTCCCTCTTTTGTATGCTTGTGTTAACCAAACACAAAATTTCAAGCACAATAATTTGGCCACCAACGACATTGTGAAAACACTATAAAAGAAGACACAGAAAAATACAAAGCAAAGTTTTCCCTTTTGACTTTAGGTATGAAGAATGTTGTTAAATCAGAAGAAATGTATCTTTCCCCAAATTTCATATTAAAGAGAAGGCAGAAGATTTGGACATTCAATGATAAATTAAATTTTTATTGGAATTTTAAAATAAGTCATGCTTAGGAATAAAAGCAGGAATGTTTTTACTTTTAAAATAGAGGTGATAGAGCAGAACTGAATAAAATTGAGACCCAAAAATTCATACAAAGAATCATTGAAACAAAAAGTTGGTTATTTGAAAGGACAAATAAGGTAAATAGACTTTTAGCAAGACTACTAATGAACAAAAGAGAGTAGATTTAAATCAGCACAATAAGAAATGACAAAAGTGATGTTACCACTGACCATACGGAAATACAAAAGATCCTCAGAGGCCACTATGAACATCTATTCACACAAACTAGAAAATCTAGAGGAAACTGATAAATTCCTGGAAACACACAATCTCCCAAGATTGAATCAGGAAGAAATTGGAACCCTGAACGACCAACATCAAGTTCCAAAATTGAATCAGTAATTTAAAAAAACCTATCAGCCACAGCAAGCTCAAAACCAGATGGATTCCCAACTAAATTCTACCAGTTATACAAAGAACTGTTACCAATTCTGAAACTACTCCAAAAATTTGAGGAGGCACTCCTCTCTAACTCATTCTATGAAAGCAATATCTCCTGATATCAAAACCTGGCAAAGATACAACAAAAAAAGAAAACTACGGGCACATATCCCTTATAAACGTAGATGCAAAAATCCTCAACAAAATACTAGCAAACCAAATCCAACAGGATATAAAAAAGTTAATTCACCGTGACCATACTTGGCTTCATTCCTTGGATGCAAGGTTGATTCGACATACATAAATCAATAAACATGATACACCACATAAACAGAACTACAGACAAAAACATATGATCTCTCAATAGACATGGAAAAACCTTTTGATAAAATCCAACATCCCTTCATGATAAAAACCCTCAACAAACTAGGCATTGAAGGAACATACCTCAAAATAAGAGCTATCTGGCAGGGAGGAGCCAAGATGGCCGAACAGGAACAGCTCCGGTCTACAGCTCCCAGCGTGAGCGAAGCAGAAGACAGGTGATTTCTGCATTTCCATCTGAGGTACCGGGTTCATCTCACTAGGGAGTGCCAGACAGTGGGCGCAGGTCAGTGGGTGCACGTATCGTGCACGAGCCGAAGCAGGGCGAGGCATTGCCTCACTTGGGAAGTGCAAGGGGTCAGGGAGTTCCCTTTCCGAGTCAAAGAAAGCGGTGACTGACAGCACCTGGAAAATCGGGTCACTCCCACCAGAATACTGCGCTTTTCCGACGGGCTTAAAAAACGGCGCACCACGAGATTATATCCCACACCTGGCTCGGAGGGTCCTACGCCCACGGAGTCTCGCTGATTGCTAGCACAGCAGTCTGAGATCAAACTGC
The DNA here is from genome assembly GCF_000001405.40 of Homo sapiens. Lineage (NCBI taxonomy): Eukaryota > Metazoa > Chordata > Mammalia > Primates > Hominidae > Homo > Homo sapiens. The sequence continues at coordinate 112,664,751 of NC_000003.12, read as the reverse complement.
AAGGCGGCAGCGAGGCTGGGGGAGGGGCGCCCACCATTGCCCAGGCTTGATTAGGTAAACAAAGCAGCTGGGAAGCTCGAACTGGGTGGAGCCCACCACAGCTCAAGGAGGCCTGCCTGCCTCTGTAGGCTCCACCTCTGGGGGCAGGGCACAGACAAACAAAAAGACAGCAGTAACCTCTGCAGACTTAAATGTCCCTGTCTGACAGCTTTGAAGAGAGCAGTGGTTCTCCCAGCACGCACCTGGAGATCTGAGAACGGGCAGACTGCCTCCTCAAGTGGGTCCCTGACCCCTAACCCCCAAGCAGCCTAACTGGGAGGCACCCCCCAGCAGGGGCACACCGACACCTCACACGGCAGGGTATTCCAACAGACCTGCAGCTGAGGGTCCTGTCTGTTAGAAGGAAAACTAACAAACAGAAAGGACATCCACACCAAAAACCCATCTGTACATCACCATCATCAAAGACCAAAAGTAGATAAAACCACAAAGATGGGGAAAAAACAGAACAGAAAAACTGGAAACTCTAAAAAGCAGAGCGCCTCTCCTCCTCCAAAGGAACGCAGTTCCTCACCAGCAATGGAACAAAGCTGGATGGAGAATGACTTTGACCAGTTGAGAGAAGAAGGCTTCAGACGATCAAATTACTCTGAGCTACGGGAGGACATTCAAACCAAAGGCAAAGAAGTTGAAAACTTTGAAAAAAATTTAGACGAATGTATAACTAGAATAACCAATACAGAGAAGTGCTTAAAGGAGCTGATGGAGCTGAAAACCAAGGCTTGAGAACTACGTGAAGAATGCAGAAGCCTCAGGAGCTGACGCGATCAACTGGAAGAAAGGGTATCAGCAATGGAAGATGAAATGAATGAAATGAAGCGAGAAGGCAAGTTTAGAGAAAAAAGAATAAAAAGAAATGAGCAAAGCCTCCAAGAAATATGGGACTATGTAAAAAGACCAAATCTACGTCTGATTGGTGTACCTGAAAGTGATGGGGAGAATGGAACCAAGTTGGAAAACACTCTGCAGGATATTATCCAGGAGAACTTCCCCAATCTAGCAAGGCAGGCCAACGTTCAGATTCAGGAAATACAGAGAACGCCACAAAGATACTCCTCGAGAAGTGCAACTCCAAGACACATAATTGTCAGATTCACCAAAGTTGAAATGAAGGAAAAAATGTTAAGGGCAGCCAGAGAGAAAGGTCGGGTTACCCTCAAAGGGAAGCCCAACAGCGGATCTCTCGGCAGAAACCCTACAAGCCAGAAGAGAGTGGGGGCCAATATTCAACATTCTTAAAGAAAAGAATTTTCAACCCAGAATTTCATATCCAGCCAAACTAAGCTTCATAAGCGAAGGAGAAATAAAATACTTTACAGACAAGCAAATGCTGAGAGATTTTGTCACCACCAGGCCTGCCCTAAAAGAGCTCCTGAAGGAAGCACTAAACATGGAAAGGAAAAACCAGTACCAGCCGCTGCAAAATCATGCCAAAATGTAAAGACTATCGAGACTAGGAAGAAACGGCATCAACTAACGAGCAAAATAACCAGCTAACATCATCATGACAGGATCAAATTCACCCATAACAATATAAACTTTAAATGTAAATGGACTAAATGCTCCAATTAAAAGACACAGACTGGCAAATTGTATAAAGAGTCAAGACCCATCAGTGTGCTGTATTCAGGAAACCCATCTCACGTGCAGAGACACACATAGGCTCAAAATAAAAGGATGGAGGAAGATCTACCAAGCAAATGGAAAACAAAAAAAGGCAGGGGTTGCAATCCTAGTCTCTGATAAAGCAGACTTTAAACCAACAAAGATCAAAAGAGACAAAGAAGGCCATTACATAATGGTAAAGGGATCAATTCAACAAGAAGAGCTAACTATCCTAAATATATATGCACCCAATACAGGAGCACCCAGATTCATAAAGCAAGTCCTGAGTGACCTACAAAGAGACTTAGACTCCCACACATTAATAATGGGAGACTTTAACACCCCACTGTCAACATTAGATCAACGAGACAGAAAGTCAACAAGGATACCCAGGAATTGAACTCAGCTCTGCATCAAGCGGACCTAATAGACATCTACAGAGCTCTCCACCCCAAATCAACAGAATATACATTTTTTTCAGCACCACACCACACCTATTCCAAAACTGACCACATACTTGGAAGTAAAGCTCTCCTCAGCAAATGTAAAAGAACAGAAATTATAACAAACTGTCTCTCAGACCACAGTGCAATCAAACTAGAATTCAGGATTAAGAATCTCACTCAAAACCACTCAACTACATGGAAACTGAACAACCTGCTCCTGAATGACTACTGGATACATAACGAAATGAAGGCAGAAATAAAGATGTTCTTTGAAACCAAAGAGAACAAAGACACAACATACCAGAATCTCTGGGATGCATCCAAAGCAGTGTGTAGCAGGAAATTTATTAGCACTAAATGCCCACAAGAGAAAGCAGGAAAGATCCAAAATTGACACCCTAACATCACAATTAAAAGAACTAGAAAAGCAAGAGCAAACACATTCAAAAGCTAGCAGAAGCCAAGTAATAACTAAAATCAGAGCAGAACTGAAGGAAATAGATACACAAAAAACTCTTCAAAAAATTAATGAATCCAGGAGCTGGTTTTTTGAAAGGATCAACAAAATTGATAGACCGCTAGCAAGATTAATAAAGAAAAAAAGAGAGAAGAATCAAATAGACACAATAAAAAATGATAAAGGGGATATCACCACCGATCCCACAGAAATACAAACTACCATCAGAGAATACTACAAACACCTCTATGCAAATAAACTAGAAAATCTAGAAGAAATGGATAAATTCCTCGACACATACACTCTCCCAAGACTAAACCAGGAAAAAAATGAATCTCTGAATAGACCAATAACAGGATCTGAAATTGTGGCAATAATCAATAGCTTACCAACCAAAAAGAGTCCAGGACCAGATGGATTCACAGCCGAATTCTACCAGAGGTACAAGGAGGAACTGTTACCATTCCTTCTGAAACTATTCCAATCAATAGAAAAAGAGGGAATCCTCCCTAACTCATTTTATGAGGCCAGCATCATTCTGATACCAAAGCCAGGCAGAGACACCACAAAAAAAGAGAATTTTAGACCAATATCCTCGATGAACATCAATGCAAAAATCCTCAATAAAATACTGGCAAAACGAATCCAGCAGCACATCAAAAAGCTTATCCACCATGATCAAGTGGGCTTCATCCCTGGGATGCAAGGCTGGTTCAATACACACAAATCAATAAATGTAATCCAGCATATAAACAGAGGCAAAGACAAAAACCACATGATTATCTCAATAGATGCAGAAAAAGCCTTTGACAAAATTCAACAACCCTTCATGCTAAAAAATCTCAATAAATTAGGTATTGATGGGACGTATTTCAAAATAATGAGTCATCTATGACAAACCCACAGCCAATATCGTACTGAATGGGCAAAAACTGGAAGCATTCCCTTTGAAAACTGGCACAAGACAGGGATGCTCTCTCTCACCACTCCTATTCAACGTAATGTTGGAAGTTCTGGCCAGGGCAATTAGGCAGGAGAAGGAAATAAAGGGTATTCAATTAGGAAAAGAGGAAGTCAAATTGTCCCTGTTTGTAGATGACATGATTGTATATCTAGAAAACCCCATTGTCTCAGCCCAAAATCTCCTTAAGCTCATAAGCAACTTCAGCAAAGTCTCAGGATACAAAATCAATGTACAAAAATCACAAGCATTCTTATACACCAACAACAGACAAACAGAGAGCCAAATCATGAGTGAACTCCCATTCACAATTGCTTCAAAGAGAATAAAATACCTAGGAATCCAACTTACAAGGGATGTGAAGGACCTCTTCAAGGAGAACTACAAACCACTGCTCAAGGAAATAAAAGAGGATGCAAACAAATGGAAGAACATTCCATGCTCATGGGTAGGAAGAATCAATATCGTGAAAATGGCCATACTGCCCAAGGTAATTTACAGATTCAATGCCATCCCCATCAAGCTACCAATGCCTTTCTTCACAGAATTGGAAAAAACTACTTTAAAGTTCATATGGAACCAAAAAAGAGCCCTCATCGCCAAGTCAATCCTAAGCCAAAAGAACAAAGCTGGAGGCATCACACTACCTGACTTCAAACTATACTACAAGGCTACAGTAACCAAAACAGCATGGTACTGGGACCAAAACAGAGATATAGATCAATGGAACAGAACAGAGCCCTCAGAAATGACGCTGCGTATCTACAACTATCTGATCTTTGACAAACCTGAGAAAAACAAGCAATGGGGAAAGGATTCCCTATTTAATAAATGGTGCTGGGAAAACTGGCTAGCCATATGGAGAAAGCTGAAACTGGATCCCTTCCTTACACCTTATACAAAAATCAATTCAAGATGGATTAAAGACTTAAACGTTACACCTAAAACCATAAAAACCCTAGAAGAAAACCTAGGCATTACCATTCATGATATAGGCACGCGCAAGGACTTCATGTCTAAAACACCAAAAGCAATGGCAACAAAAGACAAAATTGACAAATGGGATCTAATTAAACTAAAGAGCTTCTGCACAGCAAAAGAAACTACCATCAGAGTGAACAGGAAACCTACAAAATGGGAGAAAATTTTCGCAACCTACTCATCTGACAAAGGGCTAATATCCAGAATCTACAATGAACTCAAACAAATTTACAAGAAAAAAACAAACAACCCCATCAAAAAGTGGGCAAAGGCCATGAACAGACACTTCTCAAAAGAAGACATTTATGCAGCCAAAAGACACATGAAAAAATGCTCATCATCACTGGCCATCAGAGAAATGCAAATCAAAACCACAATGAGATACCATCTCACACCAGTTAGAATGGCAATCATTAAAAAGTCAGGAAACAACAGGTGCTGGAGAGGATGTGGAGAAATAGGAACACTTTTACACTGTTGGTGGGACTGTAAACTAGTTCAACCATTGTGGAAGTCAGTGTGGCGATTCCTCAGGGATCTAGAACTGGAAATACCATTTGACCTAGCCATCCCATTACTGGGTATATACCCAAAGGACTATAAATCATGCTGCTATAAAGACACATGCACATGTATATTTATTGCAGCATTATTCACAATAGCAAAGACTTGGAACCAACCCAAATGTCCAACAATGATAGACTGGATTAAGAAAATGTGGCACATATACACCATGGAATTCTATGCAGCCATAAAAAATGTTGAGTTCATGTCCTTTGTAGGGACATGGATGAAGCTGGAAACCATCATTCTCAGTAAACTATCACAAGGACAAAAAACCAAACACCGCATATTCTCACTCGTAGGTGGGAATTGAACAATGAGAACACATGGACACAGGAAGGGGAACATCACACTCTGGGGACTGTTGTGGGGTGGGCAGAGGGGGGAGGGATAGCATTGGGAGATATACCTAATGCTAGATGACGAGTTGGTGGGTGCAGCGCACCAGCATGGCACATGTATACATATGTAACTAACCTGCACAATGTGCACATGTACCCTAAAACTTAAAGTATAATAATAATAAAAAAAAAAAAAAGAAAAAAAAAAAGGAAGCAAGGGTATTTCAGAAAGAGAAAGTAGGTGGGGCAGGTAATCAATCCAATAAACATTTAGTGCACATCTACTATCTGCCATCTTAGTATCAGGTGCTGAGGATTCAACAATTGCCTTTTGACCTTTTCAAAAAGGAGAAAGACATATAGACCAGGTATTCCACACTAAGTACTCAATACAATAATTCAAGGGTTTTGTGATAAATATATATTTGGTCTCTGCTCCTGATTCCTGACACTTTGCTCTTAAAACCCTTGGAAAAAAAAAAAATAAGAGCTATCTATGACAAATCCATAGCCAACATCATACTGAATGGGCAGAAAGCTGGAAACATTCCCCTTGAGAAATGGTACAAGACAAGGGTGCCCACTCTCCCCACTCCTATTCAACATAGGACTGGAAGTCCTAGCCAGAACAGTCAGGCTAGAGGAAAAATAAAAGGCATCCAAATAAGAAAAGAAGTCAAACTATCTATCTTCACTGATTCTATGATTCCATACCTAGAAAACCCTAAAGACTCTGCCAAAAATGCTCCTGGAACTGACAAATGACTTCAGTAAAATTTTAGGATACAAAAGTCAATATATAAAAATCAGTAGCGCTTCTATTCACAAATAACGTTCAAGCAAAGAGCCAAATCAAGAATTGAATCCCATTCAGAATAACCACAAAAAGAATAAAATACCTAGGAATACATCTAACCAAGGAGGTGAAAAATCTCGAAAAGGAGAACTACAAAACACTGCTCAAAGTAATCATAGATGACACAAACAAATGAAAAAATGTTCCAGGTTCATGAATTGGAAGAATCAATACCATTAAAATGGCCATACTGTCAAAAGCTATCTACAGATTCAATGCTATTCCTATCAAACTACCAAAAACTACCAGAACTAGTTTTTTCTACCTCTGTCACTTTTCGCAGAACTAGAAAAAACTATTCTAAAATTCATATGGAACCAAAAAAGAGCCTGAATAGCCAAAGAAGTCCTAAGCAAAAAGAACAAAGCTGGAAGTATCATATTACCTGATTTCAAATACACTATAGGGCTAGAGTAAACGAAACATCATGGTACTGGTACAAAAACAGACACATAGACCTATGGAACAGAATAGATAATTCAGAAATAAAGCTACACTCCTATAGCCATCTGATCTTTGACAAAGTCAACAAAAATAAGCCATGAGGGAAGGACTGCCTATTCAATAAATGGCACTGGGATAGCTGGGTAGCCATACAAAGAAGAATGAAACTGGATTACTACTTTTCACCATATACAAAATTAACTTAAGATCAAGTGAAGACTCAAATGTAACACCTCAAACTCTAAGAATACTAGAAGAAAACCTAGGAAATATCATTCTGGACTTTGATCTTGGGAAAGGATGTATGACTAAGTCCTCAAAAGCAATTGCAACAAAACCAAAAATTGACAAGTGAGGCCTAATTAAACTAAAGAGTTTCTGCACAGCAAAAGAAACTATCAACAGAGTAAACAGACCGGTAGAAAATATTTGCAAACTATGCATCTGGCAAAGGTCTAATGTCCAGAATCTGTAAGTAACTTTAACAATTCAAACAAGCAAATAACAATCCCATTAAAAAATAGACAAAAGACATGGATGCTTCTCAAACGAAGACATACAAGCAGCCAAAACACATATGAAAAAATTCTCAACATCATTAACCATCAAGGAAATGCAAATTAAAACCGCAATAAGACACCATCTCCCATCAGTCAGAATGGCGATTATTAAAAAGTCAGAAAACAGCAGATGCTGGTGGGGCTGAGGAGAAAAAGGGACCATTATATGTTGTTGGTGGGAATGTAAATCAGTTCAATCACTGTGGAAAGCCATTTAGAGATTTCTCAAAGAACTTAAAACAGAACTACCTTTCGAACAAGCAATCCCATTACTGGGTAAATACGCAAAGGAAAATAAATCATTCTACCAAAAAGACACATATACTTGTATACTATTCGCTATAGCAAAGACATAGACTCAACCTAGGTGCCCACTGACAGTAGGTTGGATAAAGAAAATGTGGTATATATACACTATGGAACACTACACAGCCATAAAGAAGAACAAAATCTTGTCCTTTTCAGCAACATAGATGCAGCTGGAGATTATTATCCTAAGTGAATTAACACGGGAACAGAAAACCAAGCACTGCGTGTTCTCGCTTATAAATGGAAGCTAAGCATTGAGTATACACGGACACAAAGATGGGAACAATAGACACTGGGGACACTAGAGTGGAGAGGGAGGGAGAAAGGAAGAAATCTTGAAAAACTATTAGGTACTATGCTCACTAGCTGAGTGATAGGATCAGTGGTACCCCAAACCTCAGCATCATGCAATGTACCCATGTAACAAATCTTCATTTGTACTCCCTGAATCTAAAATAAAAGTTGAAATTATAAAAAATTAAATAAATATATAAATAAATAAATAATATATCAGTGATAATAATATTTACTTTATCAGGTTATTCACCTAAAAGTTCTGGCATTGGGATGGGTGTGGTGGCTCACACCTGTAATCCCAGCACTTTGGGAGGCCAAGGCGGGCAGATCACTTGAGGTCAGGAGTTTGAGACCAGCCTGGCCAACATGGTGAAACCCCATCTCTACTAAAAATACAAACATTAGCCAGGCATGGTGACAGCCGCCTGTAATCCCAACTACTCAGGAGGCTGAGGCAGGAGAATCACTTGAACCCAGGAGGCAGAGGTTGCAGTGAGCTGAGATAGCACCACTGCACTCCAGCCTGGGTGACAGAGTGAGCCTTCATTTCAAAAAAAAAAAAAAAAAAAGTTCTGGCCTGACAAAGAGGTCACTCAGCACATATTCATTTCCTCTCTTCAAAGAGAATCACCAAAATGTAACTATGAATATTCCTCTGGATGACTTAGCACAAAATAAATTGAGATGAGAATTTATTATTTGCTCTTAGATAAAAAAGTTATTTTAGAGGAAAGTAGGGAAATACAGTAGAGGTAGAGAAATCTTTAGAAAATTATCCCCTCTCTTCCAAGAATGCACCCCCAACTACCCTCACACAATGATACTATTGGACTTGGCAATAGTGACTAACACCTTTTCCACTATTTTTAACTCTGGTGTCTGTAACTTACAAAGATAAATATTTAAGTCAAGTTACAGTAATTCTGAACAATTCTTTTTAAAAATGGAATTAGAAAGCAATTGGGGTAAACAACAACAATAACATCAACAAAAGAAAAACAACTTAAAGGCACCTACCTCATGGGAGGCTGATTGTGTGATGGAAAACCACATGCTATCTATAATCGTATAATATAATCATATAAACAGGGTTTAATAAGGGTTTCGATAAAGTAATACCAGTTGAAGGGTTTTATAAGGGTTTCAATTCCAGCTACAAACATAAGCATTGTGTGCCCTGGAGACTACATTTCCTTGGCTGTTAAATGAAGATAATATTGGCTGTGAGAGTAAAACAGTAAATATAGTACACTGAACCCACAGCTTGGCTGATGGTATTCACTCATTTATTCATTCAACAATGTTTGTCTTTTTAACACCATGTTTGGCAATGTGCTGAGCAATAGAAATATAACAGTGAAAAAATAGGCATGGTTCTTGTTTTCATGGAGTTTAACAATATGGCAGAAGAGGCAGACATTAATAATGATATAAATAATAGTTTGATAAATAAGTAAAAGTTAATTCTGATTAAAAGTTAGTTGCCTTTCTCTTCTCCTTATTTGTAATTTAAAAATCATGTTCTTTCTACTTTCACTTTTGAAAATTTAGTGAAGTAATGAATGTGAACCCACTTTGTAAATTCTGAAGTTATCTACAAATATTAATTGCTATATTTGTAACAAAAATATATCAAGCACGCGCTATTCGTAAGGCGCTAAGAAAAGTAGAAAGGTAAACTAGACATAGGTTCTGCCTGCCCCTGCTGGAGGAAGGTAGGACAGCTGGCACTATGAGCTATTTACATAACTCCAGACAGAAAGTACTAATAGGTGCTTTGAGAGAGGGTTGGGCAGAGGGATTTGATATTTGGAGGAGACAGAGATTGGTCCAGTTGGAGAGGGCTCAGGGAAGACTTTATGGAGCAGATGCATTTGAACTGGATCTAGACAATTAGGGGGCATTTGGACTTGAGGAGATCAGGGAACAGAACATGCAAAGGTGCAGAAGTGGGAGAATGAGGGGCAACAACAGTAACAAAACAGTATGTAATGCATTTGGTTGGATTGAAAGAGGCATTAACGGCAGTAGTCGGCAACGAGTTTGGACAAATAGTTTGGGATCAGAGGATCAAAACATAGAGGACCTTGAATGCTGAGCTAAAGAGTGTGACCTGTACTTTTGACAGCTGTGAGCCATTGGAGGAAATTGAAGAAGACAATAACTTCGCTAGAGCTGTGAATCAGAAATAGTGTGCCTTGAGTCAGGAAGAGTAATCTACAACTGCATATAGGATGTATTGTTATGACTATCAATATAATTTTGCTGAAGAATTTGGAAAGAGTGCTTTTAACCGTGTATTTTGGCCCTCTTGAAATCCAGGGTCTAGAAGCTCACAGTTGGAGTGGTCTATGGAACCTGAAGTATTTTTGTATTCAGGAGTACTGAGACATATTGAACACAAACTTCCTTCTCAAAATAATATGGGACTTATAAAATGGACCCAAAGATCTTATTTCTTTGGAAAAACTAAAGCAGTTTTTTTTTTAGTACATTTACCTTAGCACAGGTTACATTCTCTATAATTTAATATCACAGAAATAGGGAAGAGAGACACCAGGAGGTAAAAATGATTGCTCTAAAAACTAAGCTGCTATGATTCAACATCCTAAAATGCACATACCAAACCCCTCTCCCTCCCTCACACCCACTCAGGCCTATGACTTTAGCATTCAGTAATGGCTGATCAAAACATCTATCCCTGCTCCTGGAGCTCCCGTGAGCTGTGTGCACAGAACAAGCTGACCCTGACTGTCTCTTCTCCCATGAGCCTTTCAGAGCCAAACCAGCTGTGGGAGATGTGCGGCAGCTGGTCAGCCAATCAACAAAAAGCTGCCGGGTGACAATCTCCATTTGTGACTTTACATAGATGGTGGACGAAGCCAAGTTGCCCTGCTCAGCTGTGTGGAGAACCTCTCCACTGAAAGAGAATAACAGATGTTCATTTTAAAAAAAAATTTCCAAACCCGAAACATAATTTTACTACACAAATACACGCCAGTGAATATTTGGAGAATAAGAACAGTTTTTGCCAGCCTTCACAGGGTGTCTGGATGACAAACACAAAGAGAATTATCTACATATTTGTAGTCTACATCAGATTTCTATGATGACCTCCAGAGAGCATGAGACACTGTCTTGGTATGTCCCACAGAACAGTTCTCAGTGTTTGCGCTGGATGTGTTTGGAGCCAGGGGCAAAGATGAGGGTAGGCTACTCATTCCCAAGGCAGGGAGAACTAATGAAGTAGGAACAAGATGGGTAGCTGAAGACTTTGTCCTATTGCCTCACATAAAAGTCATTGTGTTAAATAAATGTGTCTGGCATGAATTTACCAACATAGAAGAAAATGATACCAAGCCAACCAGATAAGCTTTTAACAGATTCAAAGTCTAGAATTTAAAATGCTCTTCATTCAAATAAGCAACCAGTGCCTTAGGGTTGGGCCCTCAGGGATGAAAGGCTTATGTAACCAAGGAAGGCAGCCAGAGGCTAAGCCCTTTCTCCTAATGATGAACAAGTAACTGAAGAACTCCCACAGAGGACGATACCTCAGAACCCGTTCTTCAAACACTTTACCTTGCCGCCTTGCCCCAAAGGTTGTATATTTACGACCAACATCTGAGTTCATACATTTTATAAAAGGCACCTAATGCTTAAGTTCTCTGTTAAGGATCCCTCCTCCCACTTTAATTTAACACCTTCTCCAACAGGGTGCTTTCTGCCTCCCCAAGCATCTCTCCCCTTCTCTAAATAGCTCTTATAGAACATCTTCCTTATAGTAAGCTGAAATATTCTCTAATATTTGGGCATGTGAAAGTATAGCTGAAAGGATGCTGGAAAGCACAGTAGAGAAAAAGGAGAAAGAAAAGCAACTGGGTTATTCTTTTCACAGAAGTAAGTTGAATTTGAATAGTCGAGTGAACATTTAACTGGCTGTGTTGTAATTGAAAAACAGGAGATAAATTGGTTCTTTAAATCATCAGTTTATCAAGTTCTGAATATGTGTAAAACAGTTTCAAATATTTCCCCAAGTACCTCTGTCATATCAATAAATTGGGTGGATATTATTCACTTGCACATAATAAAATATTTGTTTAAAAACTCAAAAATAACCTCTGGATTTAAGACATTGTTTTATGCTCTATTTCTACCATAATCACTCGTACAAAAATCTCAATAATTCAGATATACTTGCTCACCATGTATAGGTGTACATACGTCATGTTTTAATGGTCATCTATTTTGAGACACTAATAAATTACAAATAAAATTAAAGCTACAATTTTTAAAAAATAAAATAAGCGTCAGGTGTGGTGGCTCATGCTTGTAATCCCAGCACTTTGGGAGGCTGAGACAGGTGGATCACCTGAGGTCAGGAGTTCGAGACCAACATGGTGAAACCATGCCTCTACTAAAAATACAAAAAAAAAAAAAAATAGCTAGGCATGGTGTCTCGTGCCTGTAATCCCAGCTACCTGGGAAGACGAGGCAGGAGAATTGCTTGAACCTGGGAGGCAGACATTGCAGTGAGCCGAGGTCGCACCACTGTCCTCCAGCCTGGGCAACAAGAACGAAACTCTGTCTCAAAAAAACATACATACATATATATACACATACATGTACATATGTGTACATACACATATATGTGTGAGAATGTATGTATATATGTATATATGTATATATGTGTATATATGTATATATGTGTATATATGTATATATGTGTATGTGTGTATATATATAAAATAAGCTATTTTGTTCTTAAAATAAAATTTAAACCACATCTTCTTTCTTCTTTCTGCCTTTTTTTTTTTCTTAAAAAAAGCAACTCTTTGTGTAGCCAGGTTAATTTAGGCCCAACATGGTAAAAACAAATTCTTTCCATCTTATTCCAAGTTTAGACCCAGGCAAACTTTTTAATAACCAAGTTATTAAAACCCTTAATTAATGGAATCACTGCTTCCCAATTTCCAAATCATGCTACTAAGCTGCTGTTCAACTGGAAGCAAAGGTTCTGTGGCTCTGCTCTCCGTTCATATATGGGAATGTTCACTATTCAATATGCCCTGTGAGGTGTGTCTAGCATGCTTCATAATTCCAGTAAATCTGTGCAGCCCACACTCAAACCCCCAAGTGGTTTTCTCCTGATGATCACAGCCCTGAAGCCATGCATTCTTCTTGAACTTCCCCAGGGCGTCTTCTGTGTCATACTTATCTGGTGGTTAGAGCTCAAAAACTTCTTTACAGGAGGAAATCTCAGGGTAGCAAGCTCCATTCAGATATTACATTGTAGGCATCTCATTACTCCTTTCAGCTGGATCCAACTTCAGACCATCATTAGGTTTCCACTGTTACTGCCAGGATCACTACCTATGTCCCAGCTCAGGGAACTTCTAGGCCCGGGGAGCCTTGAGTTATCTTTCTGAAGTTCTCTGCTCACTTGAGAAAGCAACATCTTTTTTTACTCAATTCTCCAGATTTTATTTTTGATTTCATGCTGCATTTTAGTCCAAAAAGTTCCCAGGCCTCTTCTCCGGTGTCCTGGGCTGCTTCTCACAGCCTGAGATGGTTACACCATTCTTCACTGGTTACACCCAGTGACAGCTTTTTTCTGGCCGATCTCTTTTCAGGTCAGATGACATATAGGGTGACTGCATGTCCTGGTTTTCCTGTAACCATATCAGTTTATACCTGGTGTTCTCTTTTAATTATTAAAAGTGTTCCTCTTTCACTCTCAGAATCCTGGTTTGGATAATAATGAAAAGATTACTCAAGTTGATGTCTTCTTTGCAACCCAACAATGGAGTCAATTCTATGAATTTTTTATTACTTTCAATTGCTTTTAAACATTCTTTGTGTTTTTAAAAATGTGTGAACTTCCCCAACGTATATATCAAGGATATTAGTTATCTATTGCTACATAATAAACTACCCCCAAACTTAAAGCAGCAATAGACATTTATTATTTCACATAGTTTCTGTAAGTCAAGAATTTGGGCGCAGCATAACTGAGTGGTTCTGTCTTGGGGTCTCTCATGAGGTTGCAGTTGAGAAGTTCATTAGGGCTGTAGTTACCCGAAGCCTGGAATGGAGCTAGAGAATGTGCTTCTGAGATGGCCCACTCATGAGGCAGACAAGTCAGTGCTGGCTGTTGCCAGGAAGCCTCATTTCCTTAACACATGGAGCTCTCCAAGGAGCTACTTGAGTGTTTTCACAGGATGGCAGTTAGCTTCCCTCAGAGCAAGTTATCCAAGAAGGGAAAAACAGAAGTCACAGTGGCTTTTATGACCTATGCTCAGAAATCACACTACGTCATTTCACAGTATCTGACTGGTTACTTGGCACATATTTGAAAGGGCCATGGAGTAAAAAATATATCATTGTATTCAATGAGAAGAAAAACTATTCCTTGCAAGAATGAGATAATAGCAACACTAAGTGTGAACCTTATAGGTACAGCAATTTACAGATATGTGTGTGTATATATATATATATATATATGTATCTGTGTATATTTCTATCTGCACACACAAATATATATATATTTGCTTGTGTGTTTAGATTATATGTATATATACATATTTACAGATATGTGTATATCTGTAAACACATATATTTGTTGTATGTGTAGATAGATATAGATATAAATATAAATGTAATATATTTAAGTAATGCTGAACTTTGGGTGAGTTTAAAGAAATAAAATACAAATACCTAGGCATAGTCAGAGATTCTCACATTTATATTTAACAGTTATCAATGTTTGCTTAATCACTGAGTTTCCTTTTCTGACTAAACTAGAAAACAGTTCTCTGCTTACTCTGAAATGCTGCCTTGAATACAAAGCTTATGAGTTTGCATGTATTTGTTATACCATTCACTCATTCAATGAATTGTAATTGGGAGTTTACCATCTGCTAATCAAACTGTGCTAGATGGTGAGGACACAGTCCTTACCTTCAAATTGCTTAACATTTAGAGTAGAGGAACAGACTAGAAATGATACACATTAAAAAGTGAAACCCACAGGTTCTTATAGAGGTATAGAGAGGGGCACCAAATTCAGTTTGGTCAGGGAGAAGCCAGAAAATTATTCTAAGTGTTATGACATGACATTTGAGTAGAGTCTTGAAGGGTAAATAAAAATTAACAGGCAGATCCAGAGTGAAGAGGGAGGAGCTTTCCAGATGGAAGGAATATTATAACCATGAATGCCAAGATATGAGAGAGGAGGTATCCTAGGATTGGTGAGAGAGCTGGTCTGAAGAGTAGTCATGCAAGAGTGTAGGGAAGCCAACAAGATACAAGTGAAATAGACCGTGGGAGGGCTTGTGAGCCTCATTAAGATGCTGAAATGTAACTTGAGGGCAATAAGAAAACTGTTGAGGAATTTGCCACAGGAATGAAACACTGATATTTTAGGAAAATTATAGTGATGGCCACTGGAGGATGGATTAGAGAGGATGAGTCTGTTGGCTGGAAGACCAACTGGAACATATTGCCCTGGCTTCTGATTTCATGACAAATTGGCATGGTAATACTTAATACTTAACAGGTAAATCTCCTGTTTTTCAGTAATTTCTGTTTGTGTTAGATGCTTAGCACTTTTGTCTAACCCTTGAGTTCCTTCTGACCCTGGAATGCAGTGGTGTGATCCTAACTCACTACAGCCTCAAACTCTTGGGCTCAAGCGATCCTTCCACTTCAGCGTCCCTTGTGGCTGGAACTACAGATGCATGCCATCTATGTTGTTTTGATAGACTTTTGCCTTAGGCTGGATGTTAAGAGTTTATGACTGCTCTTGTGCAGGTATTATTTCCTCCACCATTAACTGAGTATTAGCATTGTGGTAGGCACATTTCATTCATTAAAAATAACTATTCGCAGTCAAATTCAAAGAAACAGAAAGCAGAATAGTGGTTACCAGAGGCTAAGGAAAAGGGAGAACAGGAAGTTATTGTTTAGTGGGTCACAAGTTTCAGTTTGAGATAATGGAAAAGTTCTAGAGATGGATAGTGGTGATGGTTGCACACGGTGTGAATGTAGGCTGGGCACAGTGGCTCACATCTGTAATCCCAGCACTTTGGGAGGCCGAGGCAGGTGGGTCACCTGAGGTCAGAAGTTCGAGACCAGCCTGACCAACATGGTGAAACCCCATCTCTACTAAAAATACAAAAAAATTTAGCCAGGCGTGGTGGCACATGCCTGTAATCCCAGCTACTTGGGAGGCTAAGGCAGGAGAATCACTTGAACCCAGGAGGTAGAGGTATCAGTGAGATGAGATAGCGCCACTGCTCCAGCCTAGGTGACAGAGTGAGACTCCTTCTCAAAAAAAAAAAAAAAAGAGGTTTAATTTTGATGATTTACAGTGATATGTCTTCTGTTTCTACTCTTATTATTTAGTACATAGAGGCTAAAGAGACTCCCTGGCTCAATAGCAGTGTCGAGTTTTTTTCTTCTTTTCTTTCCTTCTTTAAAGTGATAGTTCATAGTTGGGTTGCCTTCTGGGATTTTTCCGTCTTTGTTTTTAAATGTATTTGATTGACATGCACTTAAAATTTTTGCACCTTTACTATATACCAGAATGATAAGAAGGATGCAAAATAATGTAACACTAATCCATGTTCTTAGAAGCTAAAGATCTGCTTAGGAGAACACGAACTTATGCGTGAAGTACAAAAAGATCAGAGGAGTGATGCTCTACAGAATTGCTTCTCAGAGAAGAGAGAGCCATCTGGGTTGGAGCATCGGGAAACCCTGTGGAGGAGGTGATGCAGGGCCTGGACACTGATGAATAAGCTGAATCTGGACACATGTAGCAAGGACCTGTGGAGAAACGGCCAAAGAAGTAACATGGTCCCAGCTGCCGGCTACTGAAAACACTGCGTGCTCCTGCCTTTCCCCCATCACACTAGCTGTTCCTCTTTCATGTCCTTTACTCTTTTTCTTCCTCTACCAGTCCCTAAGTAATTTCTTCTAGCCTTAGGCTTTAAATCAGGGGTGTCCAATCTTTTGGCTTCTCTGGGCCACACTGGAAGAAGAGGAATTGTCTTGGGCTACATATAAAATACACTAACGATAGCTGATAAGCTAAAAAAAAAAAAAAAAAAGTAAAAAAAAATCTCTATGTTTTAAGAAAGTTTACAAATTGTGTTGGGCTACATTGAAAGCCACCCTGGGCTGCATGCAGCCCATGGGCCACGGGTTGGGCAAGCTTGCTTTAAATAGCCTCTCGAATTTATAATTCCAGCCTCAGTCCTCCTCGAAGTCCAGACTCATGTATCTAACTGCTTGCTTGACATCTGTATCAGAGTGTCTGATGGGAATTTCAAACAAAACATTTGATTCTTTCTGCCCCAAACTGCTTCTGTCAGCTCTGTTTTCAAAATATATACCACATCGAGTGACTTTTCTGCACTTACCGTGCTTCTAGCACGCTGGTTCAATAGACTGCACCTTTCACTTGTACCACTACATTATCTTCCTCACCAGTTGGTTAACTGTTGTCATTCTTGCAGCCACACTCTATTCTCCAGGCAGCATTCCTAGCATTCCTGTTAAGTCACATATCAAGCTTTGCCACATCCTTGCTTAAAATCGGCCAACATTGCTCTTCTGGAACAAGCTTGTGAAATAGCCCGGGTGTCAGTGCCTGTGCACTCACCATTCCCTCTACTCTGAATGTTCTTCCCCTCCCCCAATACTTGAGTGACTTGCTTTCCATTCTCACTTAAAATCCTTTTCTTTGGATAAGGGTATCTAAAATGGCCTCTTCCCCTTCATCAACATTTACTCCCTCCCTTTAAAAAACAAAAAACAAAAAAACAACAAAAAAAACTCTTTCAAGTACGTATGTAGGCTTAGGTATTTTGTTTTTATTTTTATTGTCTGTTTCCCACCGTTGTAATGTAAGCTCCCGGGAGTCAGGGAATGTTCATTTATGTATCCCTAGTGAGTAGAATAGTGCCTTGCATTGAGTAAATATTTGTCGAATGAATGAGCTGCCATCCTGTTGGTTCACACTTTCTGATGTAAGGTGATATTCTGAGTGATGTGGTCAAGACCTGCCATGCAAGGTCAGTACAGTGAACCGACCACTAAAGGATAGGGCAATCCTAGCAGGACAGGTGCCGGGCCGAAATTGGGACTGGGAAAATGAGATACAACACTTGTCTGCCAGACAAGAGTATCTGGGACTCTAGGGGACTCCACAGCCAAAAGGACATACCAAGCAAGATCTTATAGGTGACACACAGTTGCTGCCATGGCAAGCCTCCTTCTGTGGAAAGCCTGCTCAAGGAATTGAAGAGGCAAATTCTCCAACAGAAATGAACTCTGTGCATACTGGCTGCAGCCATAGTCAGCACTGAACTTTTACATGCAGAGAAAGTTGGCAGCACTGCTGTGGAGAGTATAATATTTATCTTCTCCAATGGGCTGTGAACTTCTAGAGGGGAGAGTCTGCTTGGTTCTGTGTCATTCCCGGTGCTCAGTCTGCATTTTTGCCAAACATTTGAGAGAAGGATTGAAAAAAAGGAGAAAAAAATTATATCATCTTTATCTTCTTGGCCATACCTAAGGGCACGGAGAAAGGTACAATTGGAATGTTCTCCTTCAGATCCAATCGATGTAAATCTTTTGTATGCATTAAATAACCAATGATAAAGACTTTAAATCCACCCCTTCCAGACCCAAGCACTAGTCCCCCAAGCAGCAAATTCATATGCCCACAAGTTCACATCTTTTACATAAAATAACAACCAATAAATAATTGAACTTTAAATCATTCACTCTGGAGATTTAAAATGAATCTTTGGGCCATTCACACAGCTCCTTAATTTCTGCTAGGGCAAGATCTTTAATTTGTACTAGCTAGGAGATGGACATTTTCTTAATTAAGCAACCTGCTACAGGGACAAAAAGGTGCCTACAAGGTTTCCCCAGCAAACTCTAAGTAATTAAAAATAAATGCATAAAGAAAGAATATTAACAACTGTTCTCAAGAGCTTTGACCATTATCCCATTAGGTAACTTTTATTTTTAAAGTACACAGTTTCCTTCAATTTTGGATTAAACATGTGACTTTGTTGACATTTCATGGACAATACTAAGTGTTTCTTTTGGGGGTTACGCTTTCTCAGAACATCCCTGTGAGAAAGGAATAATACAGGGTGGTTGGAGGAGATTAGAAAATTCCAAGCAGCAGTTTCACATGACTAGCAAAATGAAGCTTGAAATAGCTTCGGAAGCTATGGCCTAATAAGATCCTGAAAAAACAGGGATCAAGAGGGCCAGGCGTGGTGGCTCATGCCTGTAATCCCAGCACTTTGGGAGGTGGAGGTGGGCAGATCACGAGGTCAGTAGATCGAGACCATCCTGGCTAACATGGTGAAACCCCGTCTCTACTAAAAATACAAAAAAAAATTAGCTGGGTGTGGTGGCGGGCGCCTGTAGTCCCAGCTACTCGGGAGGCTGAGGCAGGAGAATGGTGTGAACCCGGGAGCAGAGGTTGCAGTGAGCCGAGATCATACCACTGCACTCCAGCCTGGGGGACAGAGCGAGGCTCTGTCTCAAAAAAAAAGAGTAAAGAAAAAGCACCCAGGCTTATGCTTACAGCTTGTCTGCTGGGGATCCTGAACGATACACTGTGGGGGCCACATCCGTGACTAGCAATGACCCTTACTGGAACTATCAACAGGACCAGGTTGATCTAAGAAAAATCATATGGTGACTTGTTTGGTGGAGGGAATGAAACAATATACCACTAAGCCCGCGAACTGTAATAAAATAAGATAAATAAGAAAAGGATGAAAACTCAGCTTTGTTTCAGGGGCACCTTTGTGGAGGACCTAAGAACATATACTAACATTGATCTCAGTACTGACGCTGGCCAAATTTTTCTACAGACACACTTTATTAGCCAGTCAGCACCTGACATAAGAAGAACATTACAGAAATTGGCTTTGGAACTCTACACACCTATTAATGAAATGTTTGGTGTGGCTTTTGGGGTATTCAATAATAGGGACAGAGCTAAAATGGCTGAAATGACCCAGAATGGCAAAAAATGGGATAGACAGCCAGCCCAAATGATTAGCAGTCACTGTAAACAGTGCCCTGCAACCTCAGGGTCACCCAGGAAGACGCTTCACCGCAGACCAAACAGGCTCAACAGCAAACCTGCAGGCAACGGTTGCTGCTCCAAGTGTGAGAAGTCAGGACACTGGAGAAAGGACTGTCCCAGCCAAGGGAGCCCACCCAGACCCTGTCCTCACTGCAAGCAGGAGGGCCATTGGAAAAGGAATTGCTCTCAGCTCTGAAGGGAGAGGAGGCCACCCAGTGCCGTAATGGCCATAACTGAGACTGAAGGGGCTTGAGGTCCCTGGCAGCTCCCATAAAAGGCATGGTCAACACAATTGAGGAGACTCTTGACGTGGCAGATTAGAATATCCTTGAATTCATTCTTTTGACAGTGTCAAGAGCCTGGACACTGGCTGGGGTCAAGGTCCCACTGGCACCTGGGAAACCCCCAGCTCACTGGTATCACCTGGGCTGCAGCAGCACCCTGCATTAATAGTCATCTTTGGCTTTCTCTCTGACCTGGCAACTTATTTATTTAGTCTGTCCTACACTGAAAATACTGAGAAAGAGAAGAATTCTTTTTTCATTCTGAAGGACACAAATGCAGCCTAAGACTGAACATTTGATTGAGTTCTGCAAATGGGAAGGAAAAACACATAGCCTCCTCAGTGTGAGTATTGTCTGTGCTTCTGCCACAAAGGTGTGATAAAATGGCTCAGCTAATTTTCTTGCTGGGGATACTGATGATCACAGAGCAGGAGAGGTGGTTTCCCTCCAAAACCACACTGAACAGCATGCTGTTATCCCCTCCTTTTCTTTTTATTCTTGTTTCTTCTTAAGCAAATGCTTTTTTATTTTAGCAATAGAATTCAGTTCAGTAACATCTCTGAGTGTTACTTTGTGCAAGAGAACCAACGGCATGTGACAGAAACCCTGGTTTCTCTAGCGTGCCTGTCACAGCGTGTTACCCTGAGCCTTGGTCCCAGGTTGCTGAAGTCTTGGATTAGTGTGGGTCTGACCAGTTAGCACACTCCTTTTTGGATGCCTTCTTACATTCACTCCAGCTTTCATCAAATAACTATCCCCACCCTAGTTTCTCTAAAGCAGTTCTAGTTTGTACATTCTTTCCTTTCCTCCCCACAAATTACTACAAAACAAATGTCAGGTAGTTTCCTATCAATTAATTCCCAAATTAGCATTTCTAAAGTCTACTTTAACATTTTCTTCCTTTCACCTTTTTCTGACTCAACATCAATGTCTTCCTTTCAGATATCACCAACCCCCACCACCCTCCCCCAACCCCTAGCACTAATTGGTTAATTGTTTCTTCAGTTGCAGAAAAATAGAAAGATCTAAATGGAGGACTTACAAAATATGGAGCTCTTAAATAACGGACTTGAAATTGAGAATTATTACAAGCCATTAATCATTATAGATCTCCCCGGAAATGAATGAATGAGAATTTATCATTGCTCTTATTAGGTACGTGCCTCCAATACTTCTTCAGGAGGATTTTCTGAAGCCCCAGGTAAGCGTTTAGGCATTGAGATGAAAACAAGCATGAGAAGCCCCACTTTGCCAGTGTGTGTGTATGTATCTGTGTGTGAGAAGAGACTGGGGGAAGGAGTTGGGTGTGGGGTGGGGACTAACGGCGGCGGTGGAGTGTTAGGTCCTCTCTGGTGTGTGTGTTTAGTGCGCCATCTGGTGACTGAAGCTCACAGAGGGAAGAAAGCCTGAGGTCCTAGGAAGACAGGCACAACCCAGGGTTGGGGTGGCTCCTCATGGTCAATTCGGGGTTGCTAAAGTGGCTGTATTTCAGCTTTACCAGCGCACAGGTGACAAATGTTGTGCACATCATGGAGAGGTTTGTGTAAGTCATGACTTATTCAAGAAAAATAATAAAGGGCTTTAAGGACCTATTGAGAAAAGCAAAAAGTACAGTTACACAATTATCCCAGACAGTAGGACTCTAAAAGTGTAAGTACTCTGGTTGAACAAATAAATGAAACTCTTCTACGAATGTGGGAAATGCAAAAAGGAATTGAAGGAAGGGAAAAAACTGAAGGTATGAGTAGAAAATTAAAGAGAGAGGCAGGATAGCATCACGCTTTGTAGGCTGTTCTAAACCTGGGTTCAAATTTCAGAGCTACTGCTTACCTTTTGTGGGACAATAGGCAATTTATTTAAACTCACCAAGCCTCAGTTTGCTCATCTATAAAATGAGGATCATTCTGTTTACTTTCTAAGGATACTGTGAGGGTTAAATAAAAGAATTCACAAAAATACTAAGCCCAAAGCTTCACATGTAAATGCTCAATAAATGGTAGTTGTTATAAGCAGAGAGAAGAGAAGAGGAAATGAAAAGCCAGAAGGGAGAAAGCTCAGTAAGGATAGTGTAGGACGCCTTAGAAAATTATGAGAAAGGAAGTAACATCTAGGACCCTCCAACTTAGCACAAGGCTAGGTTGATCAACCCAACAGGTGAATACCACGAAGGCTGCAATCTATGACTCCAGTGGACAGAGGGTCTCTGCCTGAAGCCCACTTTTGTTATTATCCTTACAAGTGTCTGAGAGAATGCCACAGCAGGGCTGGCCATCCTTCTTGGTACCCCTGGGACTTCAAGGTGTGGCCGGGCAACTCTATAGTTAACCTCTATACAGGACTTTCTCAGTTCCATGCTCGTAGCTTATGTGAAAAAAGTCAAATGTGACCAGGGCAAGATGGGGCTGATCAAGGCATAACAACTAGGGATGAAGTTTGATCCAGTGAGGGACGCTATTAGCATGACTGAGCTGGCAAGGAGGTTTCTGAGAACCCTGGCTTGTCACTGTTGGTGGCAGTTAATAGTGACATGGAGAGTCAGCTCGCCCAGCATGGCCGGAAGAAATATCCACGTAACCTGAGACCCCTTCCTTCTCCATTGAATCCTTATGGCAGACTCAGGAGGTGGAATCCCAAAGCTGCCTCACTCTCTCTTTCAGAACCTGATAAGTCTACTTCTATGGATTGCCTAAAGCCCTTCAGACATCTAAAGTCTCTGCAGAGGAAAATATTGCACTACACACACACACACAAACACACACACTCGGGACCTCCAAGGGAGCCCTTAGTCTACCATCTGCAGCCAGAGCTTTGAAGCTAGAGATCATAATGCCTGTTCCCTGATGTAACAGTCAACTGCAATCTCGACTTGCAGCCATTGCCTGCATTTCTAACCTTTTACCAGCTTCCTTCCATGCCGAGGAGAAACTAGGACCAAGAACACAGTAATATGATCCCCAATTAGCATAAAATAAAAACAACCTAGTCATGTTTTCCATGGGCTTTTCCAACCTCAAACTAAAAGCACAAAGCAGGGAGAAAGATATAAGAATATACACATGGGACTATAAATACATATATACTGTCTGTGTCAGCACAGCCAAGCACCCTGACCCAAATGAGTATCTGTCTCTAAGAAAAGAATGTAGCCTGATGCAGAAATCTGAGAATTTTCTCCTTCCAAAGTACAGTGTAAGAACAGACTGGAAGAGAAGTTACCCCGATGACTTGGTTTGGAAGGGGTTAAGGCACCAGTCATCCTCTTCTAAAGTGATTTATGATGATGTGTGGAGTTTAAAAACTTTACCCCACCCCAAAGAACAGCCTTCTCACTCCTCACTGAGTCCACTCTGAACGTGCTAAAATGGGAAGGAGGCGGTGTTTTGCTGATCTGTTAAATTCTTAGTGAAGTTTCCTTGATTTCCAGTGGCTGCTGTTGTTTGAGTTTGGTTTGGAGCAAAACTGAGGTAGTCCTAACATTTCTGGGACTGAATCCAGGCAAGAGAAAGAAGAAAAAGAAGAAGAAAAAGAGGAGGAAAAAGGTAGGGAGAAATAAAGGGAGGAGAGAAGCACAGTGAAAGAAAAAAAAAGTCCCTTTTCGACATCACATTCCTGTGTTTTCCCTCAGCCTGGAAAACATATTAATCCCAGTGCTTTTACGCCCGGAAACAAAGAGACTAAGCCAGACTATGGGGGAAAGGGAGATAAGAAGGATCCTGGAACTTTAAAGAGGGAAAGAGTGAGATTCAGAAATCGCCAGGACTGGACTTTAAGGGACGTCCTGTGTCAGCACAAGGGACTGGCACACACAGACACACGAGACCGAGGAGAAACTGCAGACAAATGGAGATACAAAGACTTAGAAGGACAGCTCCTTTCACCTCATCCTACTTGTCCAGAAGGTAAAAAGACACAGCCAGAAAGAAAAGGCATCGGCTCAGCTCTCAGATCAGGACAGGCTGTGGATCTGTGGCGGTACTCTGAAAGCTGGAGCTGCAGCACACCCCTTTTGTATTGCTCACCCTCGGTAAAGAGAGAGAGGGCTGGGAGGAAAAGTAGTTCATCTAGGAAACTGTCCTGGGAACCAAACTTCTGATTTCTTTTGCAACCCTCTGCATTCCATCTCTATGAGCCACCATGTAAGTGTGTAATCTTTTCTGTCTTTGATCTGTTTATTTGTTTCTTTATTGCTTATTTTGAAGGAATGAAATGTGAATGTTGTCATAATTAATATGCTAGTTTGCATTTTCTTTGGAGCATCCAGAGCATTAGTTGAAACAGTACAAGCATGCTGACTGGGAAACTGAATTGGATTTCCTGCTTAATGTAACTGTCTCTGTTAAACACTAACAAATTATAGGGGATTGAAAGTAACAGGATCTCATCCCATTTTCCATCTCCTGACCTCCCTCCTTCTCTCTAACCAACCTTTTCCCCTCCCCTTGGCTGAGATACAGAAAAAGAAAATGACCAGCTCTGTTTCCAGATAAATAATTTTCTTTCTTTTTTCCCCCTCCCCTTTGTTTTATGACCTCCGTGCATCGCAAAGTGGATTACACAATGACATGGAGAATGGGACCCCGTTTCACTATGCTGTTGGCCATGTGGCTAGTGTGTGGATCAGAACCCCACCCCCATGCCACTATTAGAGGCAGCCACGGAGGACGGAAAGTGCCTTTGGTTTCTCCGGACAGCAGTAGGCCAGCTCGGTTTCTGAGGCACACTGGGAGGTCTCGCGGAATTGAGAGATCCACTCTGGAGGAACCAAACCTTCAGCCTCTCCAGAGAAGGAGGAGTGTGCCCGTGTTGAGACTAGCTCGCCCAACAGAGCCGCCAGCCCGCTCGGACATCAATGGGGCCGCCGTGAGACCTGAGCAAAGACCAGCAGCCAGGGGCTCTCCGCGTGAGATGATCAGAGATGAGGGGTCCTCAGCTCGGTCAAGAATGTTGCGTTTCCCTTCGGGGTCCAGCTCTCCCAACATCCTTGCCAGCTTTGCAGGGAAGAACAGAGTATGGGTCATCTCAGCCCCTCATGCCTCGGAAGGCTACTACCGCCTCATGATGAGCCTGCTGAAGGACGATGTGTACTGTGAGCTGGCGGAGAGGCACATCCAACAGATTGTGCTCTTCCACCAGGCAGGTGAGGAAGGAGGCAAGGTGAGAAGGATCACCAGCGAGGGCCAGATCCTGGAGCAGCCCCTGGACCCTAGCCTCATCCCTAAGCTGATGAGCTTCCTGAAGCTGGAGAAGGGCAAGTTTGGCATGGTGCTGCTGAAGAAGACGCTGCAGGTGGAGGAGCGCTATCCATATCCCGTTAGGCTGGAAGCCATGTACGAGGTCATCGACCAAGGCCCCATCCGTAGGATCGAGAAGATCAGGCAGAAGGGCTTTGTCCAGAAATGTAAGGCCTCTGGTGTAGAGGGCCAGGTGGTGGCGGAGGGGAATGACGGTGGAGGGGGAGCAGGAAGGCCAAGCCTGGGCAGCGAGAAGAAGAAAGAGGACCCAAGGAGAGCACAAGTCCCACCAACCAGAGAGAGTCGGGTGAAGGTCCTGAGAAAACTGGCCGCCACTGCACCAGCTTTGCCCCAACCTCCCTCAACCCCCAGAGCCACCACCCTTCCTCCTGCCCCAGCCACAACAGTGACTCGGTCCACGTCCCGGGCGGTAACAGTTGCTGCAAGACCTATGACCACCACTGCCTTTCCCACCACGCAGAGGCCCTGGACCCCCTCACCCTCCCACAGGCCCCCTACAACCACTGAGGTGATCACTGCCAGGAGACCCTCAGTTTCAGAGAATCTTTACCCTCCATCCCGGAAGGATCAGCACAGGGAGAGGCCACAGACAACCAGGAGGCCCAGCAAGGCCACCAGCTTGGAGAGCTTCACAAATGCCCCTCCCACCACCATCTCAGAACCCAGCACAAGGGCTGCTGGCCCAGGCCGTTTCCGGGACAACCGCATGGACAGGCGGGAACATGGCCACCGAGACCCAAATGTGGTGCCAGGTCCTCCCAAGCCAGCAAAGGAGAAACCTCCCAAAAAGAAGGCCCAGGACAAAATTCTTAGTAATGAGTATGAGGAGAAGTATGACCTCAGCCGGCCTACTGCCTCTCAGCTGGAGGACGAGCTGCAGGTGGGGAATGTTCCCCTTAAAAAAGCAAAGGAGTCTAAAAAGCATGAAAAGCTTGAGAAACCAGAGAAGGAGAAGAAAAAAAAGATGAAGAATGAGAACGCAGACAAGTTACTTAAGAGTGAAAAGCAAATGAAGAAGTCTGAGAAAAAGAGCAAGCAAGAGAAAGAGAAGAGCAAGAAGAAAAAAGGAGGTAAAACAGAACAGGATGGCTATCAGAAACCCACCAACAAACACTTCACGCAGAGTCCCAAGAAGTCAGTGGCCGACCTGCTGGGGTCCTTTGAAGGCAAACGAAGACTCCTTGTAAGTAGCCTTCTCCTTGGCATTCTTCTATGGGCTGAGGCAGGGCATGTTAACGTCTGTCTTGTTAGTTTTGTAAAAATCATATTGCTAGATGCCAGACTGTGACTGAACCTGTACTGTGTCAAGAAGCTCAGAAGTCTGGCAAAAGAGGGCAGCAGGCCAGTAGCTCCTTCTGGTTTAGTGACCTATGAAGTTCTGCTCACACAACTCATGGCCCTGTGGTACAAAGTCAGTGGCTGGGGACCCTACACATGAGCCCAGGAGAGCACCTGTAGTCAGCTTCCTCTAGACCTGTAGGGACCCTTCCCCCATTTCTACCACTCTCTTCCAAGGGATATTTCTGGACAAAGCTCTCTTTTACCAAGTCCAAAGGATGAAAAGAAAGATGAAATTCCTAAAAGGGAGTGCATTGACTTCAGTTACATCTTAGTAAAAGGGTTTCTCTCTGTCTGACTTAGGAACTAGAATCATGTCTATGGGACAATAGCAGAGGTCCCCTCTTTCACTAATTAGCTCTATATCAACATTGGAGTGCTCCAAGAGGAAAGTAAGACAGCCTGGGTGGGGAGTGGGTATGACTGAGAGTAGAGAAGAGTCCTTGTTGGTATGACCCTCACGGATCCTTTTAAAATGAGCTAGCAGAAATCTTCTCCCCTTAAAGCCTACCTCTCCCATTTCTATCCAGCTACTAGGAAGAGCCAAAGAGTGGAATGTGGGGAACTGGGTTAATTGCTTCAATTTCCGGTACTCTAGAGATACACCTGAATTTAAAATCTAGATGTCAGTTTCTCCGGGGGCTCTGTAAAATGTGTATGTGCATGTGCCTGTGCATCAGTGTGTGAAAAAGGAGACAAGCTGTCCCTACTTGCCCTTGGTCTGCAGTTCTTTGTGCCACTCGTGTTGAGTAAGGCACAGATTCATCTCAGCAACTCTCTGTTTTGGCCATCACTTGCCACCACCAAATGAGGGCTTCGGGCAGGAGTGAGCCAAATATAAGGGCAGTTTTTATCAGTGATGTGCAAATGGCTCCTTCTCCTCTTCTTGTCTTCTCTTTCCCTCTTTTACTGCCCCTCCAAAATTTCCACCCCTGGATCTTAAGACTAGCTTTTTACTCCAGGCTGTCAAGGAGGAAAAGGATATTGTTACCATTAATTCTGAGTAAAAGATCAATAAATTGATGTTGGGTAATGTGAGTCAGGAATGATTTTCTCAGATGCCTGGGTGAGAGAATCAACTCATGCCATTGAGGGCAGCACCCATCCTCTTGAAGGCACAAGGTAACTGCACACCCTGCATTTCCCCCACCAAAAGAGACAGACACTCTTTTCTCAAGGCATTTTTTAGAGGATCTTTTAGGTTTTCCAAGCTAGCCTAAATTTCGGTTAATAATCTGGGCAGAGGAACTCTGGTGCCCATTTATCGTGTGTTGTTTCAGAAAGTTTAAATGTGCATTTGAAATATTACTCAGAGCAAAGTTCTTTGTGATGTTTATCATGAGTGGGACATATCCCAAATTTTCTTAGCTGTTTACATTGATAGTAGGTCTGTGTATTAGAGTAAAACCTAGCTCTGGTTGATTCTAAGGATTTGTGTGTATGTCTGTGTGTGTTTTGTTATATATTTTCTGTATATTGGTGGAATATCTAACCAGAGCCTTAATGTGTCTATATAAACTTGGGTTATCAGGTCGCTTGGATATTCTCAGAGTACATATATTTAAATGGGAATGTTCCCATTAGAACAAAAAAGAAATCAGATTTCAGAGTAAAACTCTACCTGATACTTGAATGTCTGTTAGGGAGCCTGTGGGGGCAAACTGCTCTCTCTGGGGCATGGGAAAGAATTAGTGGTTTGCTCCAGTGCTCTCCTCCTGAGTACCTACAACTTTGTCCAGCCCACTAAAGTACATCACCCAACTCTGTTCATTTAGCCAACAGGGCAGGCAAAATGTTCCTCATGGTCAGGTTTTAAAAACAAAATCATGGGTAAAATGTCAGGATTGTAATTGTGCACCCTTCTGGCAAATATTTCCCATTGCCGCTAGTTTGTGAGTCAAAAAAGGGGGTTTTCACAGTGTATCCCTGATATTAGTCATACTTTTCATTTCTCCCTCCTTCTCCCCACTCCCTTAGTGGGAGATGTGAAAGCCCAGCTGGGCCAATCCTGCTTTTAACAGTATCCCTGCTTATAAATTTCTAGCAAATGAAACTCAAATGACAGCTTCTGCTGATGTCATGTGAGGCAAAACAGAAACCAGCTGGAATTGCTCCTGGCAGTGTTGGTTCTTTGGCCTAGTGAGAGAACCAGGTTTGTTATTAGAAACAAAATACTAACAGAAGGCTTTTCAGACTTTTGATCCTATGTGCGCCCAACTGATGATCATATCAGAAATGTGTCTTCTGCAGAGCTAATGATATCTAAAGTAAGAATGTATTAGAAAAGACCAAATGAAATAGACATGATACCAAAGCAAAAGATGGAGAGAAAAGAATTTTTCGCCAGAGAGGAGACCAATGGGTGAAAAACATTGTTGGTGCTGTTTAGCCTTTTCCACTCACTTTTCCCATCAAACTTGGCTAATGTTACTCAGGAAGCTCAGTGATTCAATTACTATTCATTAAGGCTTAGTGCTCTCAAGCTGTTTAAGTATGGCTGAGAACAACTACCTCCAACTGGCCTTAACTTAACCCAGTATACTCAGACTGAAAGCAGGTTTACATTCCAAGAAATTGTGCAGGACTTTCAGCTCATCTTCTCAGCTTTTCAGTAACCTGGTACTTAACTGCCATTTATTGTAAACCCTTAGTGCTTTGTCTTTATTTATAGCATTCTTTAGATGTGGACGTATCACATAACTGCTACTTAACAATTACAGAAACACTAACAGCAATGATGTGGGTTACAGGCTGATGGCTTCCTATAGGCCTTCACAGGAGCTGCAGGTGGAGCCAGGTGTCCTATTTTTAGATTAGTGTTCACTCTTTCAAACCTCCTGCCTCTAAACCTGTTGACGAAGAAGGGCACATCCTGCAAGGTACTTTGCCAAGACTGTGTGGTTTAATTCTCAAAACAATCCCTCAAGGAATGATTTATTTACCCCTTTCTACACATGAGAAAACAGAACCTGAAGTTACCCAAGATATATAGCTAATATGTGGTGAAGTCGGAATTAGAATTCAGATCTGTTTGAGTTGAAAACTCAAATTCAGGCCAATCTCCCTTTCTGAATTCTTTTGGGTATGAACTTCCTGTGGGATATGCCATAAAGTGAAGGGGAAACTGAGGAATGATCTTGCCAGTTAATAAACATGAATTTAAAAAATTAATACATATGAATACAAATACATTTAAAAATTCATTGTCAACCTTGAGTCACCCAGATAAGTGGTAAATGATTGCTAAGCACAAATGTGGAGTTTCTGCCTTTAATACGCAGCTAGTCCTCTGCACTCAATTCTCTGGCTTTCCAAACAGTCAGTCAAAAACAATAGATTGGATTCCAGTTAACCTAATTCTTCAGTCTGCTTGGTGTCAGTTTGAGGTTGACGATAGTGAGACTATAGGTAAGCTTATCACCAAAACATTGTACTATGGGGAGTATAGCTGAGAAGCCATCATTCTGCGCTCTGAGATCTAGTCACTTGTCAATTAACAAGGGACCTCAAATGCTGAATTCAATGAATTCAAGTGCAAATTTAAGAATTCTTTGGTGACTGAATCTCCTGTAATTCAAGTGGGTTCATATTTCCAACTTTACTTCAGACATCTGTGTATTAGGACAACCATCTACTTATTTGGTTTAATTTTAGGAAAGAATTTAAGGTTTCCTGCTGTACTAAGGCAGACTATTAGCTTGAAAGTTATTTTTCAGAATCCTGTAAAAAAAAATCTAGCATTTTGAGCCTAACGCAGTATTTTGAATAATCTGAGACTTAAAGTGTCTTCCCTCTAGCTTTTTTCCATTGCTCTTTGCTCTCTTTACTTATGCAAACAGGCTTCCTTATCCTCTGAGGCTCATTGAGCCAACACACCAGTTGGAACAGAAGCCATGAAAAAGAAATACAACACAGGTCTAAATTCATGATACATGCCCTGATTTATTGCCATCAAACTGGAAAGAGGCCAAGTGACAGAAAATAGTGTTTACTGAGGAGCTTTAAGCTGCTCTTTTTAGGAAGAGGGGACTGGAAATGGTTCTCATTTTAAACACTGTCTGAAATACAGCCCAACTAGAAAGTGAATGGGATGGAGATGTCAAAACATAGGGAAAGAGTCCCTGAAATGGGTTCAGATGGTCAGTCTTCTCTATTTTCTCTGTTGCAAACTTGAGGAGCAGATTAAATGTAAGGGAGAGTGTTTTCACCAACTGGTAAAGTCGTAGCCTGCATCTAGACATTCACAACAACCAGGGGACCCCTTTATTCCTGAGTCCCTCTCCTCTCCTCTGACTAGGGTGATCTATATAACCGGAGGAGTGTTGGCCAGCATTTATGCCCCCACCATCTGCAGGACAGTAATAGAGTCTGAGGAACTTACATTCTGCCTGGGGAGATGTGACAGTTATATAGTAAATGAAGGAAATGCTTAAATTCCAAGTGGGCGAGGCAGACAAAAAGAACAGTAATTAAAAGGAGGAAGTGATCCCTGCATGCTAGAAAAGACTTTAAGGAGGATAATGCATTGAAAGAAAGAATGAGATTTAGAGAAGGGCGGGGGCAGGTTTCTGAGGTAGAAGGAGTGACTTGGGCAAAGACAGAGGAAGGATTGTGGGTGAATTATTCAGAGGTGACATACCTGTATGTGCTTGGGGGACACATATTTATTTATTAAGAATAAATCAATCTGTAATAAGTTCATGTTATGATCTTATAAAGATATACAGATATATTTACTTTTGCTCAGATCTCACAACGTGATGAGGTTGGCAGGAAAGTTGATTCATTATAACAATGACAATGCTGAGCTTCAGAAGATTAAGTGGATTTATTTAGGCTACAAGCTAGCCAGGAGCTGAACTAGGACCGAAATGACAGCCCCCTGACTTTGACTGCAATTATTCTTTCTCTATGCCTCTCTGCCCAAGATTCCTTTCATTTCCTAATTTAGACTGGGTCTGGCTCTAGGGGGTAAAGAGGTCAGGTAAGGGAGGTATAGGAGGACATTAGCAAAAGAGAGCCCGGGGCCAGAACGTGGAGGGCCGGAAGTTAGAGAATGAGTCCTGCAAAACGAATGTCACCCCACTGGTGGTTAAAGGCATTCTTGGGCAAAGGGTCTGCAGTGAAAATAAACATCAGAGGCACTTATTTATTTAAATGAGATTCCCACTGGGTATCCATGGCCTCATGCCACTGTGTATAGAGCTATGTGGGAGAACCTACCACACAGGGGAGGATAAGGTTCTGTGTGATTACATACTGTCTGATATCCTTAATATACACAAGGGGGAGAAGACTAGAGGAGGGTTGAGGACTCTTAAAATCCTGTCATACCGTGATCTGTCCACAGATTGTAAGGGTCTATGGCAAAGTATGGTATGAATGAAATGGAATCTATGTATGAATTTGAAGTTACAGAAACAGATAATTTTCTGTCATCTAACATCTAAGCAGCTTTGCCCTAGAAACTCCTCTAAATATATTCTAAATATGGCTTATCCTTAATTTAGAATAGGGAGTCCAAAACCATGAACAGTAAGTCCCTTTCTCTTACCTTTGTTTTTACTGTTTTGTGTTTTTACTTAAACATTCATTTTATTTATTTCAGAATAGTGTGGTTTTGAGCACAAAACAGTCAGAAAAAAAGACCTAAAATATACCAACTTAAAATAAAACTTTGGTATCTGCGCTCCCATCAAGATCTGAAGAAATATTTTCAGATGCCATAAAGCTAATTAAAAACAAACCAAGCAACTAAAAATACCATCACCACATCTTTTTATAGCTGCCTTTAATCTTGTTTTAAGGCTAATGTGAATCAATGAATAAATTTGGAGAAATTTTGTTTTTCCCCTTAAAAAATTATGTTCCTAAAACAAGCATTTCCTACCCAGAATGTCCGTATGAGCAGGCATAGAAACACATGAAAAATAAACTAAAGCATGTCTATTTAAAATTAATTATGATCTGAAAAACAAAACAAAACAAAACAAAAACTTCATCCCAGAAAACCTTTGTTAACGTTCCATTCAAAGGCTATTGAACACGTTTAATTTCCTTGAGGGAGAGTATTTTGTCATGCGGGGAGAATTCTTAGAAGGGAAAGCCTGCAGGTAGCAATACAGACATCTCTGACAGAGAAAAATAAACAGCAGGATCAAGCTGAGACCAGATTTATTAACCATTTTTGATAAAATATTTGGAAGAGGTACACAGCCTGGTGATTTGCCCTCTGAAAAATGCCAAGGTAATAGTCATAAATATCGGAAATAGTTTATAAGTTTAGGCGGATAAATAGAAAGTTGGTTGATACATTTGAATGTAGTCAAATGCAAGAAAATTGGCTGATAAATTTGTATTTAGTCAAATGCAAAAAGTTGTTTACAGAAAAATGATTTATAGAGGTTTGCTTCTGAGCTTAGTGATGATGCAACAAAGGGCAAATAGACAGCGTTCATTGCAGACATCAGCCTGGTGATCTATTTGGGATCAAGGATCTCAACAAAGACCTGGTCATCATCACAATAAAATTTCACATCCTCCCACCTCCAAGGTAAGCAGCATTATGCCCACTAGCTTGTGGGATGTGGAACAGAGTTCTAGCTTCAGCTCAAGGATTGAGTAAAATTGGTAAAATTGGAGAAGGCTCAGGGAAGGGCAGCTAAATTAATCAAGAGAGTAGAGAAGCTTTTGTATTAGGTTAGATAAAAATAGTGAGACGTTCTCAGAGAAAAGATTCAAGAGGACCTCTTAAAAGTAGGGTTATCCTTACTGTATCCAAAATAAATTACATTTTCTCAGATTTCTGGTGACTAAAGTATTTCTTTTGATTGCTTTGTCTTTCCTCTTTTTTTTTTCCCCCAGAAGACAGGGGTCATAGGATGAGGATGAAAGACAGAGGGCTAGGTGAAAAATACCAGGTCTGAACCAAAGAGAGGGCTAAACTTAGAGTAAAAAACATCCTGTTGGAAAACTGCAATATCAAAAGACAAACACCACCAACTCTGTGCAGGCTGAATGTGACAGTGAATATATTCTATGTGACAAAACGTAGGCCTAAAAGTCATCATAAAACCTTTCTGCAAGGTTTTCTAATAAGAGTTCTAAATCACAGAATGTTTCGTAGTGCCCAGGGCCTGGCTATGAAACTCTCTTAACCCTGTGAAATGTGAATAATAGTAGTAACCACTGTATTAACCAATATCTAATCAGCCAGTGAGAATAATGAAGATCAAAATTAGGGAAGGAAAATAACATTTATTGAACAATTATTGCATGCCAAGTATTCATGTAATGTTCACAGCAGCCTTGCAAAATAAATATTCCTTTGCAGAGTTCACAAATAAGAAAAGTGAGACATGTGGAGGCTAGTAATGGAGGTAAATAATGGAAGTGAGTAGAAAACTCCAAGCTGTCTTGGAGACAAAAAGAGGCCTTTTCAAATGGCCCTTTTTGGTCCTAATTATGCTAACTGTTCAGCAGAACATTTGTAGCTTAGATGCAGTCACTACCAGCCCTCTCTTCCAAATCATCTCTTTGGGTTTTGCTTCAGTGTGAAACTATCACTATAAATGAGTATTTGTTTGTCTTCACCCACCTCCAGCTGATCACTGCTCCCAAGGCTGAGAACAATATGTATGTGCAACAACGTGATGAATATCTGGAAAGTTTCTGCAAGATGGCTACCAGGAAAATCTCTGTGATCACCATCTTCGGCCCTGTCAACAACAGCACCATGAAAATCGACCACTTTCAGCTAGGTTCTCTTAAACATTTTAATTATATTATTGTTTTTCTCATATCTAAGGTGGGACAAACTTTATGGTAGAGGTACATGGGGGATCCAAAAGAAAATGAAGATGTTCAGAGGGCTCTTTGGTTGTGATAACACAGGTCAGTTTGCCTGCTTATTTAAATAGCCATTCCAGGATGGTTCTCGTTTAAGTTTTAAGCACTGTAAAAAAGAAAAATACGCAAACACTCTATTGTCTGAAAGTCAGTAAGGTGGAAGAAAATGGGAAAAGTAACACAGTGTGGGAGAGAATCAGAGAGGCATTCAGACACTTTTTCTGGGTACTGAGTCTTCTCGCCTGTGAGCAGCCCCGTCTGATCTTCCTGCAGACTCTCCGCTGCAGGTGACTCATCACAGATGGGACTTGCCAGACTCTCGGAAGTACTTGACTCTGGCAAGCCTGAGGAAGGAATTAACCAGAACTGAGAGAAGCTGTTAAGATAAATGAAAAGTCACTGAAAATATGGACTGAACTGCACCCAAGTCCTTTTGGAGAGTAGAAGAATTTGGCTGAATTTAGAGTTTTCGCAATTTTACATATGAATGGTGCATGTGAGACTCATGAGGCGTACAGCCCAGTGTTGGACAGCTGAGATCTAACTCATTGCAGTTCTCCTGGGAACGTTGCAAGATTTACTGTGATTAGTTAAGCCTCATAGTCAGAAGCCCAAAATATGACCCACCCAGTTTATTTCATAATTATTGCATCTCTAGGGCTTTATTTTTTAAAAAGCTTTTTTTCTTATATGCACTTTCTACTGTTTTGTTGTTGTTCATGGTTTAACTACAAAAAAAAAAAACCTTAGAGTAATCCTTTATATTCCATCGTTTGCATATTCTGCATAGTTTCCGTAAAATATATTTCATCTAAAAGCACTTGAAAGAATATAAAATATATTTAGTAATATATAACTAATTATTTGTTAGTCAACATTTAACTTCAATACACATAACATTATCACACAGATTTTTCTGACATACGATCTTGGTGTAATTGAAGACATACTAGTTATATTATGTCACGATAATGTCAACTTGATTTGAATATGGTCTAGCCTTCTAAATCATATTTTTTTTATTGTGGTAAGTACACTTAACGTGAAATCTTCCCTCTTAATACATTTTTAAGTGCACAATACAGTATTGATAACTATAGGTACAATATTGTACGGCAGATCTCTAGAGCTGATTCAGGGTAAAGTATCAGTTATGCATTCTCTACTTTAAATAGCCCACCTTCCTCTGAGGTGGCTACAAAAGAAAAATAAATAGCATCTTTTCCAATGTCCCATCATAAATTATTGTGGATTGATGATTTATTTTTAGACATTTATCCTGCACTGTGTGTATAATTTAGGGGGAGAACAAGCAAAAAAGGAATTTTCTTAACCAAAACAACAATAATGATCATACAAACAAAAGACACAAAATGAATTCTGGAGACAGACAGATTTAAATCCAGGGTCACAATTTACTTGTTGTGTGACCTTGGGCAAGCTACTCCTAAGTCTTAGTTTAGAAGATAATCATATCTATTTCACAGGATTAAATAAGATAGTATACAGAAATGCCAGTCAGGTAATAGGCACTATTATGTGGTCATCCTCTGCATCACCATTTGATCTGGTAGTCATCTGGAAATCAATGAGCTGTCACACTTGTCACTAGAGCACCTATAATGGCAAAATACTTGTTATTGCTTTGTGCTGATTACAGAATGTTGACACAAGAACCCTCACAACAGCTCATCCAGATCAGGCTGCATTATTATTCTTGGTGATAAAACTGAAGCCCAAGAGACTAATACTACAAAGCCACGTATTTATTGGCTAACTAGGATTCAACCATTTGTTTCCTGGATTTTTCAAATAATAGCATGAGGGCAGTGAGCTTAATTACACTCCAGATGTCCAGAAAGGAAGTAAGTATTCAATCCAGCACAAAGACTGGTGCTGGCTAGTGATGAAAGCCCTCACAAACCAGGTGTTCCCAGTGTCAAATGTGTTACCTACCAACACTTTCACAAAGTGTTCTCATTCCTTATTTCAGAGAAGCTTGGAAAAATCATTACATCTTCCACCTCAACTTCTATATGGTCCCATTATAAGCATCTGGTACTGCCTTGGCAAATTTTTAGCATAATCCTACTGTTTTCTAGACATCTGGATTGAATATGAACTGTAGAGGGGCTGTGGGTCTTTTTTTTTTTTTTTTCTGCCTTATTGGAAATCAGGTATTATGATTTGGGCATTTTCCTCACTGAATGGTAGCCGGGACCTGATTTTGGGGTGGGAGATCTTTTATTTTGTTTCTCATCTAATTCCTGGAAGGCCTCTCTTTCCTTGTGTCATGTCCCAGTTTACCCTTATGGGAAAGGCTGTAGCACTGTGAGCCAAGACTGGGAGTCGGCCATGGGATAAAAAGAATTGGCATGAGCCATGGGCTCAGTGAACCAAAAAACTCCAGCCTTGACTGACTTTCAGCTGGAAATCTATCAGATGGCCTTACTTTTCCTTAAAAATAAATCAAGCTCTGCCTACTATTCCAGACTTTTACTGGGCCTTGAAAGCAGGGGCACACATCCAACTACAGTGTGGGCCGTACTCACCAGCTGGTCCATCTTGCTAAAAGTATTTGGACATCACTGATGAACCTACAAACGCCAAGAAACTTACCTTAAGATTTTAGGCTTTCATGTAAATAAAGTTATTTATGCTTGAGCAAATTCCAATGCCTATCTGGTTTTGTCAGCACAGAGTATATTGCATGTGGGGTTTAAAATGGCCTAACACATAAAGGCATTCTTTCTTGTTAGTGATATCTAAAATGTCAGTCTAGGATAGGAATGTTGGGTGTGTATGTTTAGTGAATGGATTACAGACAAATTTTGTCAGATAGGAAAAAGTTGCTGGCTAAAGGCACTTCATTGCAGAATGAAAAAAGAAGTGGGGGGAAATGCACAGCAAGCATGTTTCTTTCTTAGCAATATTTAGAGATGAAAAATATTTTAACATTGGCATTTTATCACCAAATTTTAAGAGCTAGAATACACAGGACATTTAATAGGGCAAGGGAAGTTTTTTGATAACTTCTTTCAAAGAAAGGAGAGTTTGAGGGTAATCAAGAGAGGTAGCAAAGTTCATGGAGGTGGAATATGGCAACAAGGAGAGAGAAAATGTTGATTTCTTACTATCTAATGACTTCATAAGTCAATTTTTAAAATGAGAATGGTACGCCAGGTGCAGTGGCTCATGCTTGTAATCCCAATACTTTGGGAGGCCGACGTAGGCTGATCACTTGAGGCCAGGAGTTTGGGAACAGCCTGGCCAATATGGTGAAATCCCATCTCTACTAAAAATACAAAAATTAGCTGGGCATGGTGGCAGATGCCTGTAATTCCAGCTATTTGGGGGGTTGAGGCAGGAGAATTTCTTGAACCTGGGAGGCAGAGGTTGCAGTGAGCCAAGATTATGCCAGTACACTCTAACCTGGGTGACAAAGTGACACTCTGTCTCAAAATAAATAGATAAATAAATCAATAAATAAACAAAATGAGAATGATAGTATACAAATCAGTCTAAAATACCCTTTCTGTCTGATCCTGTTGAAGAGAATTGTTCTTTCTAGAGAAACCTCAGTCATCAGGATCCACAACAATTCAAAAATGCTGCTTTGCCTCTGGGGCAGTCCTGAAAAATAGACCCTTTTCCCCCAACTTCTCCTTTCATCAGTGGTGACAGTGCCTGGCAGCTGCCTTCTCTAGACCCTGCAACACTGAGCTGGGAGGAGAGGCAGGATGAGTGCTCAGACTTCCACACAGTGGCTGTGTGTCCCCCTCTGCTTTGATAAGTCTTTACTTATCAATCATTCTGTGCCCTAGAGACTAGAGAGCCTGTCTCCTAACCTACTCAGTCTTCTTAGTCCACTGCCCTTGCTGCCTCCAACATCAAGCATATCAGTGTCAAGACCAATCCCTGACATTCCAAGGGGGAAAAGTGCCTGATATGTCAAATGTACAAAACAAGTGTTTGAAGAATGTAGTGGAGGGATTGGCTCTTCCAATTGTAGTCATCAGATAAGGTATTGAAAATATCAGAGAATTTTGAAAAGTAGGTTGATTTAATGGAGGGACCTTGAAAAATGAGTAGGTTTTTTTTCTTTTGATAGAATAATGACTAGATCAAGGTATTTTTGTTTTTGTTTAATTTTTCAAAGAAATACTTTTTTTAAATTTTCAAAGTCAAAGCTATATAAAAAGGTGTACACAGACAAGTCTTGTATCCTTCCTGACCCCTTTACCCTGCTACTCCCTGCACCCACAGGTAATCATTTTTGTTAATTCCTTATTTATTCATTTAGTACTTTTTTAGACAAATACAAATAAATACCTATATATTTTTCTTTTTATACAAAATATAGCATATTATATATATTGTTCCACACCTTGCTTTTTTCACTTAAAATATTTCTAGGAGATCTTTCTTTATGAGTATATAGCAATCTTCCCCATTTCTTATCAAAAAATTGTGAGATTCTCTCATAGTTTAAACATTTTGTCCATGGACACTTGGACTATTTTCAATATTTTGTTCTTACACATATATCACACATACATAGAGCTATATATGAACAAGGTTACGATTAAATTGTGAAATTGTGTGTGCATCTTTCCAATACAGTCTAAGAAACAGGATTGTTAGACTAAATAGAAAATGTAGTCTGAGTGGATACTTCCTGATTTCTCTCCACACAAGTTGAATCATGTTGCAGTTCCAACAACAATGTTTAAATATGTCTATTTCCCCAGACCTCTCCAATTAATGTGTGTAATCAAACTTTTGGATGCTTTTGACCAGTGTAATATGTGAAAAATGGTATCAGTATAGGGTAGTATTGATTTGCATTTCTCATGTTGTGAGTATGATTGAACACATTTTCATGCTTAGGGAGCATTTATATTTCCTTTTTAGTGTTCTTTGCCCATTTTTCTATTGCGTTGTCATCTTTTTCATCCCAATGCATAGGTACTCTATATAAATTGGAAAAAAATTCAGACTCCCACCTCCCCTTTCTACTCCAAGATAATGACTCATTTGTTTAGGAATGAGGTCCAGGAATCTATATTTTAAAATGTTGCTCAGGTGATTCTGATTTGCTATTAGGTTTGATCTAGAGCAGAAGGCTAGGTAGAGGATAAGAGGTGAAGAGAGGGCTAGAAATGTAGTTTGGCACCTGAAATTAGATTTCTAATACCAAGATAAAGTATTCAAACTTTATATGTAAACCATGTGAAGTCACTAAATATTTCTGAATATATTTTTCAAATATATTTATAACTTTAAGATTTGATGGAGTCAATCTGTAGGACAGCAATTCACTTGGACAGGACACACTCTTTATTAATAAGACAAGTTGCTCTTTCTAGAGAAAAAGTGATCAGGAATGGCCAGGGTAGTCCCACCTATCAATTTAATCAGGTCACTCATCTCACAGTGGGGTAGTAGATAGGAAAATGACCCACTCATAGAGTAAAAGGGGAGTAAGCAGATCAATTGCAAAGTAATTTAAACTTATCCATTTCCAATCAAAAGGAAATAAGTTCCAAGCTGGAGGCCAAGGTTATCCTAACTGAAATAACCTGCCATGGACTGCTCAGCACTCCTGGCAATGTTCTTGAGAATAAAAGCAATTTAGCTTCTGCTGGCATCTACCTCCTGGCTTATGCAAAGCACAACCAAGAGAGTTTTGGCCCCTACTGACTTCTTGAAAAGAATCGTTATATTTTAAATGCCTTACAAATATGTTTTATTTAAAAGACCTAATGCATGCAAAACCAATTTTAGAAAAAAATATATATGAATGTGTTTTCTCAAATTACATTAGACTGTGTTGCGGGTTCACAAGATCAAAGGAAAGTGTGAAGGTTTTATGGTGGGTTTTCTACACAGTCCCAGAATCACTCACCTTATCTATACCTTATTACTGTCTTTTTCATATATCTTTCTTATGGGAGAGTTCTAGTGATTACCAAATCTTTACTGAATGCTGGGGTTGTATGCTAGGAACTGTGCCAGCCTGAAAGGATGTAAAAGGTGACCAAAACTCAGTCTCTATTGTTGAATTACTCATATCTAGGGGGAAGACAGATATGTAAACAACTGGTTGCAATGCAAGGTGATTAGCATTATTACAGAAGAATGCCAAAATGTTGAGTGCACAAGTGAGGTGAAGACAGGTTTCAGAGACAATAAGAAGTACTCATGTGGACAGCATTCCAGGAAGAGAGGGCACATTTCTAGAGACCGAAAATAGGGGGCTGGAGCATAACATGTGGAGGAAGAGTTAATAGATAAGTTTATACTGCCATAAATGATCTTGTATGCTATGACAAGGATTTAGATTTTCTCCTCTGGGACAGTAGCTCTTTGTTTTTAGAGTGTATAACAACTACCCAGGAAATTTTTTAAATGCAGATTCCTGGGCTTCACCACCAGTAATTCTGAGTCAATTGATCTGGATCCAAGAATTGTAATTTTAACAAGCACTCCTGGTGACTGTGATGAAGGTGGATAGTGGATCGTACTTTTACAAACTGCTAGAAGAGATTGGGAACTTTCAAAGGAATGCGAGAGGCTAAAGTAGTCCAGGCATTAGTGGAATTGCCTGAACTTAGGCAAGAGAGGGTTGGAGGAGGAGAATCCACGGATGTCACAAGGAAAGCAGTTACAGATGGAAGCTTTAAGCGTAATGCCTAGCACACATTTGGTGTTTAATATGTTATAACTGAAGCTGAATTTTCTGCAGTGTCATTGCTGTCTATAGTGAGTCACGAAAGGACAAATACATGAAAAAATTTAGTACCACCTGAATTTGACTGCTGATGTTTGGGGTTGGAATTTTTAAAGAATAGCACTCTAGGCAAATGTCTTACTACTAGGGCCAGACCTTATCAGCACATAACAGAGTTCACCTTCCCTGGGAATCCCTCACCTCAATAATCTTAGGTCCAAATCCCAGCAAATGGGCTTGAATCTATGAAGCATTTCAGCTGGATCAGGAGTATGTAGACAGTTTAGAGAATGTTTCCTAAAGATTTTTTTCTTCTGGCTGGGCGTGGTAGCTCATGCCTATAATCCCAGCACTTTGGAAGGCTAAGGTGGGTGAATCACTTGAGGTCAAGAGTGTGAGACCAGCCTGGCCAACATGGTGAAACCCCGTCTCTACTAAAAATACAAAAAAAAAAAAAAAAAAAAAAAAATTAGCTGGGCATGGTGGTGCATGCCTGTAATCCCAGCTACTCAGGAGGCTGAGGTGGAAGGATCACTTGAACCGCAGAGGCAGAGGTTGCAATGAGCCAAGATTGCACCACTGCACTCCTGCCTGGGTGACAGAGCAAGACTCCATCTCAAAAATAATAATAATAATTTTTTTTAAAAAAAGAATTTTTCTTTCTAAGCCCTGTAATCCTTACAATCATTAGTGAGCTTAAACAGAGTTTGGATAAATTTAACAAGAACCTGCCAAGTCTATGTTGCTTTTCCAGACTAAAGAGAACCTCAACACTGAGCCCTGATTTAGATAGAATGCAGAGCTCAAGAAAGACCGGTGGCAGGAGCAGGAGCTGAGACAGGATGTAGCTTCACACATACTGGCCTAGAGTGGACTCTGTCCTTCTGTAGAGTTGCCACCACCCTAGTCTGATGCAGTGTTGATTAGGACTTTCATTGTTTTGCTTTGGCAGATTCTCCTACTCAGCACAAACATGTAGATATTCCTATAATCTGGGAGTGCAAAATGTTTTATTTCTAATGTTTGGTTGAAATATTTCAGAAAATATTTTGGTTGAAAGAAAACCGGCTTTGAAATTGGTTTCTTGCCATATACTAGTAAAGCAAAGTTTGCCTTTAATCTTGGTCCTGGGTCCTTTCTACCCTTGAGTGTGAGGCATTTTGGCATAGCAGAGAGAACACTGGGTGGGAGTGAGGTAATGTCACCTGAGTCCTAACCTCACTCTATCATTAACCTGCAATGTGAACTTGAGCAAGTCACTCCTCCTCTCAGGGTCTGTGACAGATTGGGTTTTCTGAGAGACAGAGTCTGAGACTCTGAGTTTTGCCTGCAGGCAGTTAACACAGAAACAATACTTATGAGGGGTGAGAGATACAAGACTGGACAGGGAAAATTTGAGCTGCAATAGAGTTGGACCTTCCAAACTGTCCACTTTGAGACAAAGGGGATAGCTTTTATATCTATCCCCTCTTTTACTACATCAACCATTGAATGTGAGCTGTCCTATGGTAGGGGTGTGACTTGGGGAAAGGTGGCTCCCTTCTAAGTAGATCAATTGTCAGAGATCTAGCTGCTTATATTGACAGCAACCTTAGTTGTGAAGGTAGCAACTGGACAGCACACCACAGTGTCCACTACAGTTTCCTTAGTTTCAACCTTAATAATGTGATGGTGTGGAGCCAGATAATGTCTATATTCAGTTTTCTATTGCCATAATAAGGTGAGGTAACAAAGACCACAAACCTTAGTGGCACATACAGTAAGCATTCATTTAGTGACAAGTTTCTAGGGTTCAGCTGATCTGGGCTGGGCTTGGTTAGGTTTGCTCATGCATCTGCAGTCAGCTACAGGTTGGGTAGGAGGTTCTGCTGATCTTGGCTGGGCTTGCACGCATGCTGGGGGTCAGTGGGCTGTCAGCTAACCTGGGTAGCCTTGGTTAGAATGAGAACAGGGTAACTTGGCTTGACTAAACCTCCAGCAAGCTGGTGTGGGCATATTCTCATGGCAATGGCAGAAGCAAGAACAATCCCTAATGTATAAGCCCATTTCTAGCTTCTGCTTGTGTCATTGTGCTAATATCCCATTGGCCAAAGCAAGTGATATAGATGCGCTCAGAGTCAAGAGGCAGGACAGCTCAACCCATTTCCCATAGGAAGAAGCTGTAGTTACTGGGCATAGGTATAGGGTA
Organism: Homo sapiens; assembly: GCF_000001405.40. Lineage (NCBI taxonomy): Eukaryota > Metazoa > Chordata > Mammalia > Primates > Hominidae > Homo > Homo sapiens. Next base: position 112,621,103 of record NC_000003.12, on the reverse strand, counting down.
TAGCTATAGGGAGGGGGGAAGAATTGGTGTTATATTAAAAATCTACTACAATCTCCAACTTCCTTCCATCTGAGCCATTCAGTGATTTTGTGACTTTGTCCATTAAGTAGATGCTAGTGGTCTAATTCTGGTTCTAAGTAGGAGCTTGAACTCTGTCCAAGTTATTGATTTCTGAATCTAGCACTCAGCACAGAACCAATTCTGGACATTAGTGATAAATATTTCGTTGAATGAACAAAAGCAAGAATGAATGTATGTTGGGAATTAAAAATTGTAATTTCCAAATACAAGATAAAATCTGGTTTGTAAAGTCTTAGAATCAGAACATTAGTTAAGAACATTTTTTAAAAAGCAGTTTTTGAATGATTTTCTTTATTATTAGTATTACTATTCACAAAGTAAAATATGTTCCTTGTTAAAATTTGAATAACATAGGTATGCAGAGTAAACAATAAAAGTTTTCACTTCACCTTTTCCTGTGGACTTTTTCCTATGTGTATTTCCAAATGAATGTATCTTCTTTTGTTTTTATTTCCTTACAACCAGGAATAAAGTCATATTATGCATTTTGTTTTGCAACTTGTTTTTAATACTCAACAAGATATATTTAAAAATATAAATCTAATAATTGTAAATTAATTTAAATTTTTTCTAATAACAAAAATGTACATTTGAAAAATAGTTTATATGCATGAGGCCTATCACTTTTTATGTTGCAGACAGTGCTTGGTTCTCATCTAGGCTCTCAGCTCCTTTTCCTTTGGACCACCTCCATGAAGCACTGTTATGACTTTGGGGAGGAAAACAGATTGATTCTTTCCCCTCTCATTTTGATTTGCTTTGGAGAAATAAAGCTCCTTCTTTATACACTTTCAGCAATCCTAATCAAATAAAAGTAACAGTTAAATTGTAATCATCCCCTTTTTATTAATGAAGAGTAATGTCTGTGGTACTCAAATTATAACATCTTATTTGCAAAATTGTGGTTGTTTTTACTGTGATATAGTATTGTAGTACAGTGTTAGTCACTGGGTAGTGATGTTGGTAATAAGTGATAGGCTCTCATTGGTAATTTTCCTGTTATCATATATTTGCTAACATTAATTTTTTCACATTTGTTTTTAATATAGGGGATTATTTTGCAGATAAAATCTTAGGTAGGGTTGAGAGATATACTGTGACTTGTTTTAGCGGGAAGAAGTAAATAAAGCTCTTCTGTCCTTGAAAATGTTAAAATGCTTTCCTGACATACAAGTTGCCATGTAAAGCCACTAGTATCTTGATTTTCATGCTTCCCATTAATCCAGTGACACCTTCTGGAACCATTCTGAATTATAAGGATTTATTTGGGGAGGCTGATGATTGAAAAAACATATAGTGATTTAAAATTTCCATAAATTGTCACATTTTGTTTTAAACTGTGTTCACTTACAAAATTTGCATTATGAATAGCTTGACTTCTTTTGGAGCCCAAATGAAACTGTGACTAGGTTTCAACAGAAACTCTATTTTTCTCTATAGATATGACATGCTTACTGGGTCCCAAAGTTAATTCTATACCAAAAAAGAGGAACAGACACAGGTTTTAGACTCAGAATTATGTTTAATGGAAACAGAACTTAACAAATTGTCTGGGTCGGTCCAGTTCCCCGGTGAGTTAGGGTGAAGACTCACTCCCTGGGTGAGTTGCAGTCTTCTCCTAGGTATGACTCAGCAGTCTCCACTCTCACTTTGTTCCTTTGTTCCTGTTTGCTGTGAACAGGATGGACAGAGATGGAGCCTTGATCATCTATAGAAGAGTAGCTTTCAAAACTTTATTCATGTGTTTATTTCTATATTTATTAATTTACTCCGAAAACTTTTGTTCAAACACAACGTGAGTTGAATATATAAAACTAATGAAGGCTGGTGTGATTAGGCCCAAAGCCTTCACCCATTCACCTCCCAATGATTTCTGCCTTGCCACACCCATATTCATTCACATTTTATTTCCCTTAAGATAATGAGAAGCCCATGCGAGTGGTGGATGATGAAGACTTGGTAGACCAGCGTCTCATCAGCGAGCTGAGGAAAGAGTACGGAATGACCTACAATGACTTCTTCATGGTGCTAACAGATGTGGATCTGAGAGTCAAGGTACAGTTTCTTATTCTGAATAATGTAGTACTATTTCTTAGAATAGCAAATCTGAATTGTTTTGTTAAACAGTCCATTCAATGTACGAGTAAGCATAAATTATTTTATAAATGGGAAAGTTTTGAGATGGGCCAAATTTTCCATGTTGTCCTACGAATTTGCATCCAGAAATGTGGTCTCTGACAAAGACTGAGTTGGAGTGACTTCCCACAGCCCAGCTACTTGACTCAGACTAAATTCTTTTCTAACAACAATGTTTTACATTCATAAGACACTAGTTAAATAGCTATGATGTGCGAGGTCCTGGAGATAAAAGGTGAAGAGTGGTCTCTGCCTTCAAGAAACCCATATTTAACATAGGCCTATCTCAGAGGGGTCTAGAAGTGTGCCTCCTGATCCAATGTGGACAAGAGTTTGGGGTTGTTTTTTTTTTATTATTTTGAGACGGAGTCTCACCCTGTTGCCCAGGCTGGAGTGCAGTGGCGTGATCTCGGCTCACTGCAAGCTCCACCCCCCAGGTTCACGCCATTCTCCTGCCTCATCCTCCCGAGTAGCTGGGACTACAGTAAGCACCCGCCACCACACCCGGCTAATTTTATTTTTGTATTTTTAGTAGAGATGGGGTTTCACTGTGTTAGCAAGGATGGTCTCGATCTCCTGACCTCGTGATCTGCCTGCCTCGGCCTCCCAAAGTGCTGGGATTACAGGCGTGAGCCACCACGCCCTGCCAAAAGTTTGGGGTTTTACACCTAGTTTCTTTCTATGCTTGCGGACAAAAGTTCTGAACCATGAAAAACTATACCATGTAATAATAACAATAACAAAAATAGTCACTTTATCAAGTGCTTTCCTTATGCCTGGCACTTTCTTCAACCCTTTGCAATCCTTAGTCTCACACGTCTAAGATAAATGCTAACATTATTTTTGTTTCACAGAGGAAAAAACAGAGGCCCAGAATGGTTAAGTAACTAGCCCAAGGTCATCATGCAATTAGTGTTGAACTTCATTCCCACAGAGGCTGGCTCCCGAACCCACTGTCTTAACAATTTTGGCATACTGGCACTATATCACTGAAAATACATTTTACTAAAGTTTATCTTAATACTTCTTTAAAGCATTCCCTAAACAATTTTTAAAACAACTTATCAAAATGTTCTTTTAAAATTCCAGGCTTCTGAAACCATGTGAAATGGGGAACACAAAAAATGTTCATGAAAAAGTCATTCATATACCATGCTTGTGTGAGAATCTTCACGGGAAAAAAAGGCTGTCTATGCTATCAGAATAGCTGACCCAACATGCAACATATTTCTGGATCTGGAGAAATGGCATCATTAGTTAATTCTGCACACATGTTGTCTCATCTCTAATGAGAGAGGTTGGGCCAGATAATCTCTAAGGTCCTTACCAGCTCTCACATTCTGTGATTTACTGAATTCCCACAGAGGGCAGAGCTTCGAGCCATGTCCAGACTGCTCTCCAGTTTATGCTGATTACGCTCAGCCAGCCCCTAAATCCATCTCAGGTTGCTTTTGTAAGTCCAGGCAGCTGTGATTCAGGAATCTGAATTTCATTGTCTTTAAGTTGGATCCCAACTTATTTCTGAGAATAGGTGAACAAAAATGACTTAATATTAAGTGATGTTTACTCAGTAAAACAATCCCTGGGACCACAGAACAGGCCTTGGTGGAAAACTACTCTTATTGCTCAGGTTACACACTTGAACATGTTATTCCATTTAGTTTCCTGTGTTAGGTACAGTGTTTCTCAGTTCTTCTCCAGTTGTTAGTAAATAAGAACCAGCTTAGTCCCAAAGGTAGAGAGGTGAACCTAGGACTTGTATGGTGAGGAAGGCATGGACCCTTTCCAATAAAAGGAGCGTAGTTAAGAATTACTTGTAAAAGAGGCAGTTGTTTTATGGACTCCAACTCTCAAAACATCAGCAAAGGGTACTATTGCAGGAGAGCATTTATGAAGCAATGAATCTTCTAGGCTCTGATTTCAAAGATTTCCCCAGAGCTCCTCTGAATTCTCACAGGTTCTCTATCCTCTGAATAGAGAGAAGAAATGCACTTGTACATTAAATGCATTCTGTTTTTTCTTAAACAGCAATACTATGAGGTACCAATAACAATGAAGTCTGTGTTTGATCTGATCGATACTTTCCAGTCCCGAATCAAAGATATGGAGAAGCAGAAGAAGGAGGGCATTGTTTGCAAAGAGGACAAAAAGCAGTCCCTGGAGAACTTCCTATCCAGGTACATCACCTTTGGAGTCGCTAAAGAGGAAGGTGCAAATTTGTTCTGAGTGAGCTCATGAAAATGCCAAAGAAACACAGATCCCACAGGTGTTTACAGAGAGTAATCCTCCTTGGAGAAAAACCTACCCATCTCTGGCCACTGAGCTTAGTCTTGTCCTGTTGAAATGTCTCTGGCTACAGGGCTGGCTGGCTGCAGCTCCAAGCATCAATGTTGATTTGGTGACTCAGGATAGGTCTTTTCTCTGTTTTTTTTTTTTTCTTTTCTTTTTTTTTCTCTTTCTTTGGTACAGAATATAGAATCCTGACCTCCCAAGAAAGTTAATTTACTCAGTCAGTAAATCTGGAGATCTCTGCATGTAGCATTTTTATTTTACATATTTATTTATTAGGCCCCTTCTGGTTCCAAACAGGATTTGGCACACTGTGCTTGATTTTCCGCTTCCTTCCAACTCTGCAGGAAACAACAAAAGCCCCACTAAGACCTCAAAAGGAGAAATCCTCTTGACCCAGTTTCACGAATTTTTCGACACTGTCGTTTATTGAAGGCCATCTTGTGGCAACCCCAGTGTCCATGGGGGAGGAGCATACCCAGAGAAGAGTGTAAAAACAACTCCATCTGTTACAGGACAGGGGTCCCAATCCAGACTCCAAGAGAGGGTTCTTGGATCTCGCGCAAGAAAGAATTCAGGACAAATCTGCAGTGCAAAGTGAAAGCAAGTTTACTAAGAAAGTAAAGGAATAGAAGAACAGCTACTCCATAGACAGAGCAGCCCCGAGGGCTGCTGCTTGCCCATTTTTATGGTTATTTCTTGATGATATGCTAAACAAGGGGTGGATTGTTTGTGCCTCTCCTTTTTAGACCATATAGGGTAACTTCCTGACGTTGCCATGGCGTTTGTAAACTGTCATGGTGGTGGTGGGAGTGTAGCAGTGAGGACGACCAGAGGTCACTCTCATCGCCATTTTGATTTTGGTGGATTTTGGCTGGCCCCTTTACTGGAAACTGTTTTATCAGCAAGGTCTTTATGACCTGTATTTTGTACTGACTTCCTTTTTCATCCTGTGACTTAGAATGCCTTAATCGTCTGGAAATGCAGCCCAGTAGATTTTAGCCTCATTTTACCCAGCTCCTATTTAAGATGGAGTTGCTTTGGTTTAAACGCCTCTGCCAAATCCACTTTTCTCCCTTCCCCTCCCCTCCCCCGATGTAGGATGAAACTTCTACTGAGACTTTGGGGCCCTAGGAGGTGCAAAGCTGCAGAAAACTACACACAACAAACTTACAGAGGTCCCAGTATCAACACCACTCCAACTATACTGTGTGGTTAAGGGGTTCCAGAAACCAAGCAAGCATGTAATACACATTTAGTGCTTGAGCCTCCAAGCAGAATCTTTACTCATGTCTCTAAAAGCACATTCTCCATATGTGAGACAGAGCATTAAGAAGGATATGATTAGTAAGTGGATAAACCGAATTTCTACAGATTTGTGAGGCTTGGGTCTTCTGGGATGTAACATCATGATATATAAAGGGTACAGAACTTACCATTCATCCAAGTTTTGAGTCTGTAACTTACTAGCTATGTTGATCCTTTTCAATTAACCTGCCTCAAAAATCTCTCACCCATAAAATTAAAAACGATAGCAAGCAGCTCTATCTCCATCCATCTCCATTTCACATAGCCATTATACCTGTGAACACTTTTTGTGTGCTAATCTCTGTGCCAAGCACGTCACCTTCATTCCCTAGTTTTACCCTTACAAGAATCCCATGAGCTAAATACTGTGACTATTGTCATGTTGCAGGAGAGACAACTGAAGCCAATGGAGATTAAGTAACTTTCTCTCATCACTGAGCTAGTGTCATCTCTAGGAAGTACCCTGGGACAATCTGACTCCCCAAATCTATCGTCTTATCTTATGCTCCTTTAGAAAATGTGAATTATTATTAGTTCTGAACCTAAAGGCCTAGAATTTGAAGCAAAGGAAGATACTCTTAAAACCACAGAATTTCGGCCCTGAAAGGAACCCAAGGCTCTTCCTTCATCCAAATTCTCAATGCAGTACAAGTATCCGTAATGGAAACAGAAGGCACACACCTTCATAAGGACTTAAAATCAACTCAGCCGTAGGGGCAGCCTCCACTGAGAAAGGGCTCTGAGCTTCACGGGACAATGGCTCTTTGTCTGGTCTCGGGGGTATTAAAACACCAACTTCTGATCCAAGATCATCACTCCAGATGACGATAATTGAAAAGATTTATGCTAAGAGCTTTTCTTTTGCTCTTGAGGTGCTTTTCTTTTTTCTTTTTAAGGTAAAAATTCTTTAGAAGTTTATTTTTTATTTTAACAGTGATAAATATACTTCAAGTTACAAATTCAAGACCTCAGTTCCCAAACTTCTGAATTAGGCTTCGAAATTTTATTTTCCAATTTATAACCTAGCAAATTTTTGCCATCACTTTTAAGAGGGCTTTGAATAATGTTTGATCTTGCTTATAAACCCAGTAATTAAACAACTTCATCATTTCACGTAGGCATTATACATTTAATACATTTCTTTCAATTATTTGAAATTAAACAAACAAAATCTTTCCTAGTACTTAAAGATCTGTAAGTTAATAAGTTAATTTTACAAATACAGTGAATCTAACGTTCTCTCAGATGTTCTAAAAACTGCATACACTGTAAGATTTCAACTTACCTGCATGCCTAAACCAATTACTTAATTACACATTCTAATTTGTAGTTTCAAGTTGTCATTTTATTAGGCCAAATTCTCTTAAGCTTCACAATAATATATTTATATACATATACATATATAACCAGAATTATAGATATATACAAACATATATATAATTATTACTATATTACTATAATTTTGATTCTTTGGAAACTTTTTCTTCTTAATTCTAAATCTTCCAGGGTTAGTGATCTATCCCAGTAAACTCAGGTTGCCCACCCTATAAAGCAGACAGTTATCATCCAGTTCATTGATGTTACTTAAAACCAGAGATCTGTCGTGAGACTGGCAGCTACAGACATCCTCAGAGATTCTTCTCACCATCCCTAGGTAGAGTGTCTTTTTATAACCACTATGTCAAGGGTTTCAAAATTTGAAAGGGAAAGCTGACATTATCTCAATTTTCTTCATTCACAAAAGCTTATAATACTCCTGTAGGTTGGTTACTTAAATTTTGTATTTTTTTTTATTCTCAAGAAAGTACAAATATTATAAAGTCTTTTGTACTAGATGGGGTCCTAACATATGTAAATGTATTTTCCACCTAATGTAAGAGTTTTATGGGCTCTTATCTTCATTACTACTATAGGAATATACATCTTTTATGGATATTCAGAGATATATATAATTACAATTTGGATGTCCCATAGCGGTGCCTGATTTGTAGTCATAACTCATAAAATCATTCTGCTAATAATTGTAATTTATTTGAAGGATTAAAGTGGAATAGTGTACTACTTAAGGCACAAGCAAGACAAAATGAGTTTGATTCCAGGTTCCTCTATTTACTAGCTGTGTGACCCTGAGCTAATTACTTAAACACTCTGGGCTTCAGTTTTCTCATTTGCAAAATGAACATAGTAAGTGTATTTTTGTTTAAGATTGTTGTGAAGGGTACATTCAATACTAAAGGTAATGATGGCCCAGGACCCAGTACAAAGCAAGTAGTCAATAAATGCTACTTATTAGTAGTCCTAGGGTCAGTTATTCTGGTCCTATAGAGAACTTTGCCATCCAGGAAGAGCTACCAGAAAGAGATTTAGTAAATACTCCAGAATTGAAACCCAGGCAAAGAGAAATGAAAAAAAAAAAAAAAAAAATTACAGTCCTGTAATTAAACCAGTATCCAAATGGGAATTTTCCTTCAAATTTGCTGAGTGGTTGATGGGTTTACACAGGCTAGTTTCAGCTGACCAGACCCTGAAGCCAGTCTAGTCTTCAACAGCACTCATTTGGTTCAGGGTATAATCACCTTTCCCTGAGACAGAAACCCCAAAGAGTGGGCAAATGCATACTAATTTGGGCATGCCAGTTAAGAGAAGCAAACACATTCACAGCTTGTAAAGTTTTTATTTACTGGGAAGCTAAAGTGACAGAAAAACAATTTGTCTAAAATAAGGGTCTGGGTCAGTTTCATAACTCTTGTTACATCTTTTGGAAGTTTCCTTCCGTGTCATGAGCTGCAACCTTGTATCTTAATGTGAAGGTCTGTGGGAAGCTGAAACATGACTTAGGGGAAATGACCTTCTCTTAGTTGTGTCTGGGACAGGGAGTCTGACATCCCATCCCTCTCCAATCAGGACTGCATTCAGTGTGCACATAGGTAAACAAACCAAAATAGACCTCACCCAAAATAGCTCCTTCCAAGACACCCTACAGCTCTGTGTGAGGCCAGGAAGGCTAGTCTGGTTTGGATGCTGGCTAGGGGGCCAGCGCTGGTCTGGCATGCCTCCTAAGGAAGCAGGAGAAGTACCTGAGACTGTTGTGTTTGTGATCCGACAGCAGTTACTGTTCCCTTTCCTAAGAAACCTTGGACAGTCTCAGAGGCTCCTTTCTTGTCCTTTGTGCCAGACACATTCAGCTCCCTGTCCTCAGTAGAGATTTTAGTTTTTCTTTCCCTTTTTAAAAAAAAAAAAAAAAAAAAAGCAGAGGAAGTGAATGTAATGTCACAGCAAGCAATACTTGGCGAGCCTTGCGGCAGGCATCCATTCAGAGGTTGTATTTCATCAAACTATCATTTTCTCTTATTCACCCAAACCACTATTCCCTCAAGAGGCCATTTTCTTTGGGGTTGAAAACTCTCATGTTCACTCCTGATGCTAGAAGGGGCACAGGGATCAAAGCCATGAATAAAATTAACTGGCTGTCAGCTCTGTGAGTGCACCAACACCCTGCGGTCACCTGCACTGAAGGCAAAAAGCAAAACACCAGTGAAGATGGAAGTTGAGACAACGCTATACAGTTGCCCCTTAGATGCATACCTTCTCTCTTTTTATACCCTCTTGCAGACCCTGATAGCACCAGCCAAAATATCAGTGTCTGAGGGTAGTAGGTCGGGGAAACCGCTGGACCTGGAGTCAGAGAAGTGTCTGTATTTTGGTAATGCCTCTTAGATTTACTAGTTGGGCAAGTTATTCACTTCTCTAAGCCTTGTTTTGTTATCTGCATAATGGGGAAAATAATCCGCAGCCTCACTGAGCTCTAATGAAGAACCATATTGCGTTGGTGAAAGTGAGCTATAAAATGATACACAAACCTAAGGACTAAGAATAGGTTATTTGATGGTGCCGTGATGGATAATGTCAACGTCTGTTAATGGATAAAGTTCTACACCCAGAAGCCTGCAGATTAAGACATAATCCTCTATATCCATGTTATCATGTGGATAACTTGCATTGATAGATTTGAGAGTCTAATTTTTGTAACATTCCTGTGAACAACATACTGCTGTTTTTGATTTTAGAAATAAGGAAGGCTGGGCGCAGTGGCTCACGCCTGTAATCCCAGCACTTTGGGAGGCCGAGGAGGGCAGATCACCAGGTCAGGAGATCGAGACCATCCTGGCTAACACAGTGAAACCCCGTCTCTACTAAATATACCAAAAATTAGCCGGGTGTGGTGGCACGCGCCTGTAGTCCCAGCTACTCGGGAGGATGAGGCAGGAGAATCGCTTGAACCTGGGAGGTGGAGGTTGCAGTGAGCCGAGTTCATGCCACTGTACTCCAGCCTGGTGACAGAGTGAGACTCTGTCTCAAAAAAAAAAAAAAAAAGAAAGAAAGAAAAGAAAAGAAATAAGGAAAAACTGAGACTTTGGTGAATTGAGTGACATGCTCAACGACACCCAAAAAGACAAAAGCTTTTTCTGCTACTCTACTGTGTTGGAACTGTAAAAACAGAAACTAAGTTTACTATATATTCTAAAATCTTATGGTTCTAGGCTTAATATCATTCCACTTTATAGAAGTACTTTGTAAGCATTGGCGCTTATTAATAATAGGGTACATTTTAGAAATTGCATTTGCCTCTGGAAGAACCACTGGCTACTGAGGAAGGTACATAGGGTTTCGTTTTTCCAGGAATCCTCTTTGAACCTTTAAACCACTCTCCCATTTTCCTTTTTCCTGTCACTGTAATCTACTTAAAATACAGTTATCTTTTTCTACTCTATCTCCTTTCCGTATATTCATTTCTTAACCCCCTCTAAACTCTAGCAGTAACTCCACTAAGACGAGTTCTCTTCAGTTGTCCTCTGAGTTTCTCATTTCCATTGCTACAGTTTAATGTACAATTTTGGCCTGTCTTCATTGCATCTGAGAGTTTGTCTCTCCCCAAGTGACCTCATTAGGCATTGTGACCACAGACTCATGCTTGACACGTCATGCAAATGCCAAAGCAGAAAGACTGTGAAGTTACAACAGAAAAACTACAGGAGTGTAGCAATGCAGTTTAATGGCTTTGAGAAGCATGGGACAGTTCTCTGTTTTTTTCTTTTTTTTTTTCTGGGCACAGAAAAAAATTGCTAGCCTAAGTCACTCTGGTTTCCTACATTGGTTTTTATTGTTTGAAGCAGTAAGCAGTAATGGTGTCCTGCTTTTTTTTTCCAGGTTCCGGTGGAGGAGGAGGTTGCTGGTGATCTCTGCTCCTAACGATGAAGACTGGGCCTATTCACAGCAGCTCTCTGCCCTCAGTGGTCAGGCGTGCAATTTTGGTGAGTGGGAAGCCACCTCATTACTGCTTTCCCATACCACTCTCCTCCTGGTCAATTCTAAAATGGAACATAGAACCTTAGATCATTCAAAATGATTCCTAGTTCAGACTGTTCAGGTTTCCAGACACATACTCTACTATATTGAGTATAAAGTTGCTTTTAGACTGGAGCTTTAGTCAACTGTGGATTTTTTTTTCCCTCAATATTCTCTCCTCTCTAGTTCTTCTTCATTCATGTGTTTGAAAATATCTTCTGATTTACTTTTAATGATCTGTATCATTTATCTTCAGTTTTTTTTTAAATTGTCTCACTTAGGTATTACCATTCACTTAGGTAATACTCGAATATCTACTTACATACCATCACTGGATACTCCATAGATTAAATGTCTTTTTTAAAATAGGAATGGCTCTGGGAATAATATATTAATTGAAGCAGACTATATTGCCCTTCTCTTAAAAATGATTTTTATCTTCAAAACTCAGAAGACTTAGTGAAAGAATTTTTTTTAAAAAAGGATTTTTATCTATAACTGAGCACTAAGAAAGTAGCAAGATCTCTTAAATAAAACCTTATTTTAAAGACAAGCAGGCCAAAGAAAAACATAGTTTACTGTTTTTTGTAGTGAATCGCTCAGAATTTTGAAAACGAATATATGCTTTATTTACCAAACATTTTTATTCTAGTGTCCTGAGAGAGCTAATGTCATTTTGGATATGGATATATAGGCAGTAAAATGAATAGTATATAGAACTTACTACTAAGTTCAATGATAAATCAAGGAGATGACTACAATTTCAAAAGTAGAAGTCATGAGTGAAATCTCATATGAGATATACCTCTGCAGAAGAAGAATTTTGAGAGATTCACTGGGCAGGGGCAGGGGCAGGGGGAAGTAGCTAAGGGCAACAAATTAAAAAATTCTCCATTAGAACATAGATGAATCACCATTATTTTGATGCCTCTATTAGGAGGAAGAATCATCTACTAGTTACAAAACTGTGCTTGATTTGTTTTTTAAAAGGGAGGAGGGTAAGTTTTGTAAAGCATTAACAGAGCCAAGGTCCTTGTTATGACCTAGTATGTGTAAATTATAAGTACATTTTAATTTTAAGATATGAAATAACTCAAAGGAAGGCCAAAACCAAACTCATAATAGTAAGAACAATAGAAAATTCAGAAATTTTTATTTGTACTCCTATTATCAAGGTTAATAATTTAAGACTTTATATTAACATATAAATTTGATTGTGCTAGTATTCTTAAGCACACTTTAAATTATTTATAGCCACCAATGTGGCCAGTTAAGATAGAAATTCTTACAGCAGTTAAGAACCTTTACAAGAAAAATATAAATAAAGCCACAGTTTTTAAATTTTCCAAAGATGCTTTTGTAGCAGCTATTTGGTGGTACTTTATCTTTAAATCTCTGCACACAGATCCTATGTCACATTGTGAAAGCAAACTCTTTTGTACTATACCCAAAATGCGAACAAGTCATGTTCACATTTATTAATTAATGAATAATTAAATTGATGATCTTCCCTTTTGAAAACATGACTAACCAATATGTAGAACAGAATAGTTCACTTCTCTGGGAAAAGAGTAAAGGTGAAAAAAAAATTTTTTTGAATAGCATTTTGCCTAGATTTTAGCTTCTCCTTAGAAGTACCCTCCCATGGCAGTGTTCACTTTTCTCTCCTGGACAATAAACAGCACCAACAACCTTATTATTAGTTCCAAGTTATTATCCTGACTAGGTTGGGACTTTATTTAAAACTATGAAAGCTTGATATGATGGCTTGACAGCCCCTTTGTCCTCCTATTTTCTTTCTCTGGAATCTCTTCATATCCACTTCATCTTCAAAAGAATTCCAACAAGCTACCAAGGCATGACCTTCCCTCCTGTCCTGAAACTTTAGCAGAGGATATGAAGGCAAGCTGTGCTTGCTTAAATGTCTTCCCTTTTAATCCTCTAAATTAGTGATAAAAACATATCCTTTAAGCCACTACAGTTTTGTGTGAGGAAGCAGAACAATTTCAATTTCTTTAACCATCACAATTGATGGAGTCTGTAGTCTTTTCTCTGAAAGTTAAGTTATCCTAAAAGCTGTTATAAATTCAGAACACTAACTAGCTTAGATCAGCTCAGATATTTTAATGTTCCAATGAATTGCTTCATCTTTTCTTTTTTTTGAGACCGAGTCTCTGTCACCCAAGCTGGAGTGCAGTGGCGCGATCTCGGCTCACTGCAACCTCCGCCTCCCGGGTTCAAGTGATTCTCCTGTCTCACCCTCCCGAGTAGCTGGGACTACAGGCACGTGCCACCACACCCAGCTGATTTTTTTTATTGTTAGTAGAGACGGGGTTTCACCATGTTAGCCAGGGTGGTCTCTATCTCCTGACCTCGTGATCTGCCCACCTCGGCCTCCCAAAGTGCTGGGATTACAGGCATGAGCCGCCGCGCCCAGCATGGCTTCATCTTTTCTTTTCTTTTTTGTCATTTAGTAGAATGAGAATCACAGTTCATCTTCTTTGAGGTTTTGAAAGTATTTTCTTCCTTATGGTAAAAATTTAAAATGGATTATTCTTCTCAATCGGGTTATGCTCTATATTCTTTTTAAATTTAAGAGATTTTTAATTGTCAGATATCAGGGCTTTGAAGTAAAAGATAACTTCTAATCCTTTCCTCTAATCCTATGGTTTTCTTTTTTCTCTCAGGTCTGCGCCACATAACCATTCTGAAGCTTTTAGGCGTTGGAGAGGAAGTTGGGGGAGTGTTAGAACTGTTCCCAATTAATGGTAATGTGTTGTTATCTTGAAACAGTATGAACTAGTGTTAAGTTCAGTTAAATTACATTAAGTTATATGCAAGCAGTGGGTGTATCTCTAAGGTGAACAAAGTTCATTGAATCCTCCTCCCACTTCATGCATTTGTGCATGTGTGCCTGTGTGTGCACGGGATATGTAGGGGAAGGGGTGTGGAGTACAGGGACTAATATTATTTCTAATATAAACCATTCCAAGTAACAGTAAAAATATCCATTTTTCTTAACTAAAATAATGCTTTTTGGGGGTCCGTATAGGTCCTTATGGTTTACAAAGCATTTTCTTCTATTTTATATCATTTAATTCTCACAATAGTTTTGTGAGGCACATAGGTCATATCTCATTGATTCCCTTTCAACAGATAAGGACATACACTAAAAGGCTCAGAGAAGCTGAAAGACACATACACTAAAAGGCTCAGAGAAGCCGGGCATGGTGGCTCACGTCTGTAATCCTAGCACTTTGGGAGGCCGAGGTGGGCAGAACACTTGAGGTCAGGAGTTCGAAACCAGCCTGGCCAACATGGTAAAATCCGTCTCTACTAAAAATACAAAAATTAGCCAGGCATGGTGGCATGCGCCTGTAGTCCCAGCTACCTGGGAGGCTGAGGTAGGACAATCGCTTGAACCTCGGAGGTGGAGATTGCGGTGAGCCGAGATCACACCACTGCACTCCAGCCTGGGTGACAGAGCAAGACTCCATCTCAAAAACAAAACAAAACAAAACAAAACAAAACAAAACAAAACAAAAAAAGACTCTTGACTGAAGTTTTCAGAAAGCAAATCCAGTCCTTTCTTCCAAGACCAAGCTCTTTAAATAATGTGTGTAAAATACTTGGCAGAATGCCGGACACAGCAGACTTGAAAGTGTCAGCTCCTTTTCTCCTTCCCCTCTATTCTTTTCACTATTCACAATAGTTTAAATATTCCTCTAGATCTTAACAGAATTGATATTTTCACTTTTAACAATGAAATAAGCTTTTTATCATTAAGATGTGTCAAAAGGTAAGCTGTAGTTACAGAGAAGTAACTAAGCTAATTGGAAATAAACTTAGAAAGATAAACTATATAATCCTTGTTAGTGACAAATTTTAAAGAAATTAGTCTTGCCAGGATTAAATTAAGGAATTGGTTTTATACTTTGTAACATTCCTACAAAAGACACATCGAGTGCCCCAAAGTTTGACCCTAATCGTGTTGCAGAAAGCAGGGACATTTAATTTCTAGTAGAAAAAGCCCCAGCAAACTTCTTTAATTAGATTTTGAACTAAAGAGAAGAGGCTCATGGGTCCTCCCTATTCTCACAGTAATTTCCTCACACTTTAATGTTTTCATGGGCTCTGACTGTTTAATCTACTAACAATAACTATTCCAATGTTATTCTAGGGAGCTCTGTTGTTGAGCGAGAAGACGTACCAGCCCATTTGGTGAAAGACATTCGTAACTATTTTCAAGTGAGCCCGGAGTACTTCTCCATGCTTCTAGTCGGAAAAGACGGAAATGTCAAATCCTGGTATCCTTCCCCAATGTGGTCCATGGTGATTGTGTACGATTTAATTGATTCGATGCAACTTCGGAGACAGGAAATGGCGATTCAGCAGTCACTGGGGATGCGCTGCCCAGAAGATGAGTATGCAGGCTATGGTTACCATAGTTACCACCAAGGATACCAGGATGGTTACCAGGATGACTACCGTCATCATGAGAGTTATCACCATGGATACCCTTACTGAGCAGAAATATGTAACCTTAGACTCAGCCAGTTTCCTCTGCAGCTGCTAAAACTACATGTGGCCAGCTCCATTCTTCCACACTGCGTACTACATTTCCTGCCTTTTTCTTTCAGTGTTTTTCTAAGACTAAATAAATAGCAAACTTTCACCTATTCATGAGTTATTATTGAAACCTCAAATCATAAAGACATTTAAAAGAATTGTTTTTCTAACTGGAGGGGCTCTAGTGCTAAATAATAGTACTGAAAATTGATATTATTTTCCTTTTCTTATATGAAGGACCTTATTTGGCATATAAAATTTTATAAAATATGTATTTAAAGCTTTTTCTTATTTTTTGTATTAATTGGTAAGTGAAAACTCTGTTAAAGATCACACCACAATGTTTTCAAGAAACATCTGAAAAGATAAAACAAAGAACAAATAACTTATAATACTTACTTAAATTGACACTTTTTGAAATGCCAGTCTGAAAATAATTAAGATATCTCTGCTTTGTATGAGTTTCTTTTATGAAACTTGATACCACGGGAGTCCAGTAATATTGGCCACAAAAGCCAGAGAAAGTACCAAGCCCAGCTTTGTTATCATAGCCACTTCCTGCCCTGCTTCTGTTATTTTTAGTGTTTTTTCAGATATAAATCGGGGTCCAGGAAATCCTCACCAGAATCTGGCACTGCAGCCAAAGGCGATACTTCCAGAGTTCTAGTAGGCTGCTATGGAATTTCTGGCATGAAAATTCTTGACCCCTCACACTTTACCCCCTGTACAGCACAGGCATACCATGGAGATATTACAGGATCAGTTCCAGACCACCATAATAAAGTGGATATCGCAATAAAGTGAGTCACACAAAATTTTTGGTTTCTCAGTGCATATAAAAGTTATGTTTACACTCTTTAGTAGTCTATTAAGTGTATAATAGCTTTATGTCCAAAAAATGTACATGTTTTATTTTAAAAATACTTTATTGCTAAAAATTGCTAATGATCATAATCTTTTTGCATTGATGTTGATGGCTGCTGAATGATCAGGGTGGTGGTTACTGAAGGTTGGGGGTGATGGTGGCAATTTCTTAAAATAAGACAGCAATGAAGTTTGCCACTTCGATTGACTTTTTCTTCATGAAAGATTTCTCTGCAGCATGTGATGCTGTATGATAGCATTTTACCAGTAGTACAACTTCTTTTGAAATTGGAGCCAATCCTCTCAAACCCTGTTGCTGCTTTATTAATGAAATTTATGTAATGTTGTAAATCCTTTGTTGTCATTTCAATAATGTACATAGCAACTTACGCGAGTAGATTCCATCTCAAGAAATCACTTTCTTCGTTCATTCATAAGAAGCAAGTCTTCATCTATTAAACTTTTGTAATGAGATTGCAGCAATTCAGTCACATCTTCAGGCTCCACTTCTAATTCCAGTTCTCTTGCTATTTCCACTATGTCTATAGCAGAGCTTCCTCCAATGAAGTCTTGGGCCTCTTAAAATCATCCATGAGGGATGGAATCAGTTTCCGAACTCATTGATCTTCCTATTTTGACCTTCTCCCATGAATCACGATGTTCTTAACAGCATCTAGAATGGTGAATCCTTTCCAGGTTTTTAATTTGCTTTGCCCAGATCCATTAGCGGGATCACAATCTGTGACAGTTATAGTCTTACGAAAAGTGCAAATGACTCCTTGATTCCTGTGCTGCACAATAGGTATTGTGTTAGCAGGCACGAAAATATTAATCTCCTTGTATATCTCTATCCAAGTTCTTGGGTGACTGGGTATATTGTCAGTGAACAGCTATATATATATATATTATAGTGGTCTGGAACTGATCATTTATATATATATTTTATATACATATATAAAATATATAATATATATTATATATATATATATTTTTTTCGAGATGGAGTCTCGCTCTGTCACCCAGGCTGGAGTGCAGTGGTGCGATCTTGGCTCACTGCAACCTCTGCCTCCGGGGTTCAAGTGATTCTCCTGCCTCAGACCCCTGAGTAGCTGGATTTACAGGCGCCCACCACTACACCCAGCTTATTTTTGTATTTTTAGTAGAGATGGGGTTTCACCATGTTAGTCAGGGTGGTCTCGAACTACTGACTTTGGCCTCGGCCTCCCAAAGTGCTGGGATTACAGGCATGAGCCACTGCGCCCGGCCCGAACAGCAATATTTTTAAAAGATTCTTTTTTTTTCTGAGCAGTAAGACTCAAAAAGTGAGCTTAAAATGTCCAGTAAACCATGCTGTCCATAGACATGCTGTCATTCAGGCTTTGTTGCTCCATTTATAGAGCACAGGCAGATTAGATTTAGCATAATTCTGAAAAGTCGTAGGATTTGGGGAAATGGTAAATGAGCATTGATTTCAACTTAAAATCACCAGCTGCGTTAACTTCTAACAAGGAGTAAGCCTGTTGGTTGAAGCTTTGAAGTGAGGCATTGACTACTCCTCTCTAGATACGTAAGTCTGAGATGGCATCTTCTTCCAATATAAGGCTGTTTCATCTCTTTTGAAAATCTATTGTTTAGTGTAGCCACTTTCATTAATTATCTTAACTAGATCTTCTGGATAACTTACTGCAGCTTCTACATCAACATTTGCTGCTTTACTTTGCACTTTTATGGATGCACAAGGCTTCTTTTCTTCAAACTCATGAACCAGACTCTGCTACCTTCAAACTTTTTTTCTGAAGCTTCCTCACCTCCCTTTAGCTTTCATAGAATTGAAGAGAGTTAGGGCCTTGCTCTGAACTAGGCTTTGGCTTAAGGGAATTTTGTGGCTGGCTTGATCTTCTATTCAGATGACTCAAAGTTTCTCCATATCAGCAGTAAGGCTGTTTTACTTTTTTATCATTCATGCATTCACAAAGTAGCACTTTTAATTTCCTTCAAGAACTTTTCCTTTGCATTTACAACTTGGTTGTTTGGCATAAGAGGCTTAGCTTTCAGCCTGTCTCAGCTTTTGACACACCTTCCTCACTAAGCTTATTCATTTCTAGCTTTTGATTTAAAGTGAAAGATTGCAACTTCCTCTCACTTGAAATACCTGGAGGCTATTTTAGGGTTATTAATTGATCTACTTTCAATATTGTGTCTCAGGGACTAAGGAGGCCTGAGAAGAAGGAGAAAGATTGGAGAAAGGTTGGTTGTTGGAGCAATCAGAACATACACACATTTATTAAGTTTACTGTGTTATATAAGTGTGGTTCATGGTGCCCCCAGTAATTATAATAGCAACATCAAAGATCGTTGACTACAGATTTTAATAACAGAGATAATAATGAAACAGTGTGAAATATGGCAAGAATTACCAAAATGTGACACAGAGACATAAAGTGAGTACATACTATTGCAAAAATGATGTCAACAGACTTCCTTGATGCAGGGTTGCCACAAACCTTCAATTTGTAAAAAATGCAGTATCTGAGAAGTATAATAAAATAAGATGTGCCTGTACTTACTTGCTAATGGACCTATTACCATACTGGCATCTTATAAAAAAAATTACAAGGAAGGAGATTATATCCAGGGATTCTTTTTGTTTTCAAGGCAAAGGTTACCAAGTTACAATGGACCAAAGTAGCTGGAATGCAAAGGAGTATAATCCTTGTCTTTGAAAAAAGAGCATTTGTTTCAATCATATGGCATATCAAAGTAAACTTTCTCCCTTCCTCCCTCCTTTCGTTGCTGCTGCTTCTTTTTTTTCTCTTTTTTTTTTTCTTTTTTTGGAGAGGGTCTCACTCTGTCACCCAGGCTGCAGTGCAGTAGTGCAATCTTGGCTCACTGCAAACTCAGCTTCCCTCAAACAATCCTCCCACCTCAGCATCCCAAGTTAGCTGGGACCACAGCCATGCTCCACCATGCCCAGCCATCCTTGCTTCTTTACTACATTTCTTTTTTCAACAAATATTTATCAAGTAATATTGTCAAGTAATATTTATGAGCTTCCCCTCAGATAGGCATTTAGCATCATGATGGCACCATCCTCTAACAATAATGGGAAGGCTATTTTCCACTGTTATTAATCATTAATTCTCCAAATCATTTTAGTATTATTATTAATTCTAATAAGTACAGAGATTAATAAATGCATTCAAACCACATGTGAATATTTGCTATAGGTTTATCTGTGCCTACTGTATGTTCAGATTTTTCTTTATATCTGAACTTTGTTATAAATAAATGACAGTAAAAATGGAATTTATAGTTCAATGAACTTGACAAATCACTTATTCTGCCATTCATTTTCCATAAAGACCATTCATTCTTCCTTGTTTTACAGGTAACTGAGCTCCAGAAAGCTCAAGTGACTTTAGAACTCAGTTCTTAGTGTGTGAATTATGCTCCCATCTCATCCCTCTTCCTTGATGGAGCACTTTCCTCCTCATTTTTTCTTGGATAGTCTGTACAAGCTGCCTGAGGTGTGCAGGAAAGTGAGCCACGTCGAAGTGTACTGCTTTTAAATTTTTGCCAGGATGAAGCATAGCCCAAAGTTGCCAATAAAAATGGATTTCTTTACCTTTCTGAAATTGTGTGATGACAATTTCTAAGTAAAGGACCCAAATCATGTCAACTTCAGGAAATATAATAATGAGGGAGCCAGGAGCAGTGAGGGGCTCACACCTGTAATCCCAGCACTTTGGGAGGCCAAGGTGAGCGGGTCGCTTGAGCCCAGGACTTCGAGACCAGCCTGGGCAACACGGCAAAACCCTGTCTCTACAAAAAAATACAAAAAATTAGCTGGGTAAGGTGGTGTGTGTCTGTGGTCCCAGCTATTCAGGAGGCTGAAGTGAGAGAATCGCTTGAGCCTAGGAGGTCGAGGCTTCAGTGTGCCGTGATCGTGCCACAGCACTCCATCATCATCATCCTGGGTGACAAAGTGAGACCCTGTCTCCCCACCAAAAAAAAGAGGGAGTTTCATCTCCCAAGAAAATGAATTAGATAGGAATAATAGAAAATTTACTCTCAGAATAATAGGGTTCTAGCTCCTGCAACCAAAAAAAGATAGTTCTTTTTTACAACCTGAGATTACTTTTTCAAGCATTTCTCCAGTTCCACTGGCATTGAAATAATAGTTAGCAATGCATCTGAGCTTTTCTTCCTCTAATGAGCAGGCAGAGAAGTCATAGATCATCATTTGGAGGACTATAAAATAAGACATAGCTTAGCAAAAGGACCAAAATACATTCAGAGGAGGATGCTATTGGTGAATGTCCTCAAAGCCTATAATCTGGAAAAATACAAGGCATATCTCTGAAACTGTGAGGATTAGCAAACTAGCTAACCTGAATCTCTGTCTTCTGGTAGTATAAACTAGGTAGTTTCAAATCTGAGTAGTTTCTCCATAAAAGCATTTCTTCCCAAACGTTTCTTACCAAACTCCCAAATAAATGAGAAAAATAAAATACAGTTTTATAATTTTTGAGAAAGATTATGGGATTATGGTATTTAAAAAGAAAAGCATTCTGTAGAGTTGGGGAAATCTGGAAGACTCTTGAGGACATAGCTTTGCCGAAATTGCTGGTTGTCACAAGACTCTTCAAAAACTACTTTTCATCAGACATCTCCCAGGGCTCTGAGGTGAATATTAATTCAGCAGAAAGATCCTTTTCTGCTACATAGGCAGGAGGTCCAGACACAGGGGAGTGGGTGCAACCCAGCTGGTCCCATTTTCTGTAATATAATTAACAATGAAGCTCATACTTTCTCAACTTCTAGAAGCCTGGAGGATGGAAGCAGCCCGAGAGTAGGGTGAATGATGGCCTCAGTGGGCCCTTCTTAATGTGTCTCAGTACTGAATGTGTGGAGATTGTAGAAAAATAGAAGGCCCTTGGAAAAAACCTCTGTTCGTTTCTCTGTTCGTTTCGCTCCCTGATCTCCCTGCCGGATTGCTTTTCTTTCCTTTCTCTTCCTTGGCTGTCCTTTACCTCATGGTGTGGGGTGTGCAGATAGCAGGTTGTGGCTTGGTGAGTGCTCTTCACTTCAGGTCAAGGTGAGGCACAGTTAACATGCTAACTACTTTCCTCAGTTCTCTCTGAGTTGTGTAAAGCTCCCGATGCCAGACTTCCTCTTAATTTTGCACATTATTAAAGTCCAAAGAGTTAAGATTTGGTGATGAGGGGCAAAGGGCCAGCTGTCACAGAAATCAATGAAATGATACACAGAAATGGGTATCATGAAAAGGCCACTGGACTTGGGAAAACTGGGTGCCTGTCCTTGCCCTGCCATGTACTTACCTGTGTGACTGGAGGTGAGATGTTTTACCTATGGGCCTCAGTTTCTCATTACAAAATGACAGAGAAGACTAGATACCTAAGTTCCTAAGTTTGTGACATTTGTGAATTTTTCTTGGCCCTCTGTGAGTAGAGTGCTAAATTTAGAGGCTTCCTGTGGTTGAACTGATGTCCAATTCTCAGGGAACCCAGACTTCTCAGTTCAGAACCCAGTTCCAGATTTTTGTGGGAATAGGGAAAGGTATTAAATAACTCCATTGAATTCTTTCCTGCATAATGCCCTGCTGTGGCTGAGACTCAATGAGGTCATCACCTCCAACACACAGAACCCCTCATCATCTCCTTACAGCCAGACTGGAGCTTCCAAGGACATCAGGTTGGCAAGGATTGTGAGTACCCTAAACATCTAAAGAGGCCCTCTAATAAGGGACATATTT
Organism: Homo sapiens; assembly: GCF_000001405.40. NCBI lineage: Eukaryota > Metazoa > Chordata > Mammalia > Primates > Hominidae > Homo > Homo sapiens. The sequence goes on along the minus strand of NC_000003.12, from coordinate 112,598,734 downwards.
GTTCTTCAACAGTTTCCTAACTTGAGACCACAAATGCGTAATCTCTCTAATATCCTAAAGCTTGGACAAACTGGGCAGCCCCTGAGCAGACCGCACAGAGCTTAAATGTCAGTGCTTTCCTTCCAGAAAGAAAAAGAATGGTCCTACACCTCCCAATCCATGGGCTGATACATATGCCAAGGGAGCCGGATGAAGAAGTGGGTGATTTTAAATAGCTAAGACTGCCCATGGGCAAACGTTCTTTGGCTTTTCTCCTCTGCAATAAGTATACCTTCCTCTCTCCTGGTCCTTTTCTCCTTTCCCAGGCCCCTCTATCAATAATAATTCTGGCTCTCAGATGACTACAGTTGATTAGGTGGAACTGATAGGATAAAGGTGACACCCTTCCCAAGGCTATCTATAATGCAAAAAGATATCCAAGAAAAAGAGAGGTAGGGAACACCTTGGGAAACCATTTCTGGAAGACAGCCAGTCCCTGCTGTAGACAAGCCTCATTTTCCTTCCCCCAAATGTTAAAGAGTAAATTCCTCCTGTAGCCTTAGCTCTCTTTTCTATCTTTGGCTTGCTTTTTATGAACTATCTTTAGAGTGCCAAATTAGAACAGGGTAGGCAGAGGCAGGAATATGCCCAAATTTGGGAAGACCTGGTTGGGAATAGTCGAAAGCCTTGATATGTGCAAAGAAAGAACCATTTGATCAACCCAGTTCTTAATACAGGATACTAACTTAAAATTTAGACTCAAGTTATACGATAATTCAAACATTTATTGTATTTATACTATTCTATATGTACTTTTCCAGGAACCAGGAATACAAAACTGACATTTCTCTGTACAGAGGCTCAGACTAGTAGAGAACAGTTAGGTACGCCGTTAATTATAAACTAATATGTATCATCAATTATGGGTTTTTATGGGGGTTTGGCAGGTGGAAGGGACCAGGGAGAGATGATGAGTGATGATGGTTATGTAGTCTTTAGGAGGATGCAATTATAACATTGCTCTTCCTTTCACGCACCACATGATTTAGCAAGTACTTCATATTGGCTCCACCATTAACATGGTCAATGGCTTCTGGATACTCACAGTTCAGGCACAGTTTCTCCTGAAGATTTTTTACCTCTCCCATCTTTAAGAAATTGTCTGGATGTCCATGAAAGATGCTGACACTTGTATTAATTCATTAAAAAACACCACCCCCTCCCTGAAATAAACTAAAAAGTAATGAATTCATAGAAAAAAATTTCACCAAGATTGAAACTAGAGAATATACCTAGACTTGCACTTTGAGCTTTGAGAAATGTGTACCTATTCACCATTCCAACGTGAAGAAGCTCTGCAGTAGGAAAAATAATTAACACACTTATAGTCTACTGCCCATGTAAGGATCAGCTCCGGCTAAGAGGCCAAAGATGGGTGACATCGTTATGCTCTGCCTTTATTTTTTCTTTCTTACCCACTTAGCTTCCTAATTGGAGGAAGGAGGCGTGGTAAAGGTATATGAAGACTATGGTTTAATTAGACCAGAAAACACTGTCATAATCTCTGGGGTCATCAGAATGTCCAGTTTTGTCTTTGGGCCAAGATAAGGGCAGTGGGATTTATGATGTGTTGTTTATAGTCTGAAACTACTCTGGTGATCACCAGGGTCAGTTTCTTTAATGATGGTTTCCAACTGGCCTAATACATTAAGTAAGACTGGCTGATAACATGACCAGACAGACATAAAGACCCTGTTGGGAATGACATTGAACTCTCAAAGTCAAGATTTCTTACACAAATCTATCAGCTGGAGAAAATGAAGGCAGTGTGGTATATGTGTGCAAATAAGGACATTATGAAGCTTAAATATGGAATGTCTCTTGGACCCCCGATGTCATCTGTATTCTCTTTTTCTTCTTGTACTATATCCTTTGCCTGTAAATAAAAGGTTTATTTGATTATGCTGTGTGGAGTCTGGTTTTGCAGGGCAGAATATATATATTAACATATATACAAAATATTAAATCTAAAATGTTAAAATAGTTTATATTGTACGTTAAACGTATAAGACATAAATATAAAACATACAAAATATTATATAGTATTTATAAGTATAAAATATAAAAAATTCTAATTACCAATTTCACAGCTTTAGAGAAAAGTTGTGTGCTGCTTTCAAGGAACTTCACTTAACCAGATTTCTCACCAAATTAGGGGGCTTAATCTAAAACAAGAGAAGAAACTAAAATTCAACTGATACTCCCTCCTCACAAACAGGAGACAGTAGTAATTGTATCTGTGTGGAACTGGCTCTCAAAGCAGGAGTTTCAAGCAATGTAGAGGAAAAGCACACACCCACAAAATTCCCTCATTGCAATTTTCTATGGCTCCTGCCTTCCTTCCACATCCTTGAAGTAGCTTCCAGCCCTTTAGAATAAGTTAAAGATGGCATTCAAACATTGGTCAGGAAAAGAGGGATTAGGTAAGGAAGATTCTATCTATGCTATTTTTTTCTGGCAAATATTAGGCCCAATTGGAATGTTAAACTCTGTTTAAATATGAGTACACAGGAACCTTAAATAAAGGGCCTATATAAAAGGCATACAAACACTCAAAAAATTGCTTACCTACAAAGAAAACACACACACACTTAAAATAGAGCAGGGAAACCTTTAACGTCTTGGTAATTCTACATGAAACAAAAAAGATTAATTTCTGATGGAAAAAAAGGGTGACTCAAATCATTTTCCAGACAAGCTGTCCCTTGTATTAAATGGCTATAGAAAGTAACAAAAAATGCAAAACCTCTTTGAGTAGTAAGATGAATAGAAAAAATCTGGAGTTAGTAGATAATTATTAGATGCTGAAGATAGATAGATAGATAGATAGATAGATAGATATATATATATATATATATATATATATATACCAAACCTCAGGAAATTTATCAGTCAAAACTCTTTTCAGAAAAGAAAAATCTATTTTAAGACTGCTTCCAGCTGATAGATGAATTAGCATTAAAAAGTTATGAATGAGGAAGTTATGTCATGAACAAATTAAGTTTAATTAGTTGTGATAACTGGGATTAATAAACTAAAAGGCAAACTATTCATTCTTGAAAAAAAACTATATATAGTAAAACATTTTTTAAAAGGAACTTCCAAGTTAACAAATTATGACAGCATAAATTCCAAGTGGCACCACAATTTTATATCCCACTAAGAAAGTACGCTGCTAACTAAAAACAATGCCTTTTTATTACTTAGAATTTTTATTTTATATTTGTTTAAAGTGTGCTTAAAGACTGATTTATCATGTATCACTCTCTAATAACATAAAAGGGAAACAATAAGCTAAATAAATTAATAAAGCTATTCCTAAAACATTTTCCCATTTCAAGCCAGAATCTTTTGAATCACTATTTGATTCATTGCTGTAGATGTCTGAAGTTTTCCACACAGAATAGTTCTCTGCACCATTGAGAGAACTGATGATGATGCCTAATTTCTTAAGGGAGTTTCTCTGCTGTCTCCAGGACTTTTTCTCTAAGCCATCAATATCCATTCTGTATAATTTGAGGCTGTCATGTTCTTGTTCTTAACAGGAGGCATCAAAGGAAGATTTTCAGACAAGTAACACCTTTATTCTCTCCTCAAATGGTCCTTAAGTGGTGTGTTGACTGAAATGTCAAGAAGTTGTACTTATTCAGTCATGCCAAATACCTGCATGCACAGGCAAAGACAGCTTAATCACTACCATCACAAGGCAGCAGCTATTTTAACATGCGATTGTTTAAAACATCCCAATTTCAGAGATAGTAATATGTTAAAACACGAGTCTTAGAATTGATGCAATAGAGGACAGTAGACCTGGACAAAATACCCAGAGCTTATTAAGACAAACTGGGAGTTGGGAGGAAACACATCCTAAGTTCCTCATCTTTCAGTGAAGACAGTACATTAATAATTTTATTTTTTGAACTTGATAACATCATTTAGTTCTAAGTTGCTTTTAAAAATGCAAAACTAGTCACTAGTAATAAAACAGACTAGGAGTATAGGTGTAATACATTTCAAATATTATAAAAAGCTTTCAGACCAGTTAAAAATACCAAACCAATACCAACTTTCTCAAAAAAAATTATTGAGTACTAAAGATAGGCCAAACTACACCTAATAATTCAATAAAAATATGCAAGTAACAATAATTAATATAACATTATTAATGATACCAATATTAACATTAGTATCACTATATTAACATCAGCAATATTGTCATATAATATTTACATTATAAAAAATGCAAACAGTATTATCCATAATAATATTGACAAATAGAATTTAATATTAAATAGCATTAGATGGGAAAAAGTGGTAACTTTCAATTATTAAGGACATATATAAATCAGTTAAGATATAACTGGCATGAAGCTTTTTGCACCAAAAAAAAAAAATGGTGAATGATACAAAATAAAAATAGCCAGAAATAAAATACAAGGGGAAAATAACAATAACCTTATAATAAATTTTGTGCTAAGAAACAGAGAGCATATCTTCTGTTTAAATGCTCATGAAACATTCACAAATTTGTTATAAAGGAAATAGTCATAATTCTATAAAAGGTAGACTATAGATATCACCCTTTAACCAAAGATATAAAAACTAGAAATTAATCATTAACAAAAATTGAGGTTATTGTGAATAAAAACTTCAAACACACTACCCTTGACTCGAAACAGAATAGTTGGAAAATAATGATAATAATAATATTATATTTCAAAGTCTTTGAAGATTGGCCTAAGGTATACATACTTGAAGCAATGATTCTACTAGTTATAAATATATTAACTAATAAATAAGAAAAAAAATGTATTTCAACTACACATAAAAGATATTAGAGCATAAACCCTAGGAAAAAACAAGATATACTTTAATAAAGCAAGAATTAATTAAAGAGAGGATTCTAGGAAGATGACAGAGCAAGAAGCTCTGGAAATCTCTCTCCCCACTTAGACAACAGTACTGCACTGGCAGAATCTGTTTGATATGGCTGTTTTGGAACTCTGGAGTCTACTCACTGCTTACAATTTCCAAGGGAAGGCTTGGACTGTAAATTATCTTAAATTTTGGTCAATTACAGCTCTTAGCACAGCAACAGCTTCCCATTCAACACTCCTTACCCCTGAGGCAGGTAATTATGCCTGTGTTCCTAAAATAGCCTGCAAACAGCTTATGGTATAGGACTCAGGAGAGCATCCTGCAAAAAATTACCCTGTCATCCAAATATTGGATATCTGTGCACTGATCACTGATTGCTGCTTCTGATCACACAAAAGCAGACAAAATGGTGGCAGCTAATGGTGTTACACTTCCTCTCATTGTTCTAAGCCACTTTCTCTTGGATTGAAGTGACTTCTAGGGGATTTAAAAGGCTGGGGCCCTTTTCCTTCTCCCCATCCACTTCAATTTTTCTCTTTCCTCCCTTTTGGGAAACTTTCTGGAGCTGAAAGGTACAAAAACTGAAATAAAAAATTCACTAGAGGAACTCAGAGACAGATTGGAGCAGGTGGAATAAAGAATCAGGAAACCTAAACACACAACAATGAAAATTATTGAGTCTGAGAACAGAAAGACTAAAGAAAATTGAACAGAGACCAAGGGACCCATGGAACATCTTCAAGCAGACAAACACACTCATTATAAGAGTTCAAAAGGAAAAGAGAAAGGGCCACATAGAGTATTTGAAAAAATAATGACTGAAAACTTTTCAAATCTGATAAAAGCCATGAGTATAAATATCCAAGAAACTCAATGAAATCCAAGTAGCAAGAACCCAAAGAGACCCCTACCGAGATACATTGTGTCTAAACTGTTGAAAGACAAAGACAAACAGAGAATTTGGAGAGCAGCAAGAAAAAAGCAACTCATTATAAACAGGGATTCCCAATAAGATTATTAGCAGATTTGTCATCAGAAACTCTGAAGACTAGAAGACAGTGGGCTAATATATTTAAAGTGCTAAAGGAAAAACAAAACAAAACAAAACAAAAACCTGCTAGCCACGAATTCTCTATCTGGCAAAACTGTCCTTCAAAAGTGAGGGAGAAATAGGCATTCACCAATGAACAAAAGCTGAGGGAGTTTGTTGCCACTAGACCTGCCCTGTAAGAAGTGCTAAAGGAAGTTCTGTAAGTTGAAAAGGAAGGACAGTAGCCAAGAGGAAATGAGAAAGAAATTTAAATGTTTCACCACAATAAAATTAACACAAAAGAAGACATTAATGCAAAAAACGAGAGGAAAACAGCTTTAAGACATATGTAAAACAAATAGCAAAATGATAAAAGTAAGTCCCTCTTTATCAGCAATTACTTTAAATGTAATAGGTTAAACTGGAGAGACATAGACAAAAGACATACATAGGCAGAATGGATTTTTTAAAAACCACAATCCAACTATCTGCTTTCTACAGGAGATTTACTTTAGTTCTAAAGGCACAAATAGGTTAAAAGTGAAAGAATGAAAAAGAGTATTCTATGCAAATAATAACCAAAATAGAGCAGTGGTGGCTATATTAATGCCAGATGACATAAAGTTTAAATCAAAAATGATTATGAGAGACAAAGAAGGATATTATATATTAATAAATGGTTCAACATAGTAAGAAGATATAACTGTAGACATTTACGTATCTAATAACAGACCATCAAAGAATATACAGCAAAAATGGACAGAATTGAAAGGAGAAATAGAAATGTCTACAATAATATTTGCAGAATTCAATATCCCACTCTCAATAATGGATAGAACAACTAGACAGAAGATAAGTAAGGAAACAGAGGGCTTGAACAACACAATAAATTACCTAGATTTAACAGACATGTACAGAACACTCTATATATCAACAACAGAATACAAATTCTTTTGAAGTGCACATGGGGCATTTTCCAGGATAGAACATACATAGGTCACAAATTATGTCTCAATAGATTTTAAAAGATAGACGTCATACAAGTATCTTCTTTGACCATAACAGAATAAAGTTACAAATCAATAACAGAAGGAAAACTGAAAAATTCACAAATTTGAGGAAATTAGACAACATACTCTTAACCAATGGATCAAAGAAGAAATCACAAAGGAAATTTTAAAATATTTAGAAATGAATGATAATGGAAATATATACCAAACTTATGGGATACAATAAAAGGAATGCTAAGGAGAACATTTATAGCTATAGAAACATTTAAAAAAAAAACAAGATTTGAAATGAAAAACCTAACTTTACAACTTAAGGAATTAGAAAAAGAACAAAATTACCCCATACTAGCAGAAGAACGGAGCTGAGCAGAAATGAATGAAATAGAAAATAGGAAAATAATCCAGAAAAACAACAAAAGTTGTTTCTTTGAAAAGATCAACAAAATTGACAAACCTTTAGGTAGATGGACTAAGAAAAAAGAGAGAAGATTACTAAAACATACAAATGAAAGTGGGGCCATTACTACTGATTCTACAGAAATAAAAAGAATTATAAGAGAGTACTATCAGCAACTGTACACCAACAAATTGGATAACACACATGAAATGGACAAATACCTAGAAACATAAAACCTACCAAACCAAGTCACAAAGAAATAGAAAACCTGAGTAGACTTAGAAAGGAGATTGAATCAGTAATAAAAAAACGATCAACATAGAAAAGCTCTGGACTGGAGGGCTTCATTGGTGAGTTTTACAAACATTTAAAGAACTAACACCAATCCTTCTCAAACATTTTCAAAAACTTGAAGAGGAGACAACACTCCCTAACTAATTCTAAGAGGCCAGGATTACCATGATACCAAAGCCAGGCAAATACACCACAAGAAAATGAAACTACGGACCAATATCTCTTATGAACAAAACTACAGACCAATATCTCTTATGAACATGTAAAAATCCTCATCATCCACAGAGAGCAAGTGTAGATAAACTCAGAACATGCCTGAGACCTGGTTAATTAATAATACTGACTTCTGGGGAGTTGAAAAGAAGGGACTTCATGGTACAGAGGATCAAAGCTGCCAATGTTGGGAAAGGCAGATTGCTGGGGAAAGGAGTGAGATCTGGACCAAGGTAGCATCCTCTGGAAACTTGTGATGAAGGTAAGAATGAAGAAACTGGTAAAAATTAAAGGTCCTACTAGAACAAAATAGAATCTCTGAATCAGAAAACACACTATGCCTATGCTCCAAAACATTTACTTTTATTAGAGTAACTGCATGTGCACACGTGCACACATGCACGCATGCACACACACACACACACACATTCTCAACAAAACAGTAGCAAGCTGAATTCAGCAGCATATTAAAAAGATTATACACTATGACCAAATGGGATTTATTCCTGGAATGATCAATGCAATATGTAACATTAACAGAATGAAGAAAAACCATGTGATTATCTCAATTCATGCAGAAAAAGCATTTGATTCCCTTTCATGATAAAAACCCTTAGAAACGTAGACAAAAACTACAACATCCAATCCATCCAATCCATATATACAACAAACAATCCATACAATCCATACGTAAAAAACGCACCCCAAATATCATAAGCAATGGTGAAAGACTGAAAGCTTTTCCTCTACAATCAGGAACAAGGCAAGGATCTCCACTTTTGTCACTTCTATGAAACATAGCACTGGAAGTCTTAGCTAGAGCAATTAGGCAGAAAAAAAAATGCAAGGCATTCAAATTGAGAAGAAGTAAAATTATCTCTGTTTGCAGATGATATGATCTTATGTGCAGAAAACCCTAAAGATTCCACAAAACCACCACTAGAACTAATAAATGAATTTAGCAAAGTATCAGGATACAAAGTCAACACAAAAAATCTGTTGCATTTCTATATACTAACAATGAACAATCCAAACAGCAAATTAAGAAAACAATTCTGTTTATAATAGCAGCAAAAAGAATAAATTACTTGGCTGAGTGCGGTGGCTCATGCCTGTAATCCAAGCACTTGGGGAAGCTAAGGTGGGTGGATCACTTCAGGTCAGGAGTTCAAAACCAGCCTGGCCAACATGGTGAAACCCCATCTCTACTAAAAATTAGCTGGGCACGGTGGTACCTGCCTGTAATCTGTTACTCGGGAGGCTGAGGCAGGAAAATCTCTTGAACCTGGGAGGTGAAAGTTGCAGTGGGCCAAGATCAGGCCACTGCGCTCCAGCCTGGGTGACAGAGTGATATTCTGTCTCAAAACAAAAACAAAAACAAAAAGAACAGAATAGATTACTTGGAAATTAACTTAACCATGGAGGTAAAAGACCTGTACAACGAAGGCTACAAAACATTTCTGAAAATTAAAGACATAAATAAATGAAAAGATATACGTAAATTGGAAGACAATTTTATTAAGCTGTCAATATTAACTAAAATGATCTACAGATTTAATGCAATCCATATCAAAATCTTAATACTTTTTTTTTGCAGAAATAGAAAAACCCATCGTAAAATTCATATAGAATATCAAGGGACCCTGCATAGCCAAAACAATCTTGAAAATGAAGAATAAAGCCAAGGACTTATACTTCTAGATTTCAAAATTGACTACAAATCTATAGTAATCAAAAGAGTACAGTACTGTCATAAAGACAGACATACAGACCAATGGAATAGAACAAAGATTCCAGAAATAAACCCTCACATATGTAGTCAAATGATTATTGACGAGGATAACAATACCAATCAGTGGGGGAACAGACAGTCTTTTCAACAAAGAGTGTTGAGAAAATTGGATGTCCACATGCCAAAGAATGAAGCTGGACCCTTACCTAACACCATGTACAAAAATAAACTCACATAAACTCAAAATGTATACAAGACCTAAGTATGAGACCTAAAACTATAAAGCTCAATAGAAAACACAAGGAAAAATTTTCACAACATTCAATTTGGCAATGATCTCTTGGATATGACACCAAAGGCACAGGCAATAGAAGAAAAAATAGACAATTTGGACTTCATTAAAATTTAAAAATTTTGTACATCAAAACATACTATCAACAGAGTAAAAAGGCAAGACACAGAATTAGGAAAAATATTTGCAAATAATATATCTGATAGGGGATTAATATCAAGATATATAGAGAACTCCTAAAACTCAACAATGGCAACAAAACAAACAACCAGATTCAAAAGTGGACAAAGGACTTAAATAGGCATTTCTCCAAAGAAGATATACAAATGACCAACAAGCACATAAAAAGATGCTCAACATCACTAATTATTAGCGCAAGGGAAATCAAGTCTACATCATCACACCCATTACCATGGCCATTAAATAAACAAAAACAAAAACAGAAAACAACAAGTGTTGGTGAGTATATGAGGAACTTGGAACCCTTGTATACTGTTGGAGGGAATGTAAAATGATAGAGCTTCTAAGGAAAACAGTATGTCAGATCCTCAAAAAATTAAAAATGTACCCTTTAATTTATAAATAATTACCATATAATACAGTAATTCCACATCCAGGTGTGTGTGTGTGTGTGTGTGTGTGTGTGTGTATGTGTGTGTATATATATATATATACACACATCAGCTATACCCACCAACATTCCCACCAACAGTATACAAGGGTTCCAAGTTCACCACATACTAACACTTGTTGTTTTCTGTTGTGTGTGTGTATGTTTTAGTGGCCATTTTAATGGGTGTGATGTGATATCTCATGGTAGATTTGATCTGTCTTTCCCTAATAATTAGTGATGTTGATCATCTTTTCATGTGCTCGTTGGTCATTTGTATATCTTCTTTGGAGAACTGCCTATTCAAGTCCTTTCCCCACTTTTCATGTATATATACTCAAAAGAATTGAAAGCAAGATCTCTAAGAGATTATTTGTACACTTATGTTCATAGCATCATTATTCACAAGAGCTAAATTGCTGTAAGCAACCCAGGTGTCCATTGATGGATGAATGGATAAAGAAATGTAGCATATACATAAAATGACATATTATTCTGTCTTAAAAAGCAAGGAGATTCTGACACACTACAACACTGATGAACCTTGAGGACATCATGCTATGTAAAAGAAGTCAGTCACAAAAGGACAAATACTGTATGATTCCACTTATAAATGAGGTATTTAGAATAGTCAAAAACATAAAGACAGGAAGTGGGATGTTGGCTGCCATAGACTGAGGGCAGGGAGGAATGGGGAGTTACTGTTTAATGGGTATAGAGTTTCAGTTTTGCAACATGAAAAGGGTTCTGGAGGTAGACAGTGGTGATGGTTGCATAATATAAATATAAAAATGTGCTTAATAACTACTGAACTGTACACTTACCATGGTTAAGACACGAAATTTTATGCTGTGCATTTTACCACAATAAAAATGGAAAAAAATAATTAGAAATAGCTAGTTAGGACCTATATTTTTACAAAATAATAGAAAAAACTTTCAGACAAAAAATTAAGAATGAGAAATAAAACAGAACTACACCAATGGGAAATTCAAAGGATTATGAGAATAAATCATAAACTCCTATGCAAATAAATTCAAAAATCTGTATGAATGGCTGATTTTTTTTAGCAAAACAAATGATCAAGAGTGAACCAAGAAGAGCAAAAGGAAGAGAGAGAGAGAATGTTGTGAGAGGGAAAAATAAAGTATCTCAAAAAAGTGCCAAGCCTAGGCAATTTTACTAGTGAGTTCTTTCAGAACTTCAGGGAACACATAAAGCTGATATTTTAAAAATCTTTCCAGGGCACCAAGGCCAATGGGAGTTAGTAGCATCCATATGGGATTGTTAGGAACATGAGTTGATAAATCCACAGCAGGACAAAATGCATGATTTGCAAAGTCAACAAGTCTGTTATCTTGACAGCCATAGGGTGGTACTTGAAGGAATTAAAACAGCAAGTGAGGGCAGAAGTTCTGCAGGACTGTTGGGGGTCTGTTATGATTCTATTTGAGCAAAATGTCACTTTCTCATTACATTCATATTTGAAATAGAAATTTATTGGTTGTAAAGCTTTGTATTTTAATTTGTAAATGTTTCGGTTTTCAGATAAAAAGCATAAGCAGTTTATACTTCATATTATGTTTGTACGTATTTAAATAACAGTAAAGTAGAAAAAAGTCCATGCTGACATTTATGACATTTGTTTTTCCGTTAAAAGGAAGTTTAAGAAACTCTGCTCTAGGTTTTAGAGAAAAAAATATCACACTTCATTGAGCTTGACTTCCTCTGCCTCTTCTCCCCACAGGAAAGGTAGATGTTCATGGGAAAAATCAGAATATAGGTAAAGGAAAAAGGAGCCAAGGAGGATATGGCCTATTTAATCGAGCCTATTGGGTCTATAAAGAAAAGCAAAAAGATTCTCTGCAGATCTACCCAGTCTAGTCCAGCTTACAAGTGACAAGGCTTCCACATGGGACTTCAGAAGCAAAAAAAGCCTTAGAGTTATAGAGTAATTTGTCAAGTTATCCCCTCTGTATGTGGATCTTGAAAACCCACGGCAGCAAGATGCAGCTGGACAAGGATTTGAGATCTTGAGTCTAAGCCATCTTTCTCTCTATAACCAACAGCCATATTGATGCTTTCCCTCAGGATTAGGCATATTCCTGGACAGTTCAGTCCTAGGACCAATGACAGAGTTAGACCAGGTCATTCACTGCAGGCCACACTTGTGGCACAACCAAAGCCTATGCAGAAACTATCAAGGGAACAGATTCAGTGCATTATGTGTAGGTCATAACTGTGCAGAAGAGAATCTAAAAATAGAAAGGGACTTTAGAAATCAGTCCAACTTCTACACTCATGAAGGAATCTCTTCTAAAACATCCTGATGACACAATCTCTTCCTAAAAACTTCAGTGATAATTTACTACTATTCTCTATTACTCTTCAGGAAGGTTCTTTTAACTGTTGAAAAGTAACCTATTTTGGCAAAGTCCTCATTATAATAAAATAATAATCACTACCATATAAATCTTACTGTAGTTTGATTCTCCAGAGCAGAAAAATGTCTACTTCCTTTTTCACATGACAATTGCTCCTCTCCAGGTTATACTATCCTCATTTCAGGGGCATGTAGGATATGGTTTCCAGACTTCTGACCTTCTTAAACCAGTGGTGCCCATAAGACCTCCAGTGGATACATATCAGAACTTCGCATCTTAAAAAAAAAAACAACTTTTATTTCAGATTGAAGGGGTACATGTACAGGTTTGTTACATTGCGTATATATGGTACATTGCATAATGGTGAAGTTTGGGCTTCTAGTGGACCCATCACTCAAACAGTGAACATTGTACCCAATACATATTTTGTCAACCCTCATGTCCTTCCCATCTGATATGATTAGGCTTTCTGTCCCCGCCCAAATCTCATCTTGAATTGTAATCCCCATAATCCCCAGGTGTTGAGGAAGGAACCAGGTGGGGGTAATTGAATCATGGGGGCAGTTTCCCCCATGCTGTTCTCATGATAGTAAGTTCTCATGAGATCTGATGGTTTTATAAGCATCTGCCATTTCCCCTGTTGGCACTCTCTCTCCTGCTGCCTTGTGAAGAAGGTGCTTGCTTCTGTTTCGCCTTCAGCCATGCTTGTGAGTTTCCTGAGGCCTCCTCCCCAGCCATGCAGAACTGCGAGTCATTTAAACCCCTTTTCTTTATAGATTACCCAGTCTCGGGTATTTCTTTGTAGCAGCATGAGAATGGACTAATACACCACCCTTCTCACTTTGGAATCCTGTGTCCACATGTACCCACTGTTTAGCTCCCACTTATAAGTGAGAACATGTGGTATTTGATTTTCTGTTTCTGAATTATTTCAGTTAGGATAATGGCTTCCAGCTGCATCCATGTGGCTTTAAAGCACATGGTTTCATTATTTTTTATGGCTGCAAAGTATTCCATGGTGTATATGTACCACATTTTCTTATTCCAGGCACCACTGATGGACACTTAGGTTGAGTCCATGATTTTGTTACTGTGAATACTGCTGTGATAAACATACCACTGCAAGTGTCTTTTTGATAAAACGATTTATTTTCCTTTGGGTAGGTACCCAGTAGAGGGATTGCTGGGTTGAATAGAACATTTTTAGTTCCAGCACATGATCTTGTGCTCTCACTCTTTCTCTTCCTCTCTCATTAAGTGGCAAGTTAACATAAGTAAACTTAACTTTGTGCAAAAAATGCTTTCCAAAGAGGAAGGTGAGGAAAAAAAGTAATCGTAAATAAGAAAATCAATCTCCATGCACTACTGAAATCTGCTATTTAATGTATTCTGTATGTGATACCTTTGTAAGAATATTTTTGTAATTTTTATGTTTTATGAGATAAAAATGTTTTGTATGCCACATTTCCTAGAAAGGTCCTGCTGTACCTCATTTCCCTTACCTTTAAAATAAATCGCCATAATAGATATAATCTTCGTATTTCACATAACTGATGAAAATGCCTTTGTTATTGTTAGAAGTAAAGATCTACTTAAAGAGAAAGTTTTAAAAGTTGTGTAGGTTTTTGTCTCACTCTATTTTTTAAGATTAAAAGTACTCTACATCCCACCCTAAATGACAGAGTGGCAACACAAGACATAGGTTTAATAATTATTTTAATTACAAATTTCCACCAATTCTTGCCAGTCATATTATTGTGGATATCACAAATGAATTATATAATAGTATATTACCTTATATTCATCTGCATGAAACTTAGGAGAAAGGAGAGCAGAAATGTGTAAGTTTCTGAGAATGACACCATAAAGCTCATATTTACAGTATGGTAGTCTGTAAACATACAGGCCTGCCAGTTAAAGCCCACTCTTCTATCATCACCCAGCTGCATGACCCTGAGCAAGTCACTTTTGTTTGCTAATTTTTAATATCATCTATCACCTGACTTCTCTATCTACGAGAGTTAACTGGCTGCATGCAAAATACCATGAAAAATACCATGCACTTTTAAGTGTGAAGTAGCACTGTAAAGTGACTTATATATTACTGGTCTTTCTATTTTTAGAGTATTAATATTCATACATCAGTTAAAAGTCAACATGTGTTTGCTAAGTGATCCTTTTGAAAGGATCCCTTTAAAAGTTCCTAGGCATCAGCTTCACTGACAATCTGGTATGATTCTGAAGCCAGCATTTCAACTCTTGGAAAGATATACAATAGTCACAGCTTGAATTAGTAACTAATAAAATAAAATGCCCTCTTATTCTCCAAAATGTAATAATTCAGGAGTAATGACATCAAGATTTTTCTCCTCAAACTGAGGAGAAAAAAGCCCCACCGTGGCTTGTTTAAATGACTTAAAATACAAGTGGTAACTATGGTGACTAGGGAACCAATGTTTAAAACATCAAAAGATTATTACAAAAATCCAATTTCCCATGAATTTCTAAAAATTAAAATTCTGAGATGTTGTGTCTGAGAAACTGCTTCTTCAGCAAAATATTTAGCACAGACTACATCATCCCAAATCTATGGTATGGCCAGGTATTTAGGTCCTTCAACCAACGTTTTTAGAAAGGGTCCCGTTGCTCTTTACTTGCAAAATGACTATCTCTAGGGCCTCAAAATTCAAGAGACAACCTAGCTTTTATAATGTTAAAAAGGGAAGACTTTGGCATGTAAACTAGAACTACATGATTGTGAATATTTGGCAAATTGATCTCTATGTGTATATACAAGCTATAGCTAACATGATTATTACAAGTTTTTTGGAAGCTTGAAGGCCAAGGAAAATAATCTGCACATATAACTTTCTGATTTATCAAGTACTGAGATATTAATGAATTCTTCATATTGTTACTCCTGTATCAGTTCTTTAGAATTTCTTAGCCTTTGGGTACTCTAAGCCTTGGATGGAACCATTTAGGGAGTAGCTAGATATATGCAAAGAATATTAGGATTTAGAAACATTTCTGGTTTATCAAAGTGAAAAGATAAATATTACAAACACTGAAAATGTGAAAATAAGGTTCAAGAGAGCTGCAAACTATGTGGGTACCAGTTAGAAAGTATCTTCATCTGACTCATCACTCTTGGGTTTGGTAAGTCTTTCTAGTTCTTCTCCATCCTAAAAGGAAACATGAAAGCAGTAATTAGAACAAAACTGGAAATGTAGCATTTTTAAAGGGAAAACCTTACTAACAAATCACTGGTCTTACCTCATTAAGCTATAGATATAATCTGGTCAAATTAAATAAATACTTATGTTCTTGGAAAGTTAACTATAGAAGTATGAGAGGATAAAAAAGTGAAGTGTACTCAGTACTCAAAATTTCAAAGCTAACATGAGCAAAGTGAGGAGCACCACCTGCTGGTCTTGCAGAAAAATGATTAAAGGTTACAGAAATAGGTCTTCATAGGCCTTGTTACCTATATAGATTTTCTTTTGCTTAAAAATTAGAGCAAATGGCATTATCGGCTGTTGGAAAAGAATACAAGACTTCTGGATATACACTCTGGCTAAGAGCAGGGTATCCGAAACTCAAGATCCTAATTTTTTCATCTTTAGAATCTGTTGAATCATGACAGAGGCATTACACCCAGGGAAGCTCTGCTATGAATGTTATTAAGCAATAGATTATTTTTCCCAAAGAGTGAAATGTTCACTGTATAAAATATTTCATATTTTGTGTGCTCAAGAAAATTGTAAATCTAAAGCTAGATGTCTATTTCACTTATTTAAACGTATATTTAACTCCTTAATTGAATCTTCAAAGAGATCATTAACTTGCCAATAAAATGATTGACAGAGCCTTCCAAAACAATTGCAAGCAACTGGGAGATATTCGGAATAATTGCATAAGCATTTTTCTAGAAAATATTTTCCTCCTACTCGCCTTGCAAGGATCCTCTTGAAAACTACCTTTCTAGTGAAATAAACAAACCCTGCCCTTCTGGCATACTGGCTTATGAATAACCACAGGGAGGACTGAGGAGCCAGGCTTTCTATTCAACAGGACTTACTAATACGAAAGGCCAACTTCTCTCACAAATGAGCTTATTTTCCCTAACTATGGTGGAAAAGAAAGAGAAAGGGACTTGGAGTCAGACATAGGTGTACCAGTTCTTTCATTTATTATCTGTAAACCATTTTGCCTGTTTCTTGTAAAACTATGCAGACAGGACAAGACAACCTGTGAGGTATCTTCCAGGTGTATAATTCTATAGTATTCTATGAAGTAACACATAAGGTCCTTGAGATTGACTTATACTTTTTCTCTACACCTGACAGCATTGATTATGAGCCCTTGCAAACATCAGGAGTAAAAGGAATGTTTGTTGATTCGGTTTTAAAAGTCAGAGATCCAATACATTCTTTGACAAATCAGTACTGATTTTATTTTTTTCCTTGAATTAACTATGCTTTAAATTTGGGAAGAACAAGCAAAAAGGAACACCCTCACAAACTTACCCCACTGGAACGCTCCCAAAGATTGCCACTTAGATCTCGGATCCTTTCTTGCCTAGGTGCGTATTCCGGAACTTGAGGCTTGCTGGCATTATAAATAAATATAGAGAGAAGGACTGATGGGGCTTCCAAGAAAAATTCCAGGGAGGGCCTGAAGTCAAAGACCAGGACAGACACTGTTGTGATAATGACAGTGGTAACCTGGGCCATCAAGACATGGAACATGTTATCCAGGAACTTCAGAATGAAAGCCACTGAAAGGCCCTGGAATGCAGTTACAAAAATAAGGGCTACTGAAAATGCACTGTGGCCATAAAAAAATCCACAGTTCTTAATCTGATCACGGTTACTCCTCTGAAGGCCCAGAGTCAGCCCATTAAACAGAATGCCAAAGAAATAGAGTTTGCTGTTCTGTATGAAGATGCTTTCAGTGAGCTGGTTCCCTTCCTTCAGTATCTTTTCATTATAGATATTAGCCATTGAAGAAATAAAACACTGGACTATAATAAGAACATGGCCCATGCCAAGACGGATGTGACTGAAAACTCTGGCTGTGGTGTTCCATTTAGCTTCAGGAAAAGTCCATTCCTTTGCTGTACAATTGTCTTTTCTGGGACACTCACTTCTGAAAAGAAGGCAGGAATTGGAAGGGCTGAAAAAGGCATCGTGATGAAATCCACGTCCTGCCAAGTTGTGCTGTAAAGTTTTAGTCCCGGCAGTCAAGGCCACAATAGACAAAAATAAAGTCAGGAGGGAAGCCCACTGGATCCAGTTTAGACGCCTCCTGTTCAAAGATGAAAAAAAAGATTTTACTACTGTTTTCCCCCCATATCAATAGTTTCTACTGAAAACTCAGACACTTGAGTATTTGGTTGAATAAACTGGACCCAGTTTTTGCTAGCATTTCCTACCACTCAAGTTCAGAGAAAAACTGTTGGTGCCTGTCTCTCAAATTTAATGTTTTAATTCATTTTTATAACACCTATCCCCTAAGGCTGCTCAAGTCATTTCCCTTCTGTGTAGGTTTCCTTTTAACCTACAAGTTTAACATGGCCTCCTTTCTACCTCTAGAGGTATCCTGGACCTCTGGCACAGTAACTTTTATTGTACTATAAAGTTACAGCAGAGATTCTCAACCTGGTTTCCCAGAACCAGAAAGAATGTAGATGAGCTTCAGAAATGTTGTGTACAGATGAATTTCCCCCTATGCAGGAGATCCTGCAAAGCTTTGTCAAATCTTTAAAGGTGTCCATAACCCAAAAAAGATTTAAAGGAGAAGGTTAGCTCTAGATCCATGTCCTAATCGTAGAGCATTAAACAGCAAACTGCTGGCTGACAAGCCAAAGAAAAATGTTATTTTGGGCAGTATTTCAGTTTACAAAGTCCTAACAATCCTTTGTTTATTTTCCTTAGCAACAAACTTGTGAGAAATAAAGGACATGTACTATTATTATTCCATTTTGCTGATTCATTCTATTCAACAGATGTTTAATAAGCAGCTACTACGTGCCAGGCAACCTGGGGCGATAAAGATGACTTATCTCCATGTTCAAGGAATTTATGCTTTAACAGTGAGAAAACAATGAAACTAAATGATTTCAGTATGTGTGAAAAGTGATTAATGGGACAAGTGGAGTAAACTGAGGAACACTACAATCTGTAAATAGTCAGGTATTGCTTCAAAGAGGAAATGACACTTGAGCTAGAAGATGAAAAATTAATTGAAGTTTATCATGTGAAAAAGGAGGTGGTGATATATCCAGGCAGAGGGAAGAGTCTCTATGCAAAGGCAACAAGAATGTACAATGTTGACAAAGAGGAATATCTCACTTTCATTGGCGTTGTCAGGAGGCCTCTTGGGGGAACAAAATCTTGATGTTTGAAGATCAGTTAGTTAGGCAAAGAAGGGGAACACCGAGAAAAAAAGAGGAACATAAAAAATGCAGAAGTGTAAAGCAATAGGTGGGAACCAGAAGTGAGAATTTTTATATCATTGGAGCATTTATTGAGCACCTACCATACACTTAGGCATTTCCGCTCTAAGGGAGGAAACAGTTAACCTAACAGATTTCCCTAAGGTCATGTACTTAAACACTAAAGAAGGGATCGGATCCATGGTTTTGTATGTCTTCCTTCTGCATCATCACACCTCCTAAGTATAATTCTAAGTTTCCAGGATGCACATATAGGAAGTTGTGTGCATATAAAGCTTCATGCTCTGAAACTGCTAAATGCACAGACTAGCCTAGATAGCAGCATACCTGTGCACACTATTATATGCTTTCTCATATGTATGTAATTTTCAAATAGCCTGATCTAGAACTTACTGATGGCGTTAGCGCAGCCTTATGCCATCAGGTGAGAAACTGTGAACTAACCACTTAAATTTCTGAAGGTGCAGCTGATACACATTAAGTAGCAGAAAACAAATAGAATGACCACAGAGATAAAAAATGGGTGTCCATTTTACAAAAAAAATTCCATAATTAATTATTGCAAATCGCATATAAGTGAGGCAATGATATAATCTATAGTTCCTTTAAAAGTTTTCTAGAGCTATACATTTTTCACTAATATTAAGAAAAAAGAAAGAAATCCTTAAGCTAAACAACACCTTCTGTAAACAATTACTCATTCAAGGTAATGCTCTAAGGAACGTAAAATTTATTAAGGATTAAGCTAAAAATTAAAAATGGTAGATTTTTAGGAAAGAAAATAAAGCTTAATAAATTACCCTGTAAAGTCAGCTGACAATCTGAAATGACAACTGAGTCTGCTAGGCCCAATTTGTTCTTCAGTTTAACTGATACAAAACAGTGGAAGCTCACTTCACTCATCTCTCCACTGCCTCGGTAAAACATAGTAATGGATGCTCAGAGCCGAATGCCTGTGGCTAGAAGGCTACTCTTCCTGAGGGCCTCTCCTCCCAAGTGAATTGTTTGCCCACAGAATCTCTGTTCCTAAACATGTTTTTGCCAGGTGACCTCACTGTTGTCACTACATAAAGATTACATAAATGATAAACTATGAGTAAAAGACAAGAAGCTGTTTTTATGAAAACTAAGTTGAACACTTTGGGAAGACTAAGTGAAGGTAAATCATTCAGAAGATAAAAAGCTGTTTTCTAATAACATATAGGTGAGCTAAGGAACTTCAATCAGTAACATACTCAAAGGGGGGGCTTTAGTTCAACATTAGAAGAATGATGAATACATGTATATTTACATATTCTAAGTTAAAATAAATTGTTTAGATATTTTCTATATATACTTATGTATATGATTCATCACTATAAGTTTTCCTAGCAACTAACCAATAGGTTCAAATTGTGTCAGATAAGAGCACTTCTATATTTGGTGGTAGTAAACTAGTGCAGGGTATGAAGACAATTAAATGGAAAGACTCACATAATTGTTTTCTCAAGAAACTGTACAAAACACATTTCTTAGTAGCACAAAGAGAGTGACAAGGGGCAGATTTATAATGAGAAGTCACAGAGAAAATTTATCAACTGAATGAATGATTCTGGAGAAATGCTTGTACTACTACTGAGTGGCACTTCTCTTTGTTCTTCTGCTGTTTCAGACAGTAACTAAACTTTACCCTTACTTCCTAGACATCCACCATGTTTCAAAATGTATTTTTAAATAATTTTTTTCCATACCTTCTCTTTGAGGAAATCAGAGAAACTTATATACATTTTTTAGGTAAAAATAAGTGCTGGTCTTGGTTATCCTTTGCCTCCAATCTCAATGTTTAGGTTGGTATTATTTCCCAAAGCTAAAGCAAACAAAATTGTGCAACTTTGCTTAGGTTACAAGCAAACCAGGGAAGCAAGCTACAAGGCATAATGCCTGCTACCAGTTTCTACCATGAACCAGTGGCTTATACTTCAAAGAACAAATCTATACATTCACATAAAGTTTGAATCCTTGGAAAATAACATGCTAATAATCTAATATTGTGGCTTATACTTCAAAGAACAAATCTATACATTCACATAAAGTTTGAATCCTTGGAAAATAACATGCTAATAATCTAATATTGTCTTTTATGAGAATGCCTTTAGGTATTTTATTCTTTTTAGAAAAGACAATAGGACATTTAGATGATAATATTTTTTTTCCCACTTTCAAATTCCTCCAAGTAATCCCTGCAGTAGTTACCAGACTTACTTTTGCCTGCTTTTGTAGCCTCATATTCTTTTTAAGAATTTTTAAAAATTATTTTTTTTTTTCTTAAAAAATTTTTTTTAAAAATTATTCTATTTTATTTTGTAGCCTTGTATTCTTTACCTGTATGGGAAAGGTATTTGATAGTTCTGATACAATCAAGTATAAGACAACAGATTTAATATTCTAAATGAAAAGTGGCAAACAAAGAATATGTGATAGAACTATTAAGCTGCTACTCCTAGGTCAAAATTTAATCACAAAGGGCAAAAAGACCATCAAATGATTCACAAAGAGTAAATTAAATAGGGAAAACCAATGCACACCACCAACTCCAAAAAGATCAAAATAGAACAAAGTTAAGTTGACTTCAAAATGTAATAAAAGCACATACATCAATGAGATATTTTTCAGCTTTAAAAATTGGAAGGAAATCCTGTCACATGCTACATGGATGAACCGTGAAGACAATATGCTAAGCTAAGTGAAATAAGCCAGTCCCAAAAGACAAATACTGTATGATTCTATTCATATGAGGAATCTAAAGTAGTCAAATTCAAAGAAAAAAAGAGAGTGAAATGGTAGTTATCAGGGGTTAGGGTGAGGCGGGGAAAGGAGAGTTGTTTAATGGACTTAGAGTTTCAAATTTGTAAGGTGAAAGAGTTCAACATCTACTTCACAACATGAATAGACTTAACACTACTAAACTGTATGCTTAAAAATTGTTAAGATGGGCTGGACGCGGTGGCTCACGCCTGTAATCCCAACACTTTGAGAGGCCAAGGCAGGTGGATCACAAGGTCAGGAGATCAACACCATCTTGGCCAACAGGTGAAACCCTGTCTCTACTAAAATACAAAAAATTAGCCAGGCGTGGTGGCACGTGCCTGTAACACCAGCTACTGGGGAGGCTGAGGCAGGGGAATCACTTGAACCCAGGAGGCGGAGGTTGCAGTGAGCTGAGATTGCAACCCTGCACTCCAGCCTGGCGACAGAGCAAGACTCCGTACCCACCCCCACTGCCAAAAAAAAAAATTAAGATGGCAAATTTTTTTTCTTTTTTTCACAATTAGAAAAAAGAGTTAAAAAATGTAATAAGGCCAGGCGTAGTGGCTCACACCTGTAATCCCAGCACTTTGGGAGGCCAAGGTGGGCAGATCACCTGAGGTCAGGAGTTTGAGGCCAGCCTGGCCAAAATGGTGAAACTCTGTCTCTACTAAAAATACAAAAATTAGCTGGGCGTGGTGGTGTGCACCTATATTCCCAGCTACTTGGGAGGCTGAGGAACAAGAATTGCTTGAAGACGGGAAGAGGAGGTTGCAATGAGCCAAGACGGTGCCACTGCACTCCAGCCTGGGTGACAGAGTAAGACTCTGTCTCAAAAAAAAAAAAAAAAAAAGTAATAAAATACTTAAAAGGCATTCTCATAAAAGACAATATTAGATTATTAGCACGTTATTTTCCAAGGACTCAAAACAGAGAGATGTTAACAACAAAGCAAATATATGTCTAAGAATCATTATTATTCCTCTGAAAATAAGAAAGTATGTAGAAATTTTTTTTGAACTTTAATTCATACCAGTGTTAGTTATTATTAAAATTAGCAAAATGCAATCAATATTATAACTAGTATTAAAAGCAAATATTTAAAATGTATAGTATAAATAGATTTAGATTTAAACTTAGAATGAACTTTCTTAATACAAATAGTTAAATGCTTAAAAATTTAACAAGGAATACTTATTATAGGATAGGACTAAAGCTACTGGCCAATTTCAAGTCAGGCAATACATACTTTTAGTCTTTAGTAAATTCAGTTTGAAATTGATGTAATTTTGATGTAATATTTTTATATTATACAACTTCAGTATAATACCATCTGTACTCATTTAAAGTAAATGACAAACACTTTAAAAATACATGTTTTTGAGACCTGTACTCCCTTATTAAATCGTGATCCTTTTATCATCTTGGAATATGGAAATGGTCTTGGAACCATTTTATCTTCACAGAAGTACATCGCTAATCTATCACAGGAATCAATATACAAATATTATTGCTTGCTTACCTTTTCTCAAAAGTCAACTTTTTATACTACAAAGTGAGATTCAAACTGATTTCAAAGACTTCAAAATGTTTTTGGAATATCTTTTTTTTAGTTAAAGAATTATTTTCACAATTCACAAATAAATTGACAGATACGTAGAACAAACTTCGATGTACTCTAACATTTAAACTGGGCTAAATGTAATGTTCACTTTTTCCTTATCTCTCACATTAACTATCAAATTAAATGTTTCCTCAGGGTAAAAGAAAATACATCAGGAATCTTATATAATTTATATATTAAGTATATCATGGACTCAACAAATTAAATCTTTGTACCAAGCCAGTCACCCTTTCATATACACAAATTATGAAAGAACATACTATCACACAGCACACTGAGAATCAATAAATCAAAAAGATAATGTAAAATTTAAAAAAAACAAATCTAATAAGAAATTAATTTTATTTTTTAATCATTATCATTAAGTAAGAAATTAAACTGAAGTTAAGTATCCAGATCCTGTATCATCTTCCTGCCTTAGGACACTCTGGCTTTTGCTTTGAAGAGAGCTTAATTTACTTAAAAATGTTTATACTATTCAACGGTCCTCTTGGAGATAGTAAAAACTGGTGATAACATTTTTAAAAGTTTAAAAAACTATCCTTCTTAACTATAATTTTGACTAGATTCTTCACACACTCTGCTAATTAGTGCTTAAATCACGTCCTCATCTCAAATAGTTTAATAAAAAATTGGCCATTATCTATCATCTCCAAACTACAAATTACAAATATATTAACAATCTTAGGAACCATTTGCTTCCCTATTAGTGCAGAAAGATTTTGCATAAAAAGCTCATTAATTCTTTGTTGAAAATCTGGCACTAAATATGAAAATACTAATTATAACACAGTCAATTATCTTATTTTTAAGATGCTCAAGACATTTTCATTCATCTGATCACAGAGGATTTAGATGGACTAGCACTGGAGCTGCTTTCTACATGGCTTAAACGTGCCCAGTACACAAAGTCAATTAGGAACAAAATCCTGGCTTTGGGATTCTGACGGCTCAGTGTTCTGGGTATATCATTTGAAACCGGGCTATGTTATTTTAAAGTATGATATATGTTTTCACAGCAAGTTACTTACTTCAGCACTATCCTGAATAGAAGAGCTGTTGTTATAATGCTAAAATTTGAGAAGATAACAGCCATGGCCTAGAAAGAAAGAGAAGATAGAGTTACAATCCAAATGAAGTACTGACCTCAGAAATGTCTTAGCTTGGCAGTTCACCTGACAAAAAAAGCTTTTTGGTCAAAAAACAGAGGGGTTATTAAGGTAGCAATTTCAACTAAGGATTAAATTCCAGTTTTGTCGCTTGTCAAATTTACGTAGATATGATCAAATTATTGTCCAGGCATTGCCTGTGTAAATAATCTTTATATACAGATCTGAAATTACTTATAAATTCTAAAGGTTTAGGTTTAGAAATGACAGTTGCTATGCTTATGAAGCCTACTTTTCAAAGTTCTCAAAGCGCCTTATGGATTTTTAACACTGTTTCTACGGTCACATAGAAGGCAGGTACTGTATGGCCCATTAATATAGTAAGAAAACTGAAGTATAGATTTTTTTAAGCATCTTTACCATTCTAGGAATTGTATCAATTTTCCTGGTTGAACTGCAGTAACTCAATACCAAACTCATACTTGACAGCCCTGCGCACTGATTCAAGTTGTTCTAAACACTTAGAAATGTATCAGCCAGATTTTAAAACCATTTGTTTTTACGAATTCAGTCCTATTTCACACATGAGAGTATTAATCTGAACATGTATACATTATGCTCAGAAAGCATGAAATTCCATCATTGCTGCCCATAATTAGATCTGACAATAGTTAATAATTTTTTAATGCAAATCTTAGGATGTACTTCACCCTGCCTTCCTGCTTGCTATCACTTTAAGGTGATTAAACCCCAAAAGATATTAACAGTCATATATACCCACTAATTAAAACAAACATGGCTAATATGAAGCTAAATTAAAGATAAAACTCAATGAAAAATGGCAACAACTCCAAGAATATAACATTGTTGTTTTTCTATTACATTCTTATGGGAACCACCATTTTAAGGTTTTCTCAGTGTACTTCTCTGTAGGCAAATGCCTGTGAACCCCTAGTTAGGAGATGAGTAAGAGGAAAAGAGGAAAGTGGCTGTGAAGTGTGGAAATAGTGGCCTTGATCAATCACATTAAGGGCAGTGCAAAAGTGCCTAACCATGCAGCCTGACGGCTTGATGAATTCTGAAAATTCTGAATACTCTTTCCATGCAAGAGGATAAAATAAAAACATCAGAGCTCTTTGGCCCAAACATTCCATGCATCTCTATTTAATTCCTTCAATAGGCTCAGGCACAGCAATACACAGAGTATGCATGTGTTTTATTCTGTAAGATATATGGTTGTTCACAATCAGGAAGGAAGAGCAAAACAATAAGCTGGAAGAAAAATAAGGAAGTTGCCATTTTGCTTTGGTACTGGGGGACACAGAAAAGAGACACAAATTTAGAGTGAATCTGTGATAAAATACAATAAAATGTATTGAATTTGCATAATTTTGTTGGGGACAGCAATTCTCAAAAATGGAAGAATTTAGGAGAGAACAGATCCTAGGTGGACTGGACACTTATTAGCAACATGCATTACAGAGCCAAAGAAAACTTCAGGTGATCACCTGGCCCAGTTCCCTGCCTTTGAACTAGTATATTATTATTATTATTATTATTTATTTCATAGAGGGGGTAACTGAAACTTAAAGCAGTTGGGCCTGCCTAGTTACACAGCTTCTAAACTGTGGAAAGTCGGCCGGGCACGGTGGCTCACGCCTGTAATCCCAGCACTTTGGGAGGCCGAGGCGGGTGGATCATGAGGTCAGGAGATCGAGACCATCCTGGCTAACAAGGTGAAACCCCGTCTCTACTAAAAATACAAAAAATTAGCCGGGCGCGGTGGCGGGCGCCTGTAGTCCCAGCTACTCGGGAGGCTGAGGCAGGAGAATGGCGTGAACCCGGGAAGCGGAGCTTGCAGTGAGCCGAGATTGCGCCACTGCAGTCCGTAGTCCGGCCTGGGCGACAGAGCAAGACTCCGTCTCAAAAAAAAAAAAAAAAAAAAAAAAAAAAAACTGTGGAAAGTCAAACACCTGTTTTCTACTATAATTCTTGATAGGGTTTGGCTGTGTCCCACCCAAATCTCACCTTGAATTGTAATCCCCATATGTCAAGGGCCAAGCCAGGTGGAGATAACTGAATCATGGCGGAGGTTTCACCCATACTGTTCTCATGGTACTGAGTAAGTCTCATGAGATCTGACGGTTTTATAAATGAGAGTTCCCCAGCACAAGCTCTCCTGCCTGCTGCCATGTAAG
Source organism: Homo sapiens (assembly GCF_000001405.40). Taxonomy (NCBI): domain Eukaryota; kingdom Metazoa; phylum Chordata; class Mammalia; order Primates; family Hominidae; genus Homo; species Homo sapiens. The sequence continues at coordinate 112,571,680 of NC_000003.12, read as the reverse complement.
ACATGACTTTGCTCCTCTTTCGCCTTCCGCCATGACTGTGAGGCCTCCCCAGCCTTGTGGAACTGTGCGTCCATTAAACCTCTTTCCTTTATAAATTACCTAGTCTTGGGTATGTGTTTATTAGCAGTGTGAGAACAGGCTAATACAGTTCTATCTTGAGCCCTCCTTTTCATCCCACTCTGATTTGCTTATATTTAAGAAACTTCACAGAGAAGACTGGTAGCAATAGAAATCCTATTTATAATCAAATGCCTGAATTTACTTTTTAAAGAAATTTAAAACACATTTTGGCAATAAAGGCAATAGAAATCTTCATTTTATAAAATATTAAAGGGAAATATACATGTGACCTATTGTGACCCAAACTGAGTAATAAGTGAAAGCAGAAAAACCAAACTCCAGCTCGGATTACTAATGGCTTTCTAAACTGACACAAAGGATGCCAAGAAAGATGAGAAGTATTTCCAGCATTATCAGTTATAGATGGCATTTCTAGTTGGGAGGACATGATCCCTACCCTTGAAGAATTTGTTGGTTAAATGACATGACTAACAGAAAAGAAAACCATACAAATAAAATTCATATAAACTACATTAAAACAGGTGTAAGAAAGGTACATTGAGTGTTTAACTTTCTGAGTTAATCAGGGAAGTTTTCTTGGATGAGGTCCTGGATGCTGAGATAATTAGAGGTTAGTGGCCACAGGACGTCTCAGAAAATAGGCATACTAATTAGGGTTACATAAAAAGAGGTGGCTTCAGATTTCTTGGTCTAGGGAGCAACTCCCCCATGGTAGTCAGCCCAGTTTAATACAGTAATCTTGACCATTTAAGAGAACCTGGCACGCATATTGATAATTCAGGACTCAGATAATTCTGGGGAAATCTCAGGAAGGCCAGTGAGGACAATGAGAAACTAACAATGCCAACAAAAATGATAAAAAAAAAAAAATTCTGGGATTTATTTCTCTGTATCTTTTCAATGGTATTTTCTTTTTCATATTTACTTACTGGTTGAAGATAGGACAGGACATAGAAGACAATCAAGTTATCCAGGAAATAAAGAAAGGCAGGAATGGACCACTTCATGAAATCAGAGAATTCCTTCCAGGAAGCATATTTCAAATTTCTACTTTGATGATCTTAGAAAGAAACACGGTGTAAATGACCTTGATGAGAATGCCCACATTTTTAGAGAAATTACACTGCACTTGATTACTGATACAATTCTTTAAAGGGAGCTTTATAAACGTGCCTCCATTTCATTACTGTCTCTCTTCAACCCACCAGTTTCATCACTGACAATCAGCAACAACCTTAGGACTACTGGTTATCCTAATTCCTGTTAATTTGAGATAACAGAAGTATTACTTAAGGCAACTCAGAATAAATATGTGGTTTCTCTTGCTGCTGTAAGAGCATAAGGCCAACAGGGAGATCAACAAGTTAAAATAAGTTAAAAAAAAAAAAATCAAGGCTTCATACTGGAATTTTTGCCCCCCAGGGCAAATCAGGAAAGGGGGATACTAAATCGAAATTTATATATATGGAACTAGAGAAAGTTAACTTTTAGTAATCCTGTCAGTTATTATTCCATCTCTAGGTTTCTAAAAACTTAGGCACTGTAGCAGAGAGAATGTAAAACAAAAAGAAAACAAAGGCAGTTTAAGGCCCTGCAAATAATGCATTGAGTTTTATGAGATTAAGAAAAGTAGTCACTAACGAGAAACTGCAAAGTTTGAAACCCTGGAATATGAAAAGACATCTTGCTGGGCAAACACTTCAATGCTCTAAAGTTTACGTTTACCTCATGTGTGAAGGTATATGAAAGAGGCAGAGGGAGGGAGCGGAGGCGCAATAATTGGGGAACTAAGGTGAAGAATTAATGTATATTAAACAGCATATACATTCCATGGAAGGCTATATACTTTACATTTGAGAAAGGAATTAGTATCCCTATGTGATAGCTCAGAAAACTGGAGCTCAGAGAAAATAATCTGCCCCAGAACAGTCTCTTTGATGCCTGTGCACTATGCTACCTTCCCTGCAGGAAATGGGAACTATTTTGAAATATGATACATCTCAAGTTAGCACGATTTAGAAAATCTTTAATTTGAATAAAAACTAACTTACTGTATGAAACTATCACAGAACAAGTAACAAGATAGAGTAATAGGAAGGGCATTAGGAAACATGAGTTGGTGTCCCAGCTCCTCCCCTTCCTATGCAGCTCTGCATTAACACTTTCTCTTTGAGCTTGTTTCTCCACCTCTAAAACATACTTATGTTTGTATCTTAGCTTCCTCATATAAAATTTAATGGACTAAGCTAAATGATACAAAATGTTCCTTCCAGTTCTAACATTTTTTGGTCCTATGATTAACAAGTATATAGTACCATTTCAAGACTTACCTTTCTTTATAACACAGAATGACACAAGCACACAGAAAACTAGCTTCACCAGTTCTGAGCACACATTCACAGTAGTTGGAAGATAATCATACTTGTTTTCTGAAATGTAACAGAAATGTTTTTTAACTATATATTTTATTCCATGTATGTTTATATACAGTATAACATAATTGTTTTAAAATTTAAAAGCTGGATTTACTACTGGTTATATTAAGTTTCTTCCAGTTGCCTTTGCTCCTTTGGATTTTTTAATCAATTCACCTAATGTATTAGCTATCCCTATCCCATTTGGCTTTTTATTATCCTTGAATTTGTTAAACAGCCTCTCATGTCTTCATCCAAGTTGCTAATACATTAAGGAGGCTAGGACTAAGGGCAAAGAAAGCTCTGTGGCATGGCATCAGAGGCTGCCTGCTAAATTGACCATCAATCAACACCGACTCATGCAACAGCTATGAACTGACCTGCTGAATTATTACTCAGCTCATAATTCTTCTTGTGATTTCTTTGCCTTGCTAAAATTGAGGTACACTCTGTCTATGACATCCCCTTAAGAGTTTTCCAATCTGTTTTATATCACGGTACACACAGAAAACATTAATATTTGTTTGGCACTCTGGGATAAATGGTACACTGAGGTAAAGAAGGAAACTATCTAAGGCAAGAGGCAACTGGCCTAGGGCTCTGCTACCTTTAGGGCCGAGAGGAAATACTTGGACACATCCAAACCCACTGATGAGTTGGAAAGCTACATCCTAAACTGCAAATCAATAGAATTAGGAAGTGAGGTTTGGTTGGTATGACTTCATCTTAACTGTTACCTGTCTCTTCTAAATGCTTACAAACAACTCGCTTTACAATTTTGCCAAGGATAAACATAAACTTTATTGGGTACTATTTTCAGGAATGCATTTTCCCCACTTTTGAAGACATTTGCTTGCTTCTCTCAGTCACATTAAACCAAAATTGGCCAAATGTAGGGAAAAAAAGCCAAGTGGACACTGTCTATCCAGAACACTTTCTTCCACTCTCCTGTGGTTTCCCTTGACCTTCTCAAACTAATCAGAATCAATTCTTTATTCATCTCTGTTCTTATAGCACTACCTCTAAACCTCTGTGGCCCTACTTGTCTCATTGGAAGTGTGTGAAGTGAAATGGAATGGAAGATCCTTACAAGAAATGGACCATGTTTGTCACGTTCATATACCTGGCACTTAGCAGGCACTTAATAAATGTTCACCTGAATTTAAATATCTGCCTGTTCAACTTTACCCCATCATTCAAAGCATAGTCAAAACATCTCCTTTTTCTCAGTTAAATGCTAGACTTAACTCACACTCTGTTATCCTCCAATGATACTTCTCATGATCCATCATGATACACATAAGCCAACATGTGCATATAAGAAGGGGGGACTTTGGATTATAACTTTCAAACCCTTGTCACTGTTCTTTAGCTTGTTCTTGCTTTTCAGTGGTTTTCTTGCAGTCCTTTCACGGCCGATCCCAGACCATATGACAACATGGTATGTGATTTCCCTCCACACATCTCCTGCCCACACTAACATACCTTTCTACATGGCATTCACTGGTTTCCCTTCAGCCCCAGAGGAAGGGGCTAAGGCCCGACTATTAATCCAATGTCCCCTTTAAAACCCTCCCTTCTAGCTGGGTGCAGTGGCTCATGCCTGTAATCCCAGCACTTTGGGAGGCCGAGGCAGGTGGATCACTTGAGGTCAGGAGTGGCCAACATGGTAAAACCACGTCTGGTCAACATGGTGAAACCACGTATCTACTAAAAATACAAAAAAATAGCTGAGCATGGTGGCACATGCCTGTAATCTCAGCTATTCGGGAGGCTGAGGCAAGAGAATGCTTGAACCTGGGAGGTGGAGGTTGCAGTGAGCTGAGATCGCGCCAGTGCACTCCAGACAGAGCGAGACTCCAACTCAAAACAAATCTTCCCTTCTCAGATACTTGGCTCCATTTCCTTTGGCTTTAGTGTATCTTTTTGTTTGTTTGTCTGTTTTTGTTTTTTGTTTTTTGAGACAGAGTCTTGCTCTGTTGCCCAGGCTGGAGTGCAATGGCGTGATCTCAGCTCACTGCAAGCTCCACCTCCCAGGTTCACGTCATTCTCCTGCCTCAGCCTCCCAAGCAGCTGGGACTACAGGTGCCCGCCACCACGCCCGGCTAATTTTTTGTATTTTTAGTGGAGATGGGGTTTCACTGTGTTAGCCAGGATGGTCTTGATCTCCTGACCTCGTGATCCACCCGCCTCGGCCTCCCAAAGTGCTGGGATTATAGGCGTGAGCCACCACACCCAGTGTATCTTTTTTATCTTCCTCTCTACTAACTGGCTTACTGCCCTTGGCCTACAAACATGCTCAAAACTCTCGCATCTGAAAAACAAAATATAAAATACTACTTCCTCTAGCTACCATACCTTCTCCATCTCTCCCTGAAACAGTATCAACGTTCTTTATCTGCCCTTTACTCACTTTCCATTCAGGTCTTATCTCCAAGTAATCTGATATCTGAAACTAACTCCTTTCTGAGATTATCAAACATATTCTCATTCTTAACTCTAAAGGGTATCCTTTAATCTTTAGCTTATCATGATGTTGCCATTCTTTCTCAGTCTTCAAACTTTCTTTCCTTTCTATGAGTCATGTGCATTTAGTTATCCCATCTCGCTAATGATGTCTCCTTAATGCTTTTCTGGTGTCCGCATGTCACTTAAATGCTGGCATTCCTCGGAGTTTGGCCCTCTTTATTTTCTCATTCTGCATGAGTCCTCTCTCTGTTCCTTAAGTTTTAAATATCAATTTGACATTAATGTCCCCAAATCTATATTCTAGAACATTTAACTTATTGCCCACTATAAATATCCAAACGAAAACCTACCTCCTATTTATTCATATAATTGGTATTTCCCTCATGTGCATGACATGCCAGATACTGCAGAAAACTGCAGTAGGGACATAGCTCCTGACCTCTTCAACTACAATCTTTTCAAACTCTGCCCAACCTACTCTTCCTCCTAATAGTCTCCATCTCAGCTAAGAACAGCATCAATCCACTCAGCATTCAAACCAGAAACCTTGGAGCTATATGTTATCTTTTTTAATTTTCATATTCAATACATTCTCCAAATCCTGTCTTTTCTATGTTCTGAATACTCCTTATTTATCTTACTACTTCCAAAACACTAAGTTAGTCTTCATCACCTATGGCTTTACTTTGCAATAACCCCTTAACTGGCTATTGAGCTTCCTGTCTTTTCCACTGCCATCCAGCTACCATAACAGTCCCTCATTTTACTCTCCTATTTATAATCCTTCAAGTATCCCTTATCCCTCAGACTGGCCTAGAGACTAAGGTCCCAGCTCCTTACCATGGAATATGAAGTCCTTAAAAATCTGAGACTTACCAACCTCTCTCCAGCCAACCACTCCTTCTCTTTCTTCTGAGTCCTTAAACTTTTTTTTTTCTTTTTTCTTGAGACAGTTTTGCTCTGTTGCCCAGGCTGGAGTGCAGTGGCATGATCTCGGCTCACTGCAATCTCTGCCTCCCGGGTTCATTCTCCTGCTTCAGTCTCCCTCATAGCTGGGATTACAGGCACACGCCAACAAACCCAGCTAATTTTTTGTATTTCTAGTAGAGATGGGTTTCACCATGTTGGCCAGCCTGGTCTCAAATTCCTGACCTCAAGTGATCCGCCGGCCTTGGCCTCCTAAAGTGCTGGGATTACAGCATGAGCCACTGTGCCTGGCTACGAGTCCTTAAACTTTTTGCTTGGTAATTTCAAACTACATATTCTCACAACATATCCTGCTTTTTTATGCCTCTGTTCCCTTTTACAGGCTGTTGCCTCTGTTTTGAATCCCCTTGTTCACCTTGACTTCTAGTGGATCAACTGACTTCTAATCAGCGAAGTGTTCTCTGATCCATTTGAACTCCACATCATCCCCTACCAAACAGAATATATAACTTTATCCTCTAGACAATCTCTGCATCTTCAGGATATATCAATTATTGCAGTTATTATAATGGATTTTCATGATGTGTTTACATTCATGTCTCTCCTAATAAACTAAGTCTTGAGGACAAGGTCTATATCTTATGCACTTTGAACCTGCTGCTAATACTTAGCCTAGTGCCTGGCAGGTAAATGTTAACTGCAGTAGAGACTTGGGTACACATCTGACTCTCCAAGTAGTAGACCATTAAAGGTCATATCATGATTGTATGTGTCCTCAATTGTGGGGAAAAGAGAGATCAGATTGTTACTGTGTCTGTGTAGAAAGAAGTAGACATAGGAGACTCCATTTTGTTCTGCAATCTGTAACCTTACCCCCAACCCTGTGCTCCCTGAAACAGGTGCTGTGTCAACTCAGGGTTAAATGGATTAAGGGCTGTGCAAGATGTGCTTTGTTAAACAAATGCTTGAAGGCAGCATGCTCGTTAAGAGTCATCACCACTCCCTAATCTCAAGTACGCAGGGACACAAAACACTGTGGAAAGCCGCAGCGACCTCTGCCTAGGAAAGCCAGGTATTGTCCAAGGTTTCTCCCCATGTGATAGTCTGAAATATGGCCTCGTGGGAAGGGAAAGACCTGACCGTCCCCCAGCCCGACACCTGTAAAGGGTCTGTGCTGAGGAGGATTAGTAAAAGAGGAAGGAACGCCTCTTTGCAGTTGAGACAAGAGGAAGGCATCTGTCTCCTGCTCGTCCCTGGGCAATGGAATGTCTCGGAGTAAAACCCGATTGTATATTCCATCTACTGAGATAGGGGAAAACCGCCTTAGGGCTGGAGGTGGGACATGCGGGCAACAATACTGCTCTTTAAGGCATTGAAATGTTTATGTGTATACATATCTAAAGCAAAGCACTTAATTCTTTACCTTGTTTATGATGCAGAGACCTTTGTTCACGTGTTTACCTGTTGACCCTCTCTCCACTACTATCCTATGATCCTGCCACATCCCACTCTCCGAGAAACACCCAATAATGATCAATAAATACTAATGGAACTCAGAGGCTGGCAGAGATCCTCCGTGTGCTGAGCGCCGGTCCCCTGGGCCCCCTTTTTTCTTTCTCTATACTTTGTCTATGTCCCTTTCTTTTCCAAGTCTCTCGTTCCACCTAACGAGAAACACCCACAGATGTGGAGGGGCAACCCACCCCTTCACTCAATAACTAGTAAGAAGTACTCAATACAGTTTTGTGGAATTAAAGTGTTTGCTTAAATCCCTACATAAAAAAAGATTTCTTAAATACATACTTATCAAAGCTTATAATTTATACTGTTGATACAATATGACCGCACAATATAATGCTGACACCTTACCATTGATACAATAATTACAATAGTAAGTACCTCACAAATGCCAAGTGACCAAACAAATATATCCTTCTACTTCAAAATAAGGCGCAATTACACATTTTGCTATAGGTCCAGAAACACCTGTTGATTGAATTAACAGTCAAATGTTACGACTGGTTCTTCACCAAAGGGTTTGATTTTTGTATCTGATTGACTCACATTTCATCCATTATCAAACATTTTTTCTTGTTGAGGAATGCAAGGTTAAATAATCAAATTTAAATATGCTTTATCACTCACATGAAGCAAAAGGCATTATTATTTCCATGTTATATATAACAGAACCAAAGGCAAGAGAGAGATGTGTGATTAGATGGAAGTGCTCCATGCATATACCAAGTCTTAACTTACCTTCATTGGCAGAATACTTCACTAGTAAGATGCGACTTGAGCTTAAAGCAATGAATATGGCACCTAGCAGGAATGTATACATTGTTGACAAGGAGCATATTACAGGATGACTACAGCACTGTTTTTCCATTCCACTGTTTTTTAATTACCTTAAAGAGAAAAACACTTTCATGAACGACCTTGTTGGCAGACCCTAAACGCAAATACCATTGATCGTGAGGACAAAAAAGGAATTTTTAAAAAATTTTGGCTATGACTATATCAGCACCAAGAAAGTTGAGGCATAAAGAAACTATGACAAAAGGAAAGTGAAAATCTGATAAGAGGGAGTACTCTGGAGACAGAAAACGTAGAACCAGATTAGACCTGCTGACAAAGGTAGCAGGTGAGCAAATGACACTTTGCAACAGCAGAAAAGAATTCTTCAAAGCAATTTTGAATTTTATTTTTAAATTTTATTTATTTATGTATTTTGAGACGGAGTCTCGCTCTGTCACCCAGGCTGGAGTGCAACGGCGCGGTCTTGGCTCACTGCAACCCCTACCTACCGGACTCAAGCGATTCTCCTGCGTCAGCCTCCAGAATAGCTGGGACTACAAGCGCCCGCCACCACGCCCGGCTAATTTTTGTATTTTTAGTAGAGACGGGGTTTCACTATGTTGGCCAGGCTGGTCTCGAACTCCTGACTGTGATCCGCCCGCCTCTGCCTCCCAAAGTGCTGGGATTACAGGCGTGAGCCACCGCGCCCGGCCTCGCTTTTACTCTTATTAGTAAATAATTTTGCTGTAAGATAAGGCTTTCAGAATTGTATTTTCCTCCTCTTTTCCCTCGGAGGAAAAAGCTTATTAGGACAGACTTCATTACAATAACGACCAAAATGGAAATATCTGAAACACTGCTGTAAAGTTTTACTGAACTAGTTAGTGTTTGAAATGGAGGAGATCGTAGAAATCAATGAATCTAAGGCCCTCTTTTGATAGGCTGAGGACACTAAACCCCAGGTTGGGTAAGTAACTTGCCCAAAGCCTCCCAGCGTACTGTAGGAATAGCGCATAGAGCCTGCGGGGAGTGGGGAGAAATGCCAATACTGACAGCCCCATTGGGCGCACGCCTACAGGACGCCTCCCCGACAGGAGGGGGCCAGATTTCCCTTCACAGTCAGGGACTACCCTTCTAGTCACACATGCGCAGTAGGGCTCTTCACTGGCGCACCCTCCCCTCAGACGCAGGCGCAATTCCTTGCCCGCGGGGCGCGGTTACCTCCCTCAGAAGAGCTTCTAGTGGAAGAACGCACATCCTAGAGCTGAGACAGTAACTGTCTAGCCCCGTAGTAGCAGCAGTAGCCTTTAGGGTCCATACGTGGAGAAGCTACAGTAGGTATAGGCGAAAAAGCCCCTCCCTCTAAGCCGCCTATTGCAGAACAAAAACCACGATTACGTCCGGATTGGGAAAAAGCGGACCCGACACCCATTGCGCAGGCACGTTCAGTGTTACGCTTCCGGAAGGAGGGGAGAAGCGGCTTATCCCGCCCCAGCCCGGCCCCTTTCTCACGTCACGTGCCGGGAGAGTCTAGTGTCACGTGAGGCCCCGGTGGCGGCGCAGCTACGGCAAGAGAGTGAGAAGGAAGGGAAGCCGGAAGGGGCGCGAGTGAAGCAAAGCGAGGACAGACAGCTCGCAGAGGGCGAGGGGTGCGTGTGCGTCCGCTTCTCACCTCAGGTCTCCCTTCGGCCCCGCTGCCCTCCCTCGCGGCTGGGTGACAGCTGGGTCCGGTCCGTCGCGGGCTGCCTGGGGTGCGAGGATCGCGCACCCCGTCTTCGCGCGCTGTGCCTGCCGCCCCGCCCCCTCGTCCCGCCCGTCCCGTCGCGTCGCGTCCCGTCCCCTCGGGTGCTGCCAGCCGGGTGCTGATGCGAGTCGGTGGCAGCGAGGACATTTTCTGACTCCCTGGCCCCTGACACGGCTGCACTTTCCATCCCGTCGCGGGGCCGGCCGCTACTCCGGCCCCAGGATGCAGAATGTGATTAATACTGTGAAGGGAAAGGCACTGGAAGTGGCTGAGTACCTGACCCCGGTCCTCAAGGTAAGCCAGGCCAGGGTTGCCGGGAGCTGTCAGGCACATGCTCGACTTTTCAGGGACCAGGCGCCGCAGGAGTCCCCGCTTTCTCCGGCGGGGCAAGGTGTAGGAAGGCAGTAGGGCTCGAGACACAGGGAAGTGTGCAGCCCCCACCCGTAGTCTTAACCGGCTGTTCGTTAGGGCTTTCTGACTCCTCAGGGGTAAACTTGGAGCGACGCTCTGCGTGTTCCTGCCTTCTCCCGTCATAACTCTGCGCGGTCGGGTACGTCGGGTTGGAAGGGTGTTCGGAGGCTGAGTAGATTGAAGAACGTTAAATCCAAACACTGGAAGTCTTTTAGCCTTTTTAAGCAAGGATTTTGCTTCTCTTTAAAAAATGAATTTAGTGTTTGACACACAGAGGTCAAAAGAGACCTGAGGTGAGGTCACTTTTCCTTTAAGTTTCATGAAAGTCCGCTGTAGTGGGGAAGTTGTGACTGCGATCCCAACTCGTTTAGATTTCAGAGGAAGGAGGTGAAATTGGCAACATTATCTCATTCAGTAACCTTGAACCCATCTAACGAGCAAAACCTTTTTCCCAAGCTTTTCAGATAGCCGTAGCTGGTTATTAGTGATAACAAGGCACGGTTTGACCTTCCTGGCTGTATAATTTTTAAAAATATATTGGCAACAGTACAGCATTTTTAAAGTAAAAAATTGTGACACATTAGCTGTTACAGTAGTGACTGATTTTTTTTTTAAAGGTAAATTTCTACAACTGCCTTCAAGCTTTTCTTTTATAACTCTTTTGGAGTGTTTTGTTGTAACTTCATTTTTGCTTTCTGAAAAGTGAGCAAGAATAGTAAATTAATGGGAAGTTCTTGCTTAGTTTTTGTTTTTTTTTTCTAGTTGTTTTTAAGCTTTCAGTTAGAATGTACCAATCTCAGTGTGGGGGTGAAATACCTTAATATGCTAAGAATAGTGGAGAGTTTTGCTTTGCTCCCTTTCCATGACAAAGGGAAGTACTAGGTCTATACTTTTTAAAATACGTTTTTGTAAAGCTCCTTTTAAAAGAATAACTTATTGGCCAAGTAAGAAATAAACCAGCGATTATAAATGAGAATTTCAACTGTTGCTTTGCTTACATTTGTTTACTGTGAAAGTCATTTTAAGATTATTCAGTCAAACTAAGATTGGAAAATAATTTTCACATTTGAATCAAATGCTTTTACATAATTATGTTAACTTTTCAGAATATCATATCTACCTAGGTATACAGTATTTTAATAATACACCATTGTACAACTTTTTAGTTTCCGGGAGAGAGGAGCAAGAGACTGCCCAAATGAAATATAAAATGTATGATGTAGAATTATGTTTTCAGGAGTCCATCATACTTGCTCACCAAACTGAAAAGGAACTGTTGGCATGTCAGTATGTATGGTATATGTCTTTAGTAAAAAGGAAAGAATGAATGACCGTCTCCTTGATACTCCTGTGCAAACTGTTGTTTACAGAGAGAATCCTTACAGTTTCCTGCTTAGGGAGGGCAAGGAGAAAGAACAAAATCCTCAGGAAATAAGTAATAGCCTTCTCCTAGCAAGTAAAAATTAAGAAAAATCATGTTTTGTTTGGAGTATGTACATGCAGTAAACACTGAAGTTCTTACAATCATCTCTAAGGTTCTGCTTAATTGGTAGAGGCCCCAATCTCATCTGCTCCATCCCCTGACTGCTGTTGCTTAAGCTAACCTGATCTCTTTATTATTCTGTTAAGCACACTCTTGGTTTGGGGTTTTGCATGTGCTCTTCCCTCTATCTGAAACGCGCTTCGCACTTAACAGCCTTATGGCATGTTCCTTTCCTTAAGGTTTTTAAGTCATTATTCAGTGAAGTCTTTGTTCTCTTACCATTCTATTTTAAATGGCCATCTCTCCCCAGCCACCCCACAGATTCCTCTCAGCTTCATTTTTCTTTATGGTATGTTATTCATTACCATTTGGCTTTTCTTCCTCAACTGGAGTTGAAACTCCTTATGAGGGCAAGAATAAATTTGTATTTATGTTATTCACCCCCAAATATCCCCACTGCCTCAAATAGTGTCTGGCACATAGTAAACATTTGTTGAATGAATAATGTTTATAAATGAGTGTTTTCATTTTTGTAGACTCTACCAGAAAATCTTACATATAACTTAAAGTTTAGAAAAATTTAGAGAATAGTGTGTCAGTATCTTGGTGGAGATGAGAATTAGAGGAAAATGCTAAATAATTTCTAGATTTGGTTTCTAACATTATTCAGTTTAAATAAGACTGGCTGAATTGTAAGATGTCTAAACATCTTTAAGACATTTTTGCTGTGCTGTAAAATAAAGGTATTTGTTCATTTCACAGAATCACTGTAAGGCTTTATTTTTATTTAAATCTTAGAATGTTTGTACATAGAGCTTGGCCGGGCGCAGTGGCTCACGCCTGTAATCCCAGCACATTGGGAGGCCGAGGCGGGTGGATCACCTGAGGTCAGGAGTTCGAGACCAGCCTGACAAACATGGAGAAACCCTGTCTCTACTAAAAATGCAAAAATTAGCCGGGCATGGTGGCACATGCCTGTAATCCCAGCTACAGGCAGGAGGCTGAGGCAGGAGAATCGCTTGAACCCGGGAGGTGGAGGTTGCCGTGAGCCAAGATGGCGCCACTGCACTCCAGCCTGGGCAACAGGAGTGAAACTCCATCTTAAAAAAAAAAAAAAAGAATGTTTCTACATAGAGCTTTACTCTATTATAGCACTGATCTGATAGTATTATAATTATTTTCATGTCTGTTTCCTACATTAGACTTGTATATTCCTGTGGTCATTACCAGTGAGTGAAACAGATAGATAGATATAGATAGATACCAATGAGGTAGGTAGATAGGTAGATTAGATAGATTATAGATTAGATAGATAGACTAATTTTTTTTTGTATGTGCTCTATTGCCTAGAAGGGCACCAGGCAAATAATTGCCCCCAAAATATATTTAATTGATAGTGAAACATGATATAATATTGTTTTTCTTTCTGCTTTTTTTAGGAATCAAAGTTTAAGGAAACAGGTGTAATTACCCCAGAAGAGGTGAGTGCTGAAGATATACTGAAGTCTTTTTATTTTACAATAATACTAAACTAGGTGGCTTTTCTGCTTCATAAGAAAACATCTTGAACTTTAATTTTGATTTGAGTAAAATTAGGTTTTATGACTGTGATTTATGGGAATTTCTACTTCCCATAGAAGAAAAGATGTAACTTCCCCGTCAGTTTGCCACTTCTCATATTTCTCTGTAGTTCCTCTTTATTTAGAAATGAGGGTGAAAGAAGGGATCAAAATGAGTCCTATGTCACTTATCCTTGACTTGTATTGGTGTTATATTGAGCTGTGCAGTAAGCTCTGTAATGTCTGTGGTGTCTTGGTTCTGTTTACATCAAATGTGAGTTTTCATGCTTTTCATTGGAAAACTTTGCTTACTACTTAGATATTGTTTTCTCTTAAGAGTTCTATTTCGTTGTCGGTGGAGAAGTAAATACTGGGCTAAAAACCTTTTCAGGCTCCAATTTTATGAATAATTATGGTTTTATCAGACTTAGGTTGTTCTTAATAAGAGACAATTTATTTAAGCTTGAATTTTTTTTTTTCTGCCAATGAAAACACCACTTTTTGGCAATAGAACTTTATTCACTGTTTTGAAACAAACGTTTTAAGCCTTATTTTATGATAAGGCTGCTGCTGTTAAGGTCCAAGGTGTGGAGCTAGAGAATTAACTGATCTTTCAATTTTCAGTTGTGATGGAATTTGTCTAGTTCCAAATCTTTGTGGTTTTTTTAATTTTTTTTTCTTGAGACGGAGTCTCCCTCTGTCACCAGGCTGGAGCACAGTGGCGCGATCTTGGCTCACTGCAGCCTCTGCCTCCTGGGTTCAAGCAATTCTCCTGCCTCAGCCTCCCAAGTAGCTGGGAATACAGGTGAGCGCCACCACGCCCAGCTAAGTTTTGTACTTTTAGTAGAGATGGGGTTTCACCATGTTGGCCAGAATGGTCTCGACCTCTTGACCTCGTGATCCGCCTGCCTCGGGATTACAGGCTTGAGCCACTGCGCCCGGCTCCTTGTGAGTTTTAAGAATGGTTTCTGTGCTGGGCGTGGTGGCTCACGCCTGTAATCCCAACACTTTAGGAGGCAGAGGCAGGCGGAATACAGGCTAACAGGGCGAAACCCCGTCTCTACTAAAAATATAAAAAATTAGCGGGGCGTGATGGTGGGCGCCTGTAGTCCAGCCTGGGCGACAGAACGAGACTCCGTCTGAAAAAAAAAAATGGTTTGCATAACTAATCTTTTCTCTAAAATTGTCTTTTGTTTTTGGTGAAGACACATGGTAGTATGGAAATAACCTAGGAGACCTGCCTTCTAGACCTATTTCTGTAATTTCTTTTTTTTTTTTAATTGATCATTCTTGGGTGTTTCTCGCAGAGGGGGATTTGGCAGGGTCACAGGACAATAGTGGAGGGAAGGTCAGCAGATAAGTGAACAAAGGTCTCTGGTTTTCCTAGGCAGAGGACCCTGTGGCCTTCCGCAGTGTTTGTGTCCCTGGGTACTTGAGGTTAGGGAGTGGTGATGACTCTTAACGAGCATGCTGCCTTCAAGCATCTGTTTAACAAAGCACATCTTGCACCACCCTTAATCCATTCAACCCTGAGTGGACACAGCACATGTTTCAGAGAGCACAGGGTTGGGGGTAAGGTCACAGATCAACAGGATCCCAAGGCAGAAGAATTTTTCTTAGTACAGAACAAAATGAAAAGTCTACAATGTCTACCTCTTTCTACACAGACATGGCAACCATCCGATTTCTCAATCTTTTCCCCACCTTTCCCCCCTTTCTATTCCACAAAACCGCCATTGTCATCATGGCCCGTTCTCAATGAGCTGTTGAGTACACCTCCCAGACGGGGTGGTGGCCGGGCAGAGGGGCTCCTCACTTCCCAGTAGGGGCGGCCGGGCAGAGGTGCCCCTCACCTCCCGGACGGGGCGGCTGGCCGGGCGGGGGGCTGACCCCCCCACCTCCCTCCCGGATGGGGCGGCTGGCCGGGCAGAGGGGCTCCTCTCTTCCCAGTAGGGGCGGCCGGGCAGAGGGGCTCCTCACTTCCCAGTAGGGGCGGCCAGGCAGAGGCGCCCCTCACCTCCCGGACGGGACGGTAATTTCTCCTAATGAGGAAATCAGTTAAACTATCCCTGCCGAGGCTTCATGTTTCCTCATCTATAAAATAACGGTTGTGGGCTAGACATTCTGTAAAGATCCTATTCTGCCTTAGGTTTTATTACCTCAAATGCCAAATAAAACTAAGTTTTGATTTTAAGGATATCATTAACATTCTTGCCAAACAGAGGTGTAATTTGAACATGGCTCTTTATCTGAAATCAAGAGCGGAGATGAAAGTATGCTGTTCTTATTGCACTCTTTGGTTTTATTTCCTCTGTGAAGATGACTAATTGTTGAATATATAGTTGCAGTTAGAGATGCAAAGTCTGTGGTCATTGGATAGAATTAAGCAGTTTCAAAACAGGAATTCATCCTAGAATAAATAACTGTTACACTTAATTACAACATCAATCAATTTATGAATTTTCCTCTCTAAAAAAATCCAAGGCCAAATTAGCCCAGCTGGCTGTCTATTACATAATGCAGGGTTGGGATAGAGCACAATTACAGGATTGAGTTAGAGTAGAATGAGCCTGGAGGAGGAAATGGGAAGGCATCATTTGCTTTGTGTAAATATTATATACTGAGTTGATTTGTTCATTTGTTTCATCTTGCTGTTTCTGAGTTTCTGCCAGACATCAGCTATCTTTTTGTTTTCATTCAGAGGTGTGGCAGTATTGTGCTTAAAAAGAGGGGCAGCTAGTATCTGATACTGTATTGTCAAAAAACAAAGAAAAAACTAATGTTGGATGTATGTATGACTTGTTTAAGTAGAATACTATTAATTGAGGTTAGCTTGAGGAATGGAATTGCTCACCAAGGTGTAAATATTGATTCTTGTTGGAGTTGGTCAGTATTATATACTGATAATAAAGATAATAAGAGAACATTTTTAGTCTCTAAGAGAAAGCTATTGCAAGCAATATTGATCATTTAGAAATTTGAATCTTGCATCATTTGAACACGTGAAGCAAGTTATGATGGCCATTGCTAATGAGGGCAGATGTACACATGTATTATCAGTGTGAGTCTGTGTTTTTTTTGTTTTGTTTTTTGTTTTTCGTTTTTCTTGCCTCCTAGTGTTCTTGTTTTTAAATAGAAGATACTATAGGGACTATGAGATAAAATGTTAGTCTTGTTACCTCAAGGCAATACAATGAAAGAATTTTTTATTTTTAATTATTTTGCTTTCATTTAGTTAAATTATTACTTTTAATGGTAATAAATTAGTTCCTGATAACCACAGAGCTAAATGTAGCATCTGGTTGCAATGAGCTCGAAGTGCTCAAAATTTGGGGAAGAGACTATTGTTTTTATTTTGGTTTTTGTCTTTACTTAGGCTGTTTAAATAATAAGGTTATTCGAAGTAAAAGAACAGAAACATAAAGTTTCTATCAGGAATCCAGTTGCTATATCTTGTTAATGTTTCATCTTAAAAGAGGTTATTCTTAGAATTCTTATTTGATAGAATTATATGCTCAAATTAAACTAGAGTATTTTATATAGGCATACTTTCTCAAAGGTATTAGAGATTAAATATTTTGTAATTTTTTGCTGTGTAGTAAACCCATGAACAATACAAGATTTTAAGCTAGAGCTGTTGCAAAATAGAAGTAATTTGGCAAGTATGTGGGTGTCACATGCGTCCATGTGTAGAGACCACCAAACAGGCTTTGTGTGAGCAACAAGGCTGTTTATTTCACCTGGGTGCAGGCGGGCTGAGTCCGAAAAGAGCAAAGGATGGTGAGATTATCATTAGTTCTTATAGATTTTGGGATAGGCAGTGGAGTTAGGAGCAATGTTTTGTGGGCAGGGGGTGGATGGCACAAAATACATTCTCAAGGATGGGGAGAATTACAAAGAACCTTCTTAAGGATGGGGGAGATTACAAAGTACCTTGATCAGTTAGGGTGGGGCAGAAACAAATCACAATGGTGGAGTGTCATCAATTAAGGCTATTTTCACTTCTTTTGTGGATCTTCAGTTGCTTCAGCACATCTAGATGTATACGTGCAGGTCACAGGGTATATGATGGCTTAGCTTGGGCTCAGAGGCCTGACAATGCACATCCTGCTTGAGTTGGGACACTGCAGTTATGCTTAACAGACTTAAATTTTCTGCCCTCAGAAATAAGCAGGATTTCTGTTCGCCAGTAAGATCAGCTCATGTTCGTGTAAACTGATAATTCTCAAATGGTTAAAGTTTATCTCCCTGAATCTGGTTTTTATTTCTGAAGAAAAACAAAAACTTGTACAATATTCAGCCCGCTTAGGAAGTCTAAGGTTTTTTAGAGAGAATTCAATTTGTTAATTTTGTAGGTGTTTTCAGAGTGAGACCAAAAAGCTTCTAACTTTTTCCCATTGTTTTGGCACTGCATTTCTCTTTTAGAAGTGCAAAAAAGCTTTCAAAATCACTTAAATTTTTAAAAATAATAAAAGAGGAAGAGGAAGAAGTGTGCCCAGTGATATAATAAAGTAGACTTACATTATAGACTTGTATCTATTTAGTAATTTTTTTCAGATTTTTATTGTATTTTCAGTCATTGGCAAGAATGTGTCTACATTTTTGTATCCTTAAAATGGATTTTGACAATTTAAATCTGATAGCCTTACATTTATCAATTTCATTATACTGCTTTTGGCATTACTTAATCCAATTATAAAAACTGAATTTTTAAAAAACAGCACTTGTTTTTTCTTCCAAGATTAATTTGAATTTTTTTATGGACATTAGAAAACATTGCAGTTTAGTCATAATCAAAAATAAATCTTGAGGCTGGTAGAGCAGCTTTGTTGCTGTTTATATTTTTATTGCTTACTGGATTTCAGTGTTACCTAGTGCCATCAGTTTGGTATTTTGCCACCTTGCACATTCAGTGATGTTTGATTTTTCTTTTTCCTTTTTTTCATATTACTTTTAAATCCTGAATAGTTTGTGGCAGCTGGAGATCACCTAGTCCACCACTGTCCAACATGGCAATGGTAAGTAATATTGAGTAAAGAATAGAAAATTAGTAAAATGCATGGCTTCAGAATTATAGCAATTTGCAAAATAGGTTAATGGATGAAAATTAGAATGACCAGTTTAACTTTCCCCCCAGCAGATTCTTCTGTTAAACAATGCCCCTTCAAAATAAAGGAAGAACAAGTGGGTGTTATACCTATGTTATTTGGCTATGTTAGCACAATATGATGGACTAATTTGAGAAAAATGCATTTACTTCCTTTACTATTACTTCTTTTCTTTATAGTGTCTAAGTCTGACCTTCTGGTTCTTTGAATAATAAATAGTTTAATAAAATTTGATCAGGTTTTTGGCAGGGCGCGGTGGCTCACACCTGTAATCCCAGCACTTTGGGAGGCTGAGGCGGGCAGATCACGAGGTCAGGAGATGGAGACCATCCTGGCTAACATGGTGAAACCCATCTCTAAAAATGCAAAATATTAGCTGGGCATGGTGGCAGGCGTCTGTGGTCCCAGCTACTTGGGAGGCTGAGGCAGGAGAATGGTGTGAACCTGGGAGGTGGAGCTTGCAGTGAGCCGGAGATGATGCCACTGCACTCCAGCCTGGGCAACAGAGTGAGAGGCTCCCGTCTCAAAAAAAAAAAAAAATTTTTGAACAGGTTTTTTTTTTTTAAATTAACAAAATTTACTGAACATGTTTGTGGCATTAATAAATGCAGAGATTTTGCAGTTTTATGTTCTTTAAAATATAAAACATAAACGTTTTCTGTTAGGTTCAAAAGTATGCTCCATCTTTAGGAAACTGGCTAAAGCTAAAAGAAAGGTTTATGATACCAATTAAGGCCTTCATTATAAATCTGCTTTTAAGAGGCTTTAAGTTTTTATTTTTTTTCAATACCTTTTATTTTAATTACTAAGGTACCTTAAGCAATTTAGCAGTTTTCACAATCTATATTTTAAAATATTCTGAATAATAACAGTGTTTTATTACTTCCAAGTACTCACGATAAAGACTCCCTGTTGGTAGCTGAAAAAATGATCCCAATATTGGCAGAACTTTTATTTAAACTAGGATTGTTTGGAATTATCACCTTGTTTGTATATAGGTGCTTCAACTTAATATATCTTTTTTCTTAAAAATTGTTTTTCAATTGTAGTTGAAAGGTACAGTTTTGACTGGGGATAGGAATTCTATAATTAATAAGTTTCCAATTGATAATGTTTTTCTAGCTTCAAACTCTTTCATCTGTGGCCTGGTATTCTCCTGCATTTTAATACTTACCGTGTCGCTGAAACAGTTGTCACTGCTTTTTTCAATTACTCTTTATTTTGTAGGGCATTATTTATGTACCAAAAGACTAAAGTTTCAAGTTTGTTTTTATGTATTTTTCTCTCCTACATGTGTTTTTTGTTCCATATTTAAAATTAAATTCATGTCATAGAAGATCTCTGATTTAATAAAGGTGGTTTTTTTTTCTTTCTGTATTCCAGATTTTCTGTTAAAACTATATTTAGCTAGGTTCTGGTCTATAATTTATATGTATTTCAAGTCAAATAGGGAAATGAGGTTTACAGTAGTATTCATTTTGTGAAAATAACTGATTCAGGTTTTTTTCTATATGATAAGCATTTTCTTCATTGAGATTTCTTTGTTCTACCAGCTTAATTAAGTAGTTTAGGTATTTGATTTATAGCATTGTTGTAGGGGCTTGTATATATGGACGGGATCTTTTTTTAGCAGGTACTAGTAGTTTTATTCCATTTTATGAATTAGAGTGATTTAAATACTTTTATTGTAACTTAGAACTGAATTATACCCCACTTCAGTGTCCACACTTTTGGCTAAATTCCTGGGCCAAAGGAAAAATTCATTTTAAATCAGCACTAGAGCCAGGTTATTTCCATGCTTATGCCTTCACGTGCACAAGTGCTATCATGACCTTATTTTAACTCTTTCCTCAGAACTTCGGGTGTTGCCATGACATTGTTGAATTTGACACTTGGGACTAGTCAAAAGAAGTCTAGAAGGCCGTCAAATAATATTAGGGCATTTCCTGACTTTACCTTGTGCCCAGATCTATGGTTTGAACTTTAGACTGAAGCTTGAAAAGACAGCTGAACTCCAAATTTATGGCCATATGTTTGTGAAAGGCACCACATACCACTCCACCTCTCACCGTTTTCAGATGACCCACAAATTCTTAAGAAGAGGTGCCAGAGCAGCTCAGAAATGTTGTAGATAGTTGGCTCTGACCCACAGAGGGAGCAGTGTTTAAGAGTAGGAGCCCTGAAGTCACTTGGCTTTGACCCTTGCTCTCCCACCAAGTTTTGTGATCATAAGCAACTTGATCTGTTTAATCTTTAGTTTACTTAACTATAAAATGGGATATTTATATGTTCTACTGTTTAGAGTTATGAAGACTAATTGAAAATAACATGTTGGAGACTTAAATTCTATACTCAATAAGCACTCAATAAAAGGTTTTTTGTTTTCAAGAATTATTAATATTGTCATTTTATGATTCAGAGCATCTTTTATCTCTTAATTCTGATTTTAATCCAGTGATAGGAACAGGGATTTTGCCAGCCACCTACAGTGTTACATAATGTCATGCAGCTTTTTTTTCTGCCTTTTCTTGTTCTCAAGATGAGCAGCAGTACTTTAGGATTAAAAATGTGAGAGATTATACAGTGGGCTACAACTCACTGAGGAGCAGCATATTTTATTGTTGTTTAGAGGCAAACATAATAGTTGCTTAATAGTTCTATATTATTCTACCTTTTTTGTCTAATATTTAATCCAAATTCTCTTGGGTCTATCTGCATCTCTTAGTATGTTTCACTTAGATTATTGTTGTGCTTTTCTCCATGCCCTGACATGTATTACTTAATGGAGTCCTTCCCAAATCAATTTTAAACCAATTTTCTGAGAATTATGGATTATATCATTTTGAGATTTATATGCAATACTTTCTGCTGTATATTTGCCTATTAAAATATGTTTTGTATTTTGGTGCTTTTCACTGTTTTTAAAGGGCTACAGGGGAAGAATTGAAAGTGAAGGCATACCTACCAACAGGCAAACAATTTTTGGTAACCAAAAATGGTAAGAATTATGTTGCATATATGAATAAATTTTGCGTAGAGGTATATTAAAATGAAGCTCTCGGTTTTTCTATTGCTTGAAAATTTTTTCCTTAGTTTTATCACCTCTTTCTGTTATTTCTTTTTGCCAAAAACATATAGTTGTCAAGATACGAAGGAAGAGGGCCCTAAGGAAAGTTAGACTTCTAAGTGGATTTTTTTGAAGTTGGCTTCATAATAATCTTTCTAGGTATTTGATTTTAATCTTCTTTAGACTGAAATTTTGCATGGCAAATGAAATTCATACTACCTATGACATCTAAAAGCTCAGAGCTGACGATGTTATTATCCGTTGTGTCATTGAAGGACACAAAAATATTTTGAAACAGGTAGTGGTTTTTTTTTTTTTTTTTTTGGTTGTTTTGAGACAGAGTCTCACTTTGTTGCCCAGGCTAGAGTGCAGTGGCCTGATTTTGGCTCACAGGTTCAAGCGATTCTCCTGCCTCAGCCTCCCAAGTAGTTGGGATTACAGGCCTGCCACCACGCCCGGCTAATTTTTGTATTTTTAGTAGAGACAGGGTTTTGCCATGTTGGTCAGGCTGGTCTCGACCTCCTGACCTCAGGTGACCTGCCCACCTTGGCCTCCCAAAGTGCTGGGATTACAGGTGTGAGCCACCGCGCCTGGCTGAAACAGGTAGTGTTTTATTTATGAAGTTAAATTTAAAAACAACATCAAAAGGTTGTTATAGTTCCTAACTAATCACAAAACAATACATTGATTTCTGTTCCAATTTACTCATTATAGGAAAGGGAAAATAAAGTGAACAGAACAGCAGTTTTTTCTTTTCTACAGCATATTTCTTTTTACAAAGGCTGATAATTTATATCCTGATTGTTTTAAAAAAATCAGGAGATTAAAAAGCAATTTGTTGACCTTATACCATAATGCTTTTACCATATAATTACCCAATCTTAGGCTTATGAATAATAATACCTGTTAATTGACACATTTGCTGTATGAACAACTTACTAGTGTGGTATAAAGAAGTAAAAATCAGAAGGTTGGTGAATTTTAAACTGTTTTATCCATTGTGAATAACTGGAACTTAAATATGAATTATAAAATTTATATTGAAAGTTACTTTAGCCTTGAAAACAAGAGTTCACCTTTACCACCACTGACTATGATAGCTGGTAGCTCCATGTTCTGAAAGTAAAGCCATTAAAATAAGGTATTATTATTCATTAGACTGAAATTGAACTATGATATGTATCTCTGACATCAGCCTGCTGTTCTTCACAGACCATCATGGTAAAGGAATGCATAGAACATTCCCAATAGAGCTTTTCTACTTGTCTTCTGACAAAGCAATTTAGGAAAAGGTAAATGTAGCCAAATAATTATGTGTCTATGAGCTGAATGTAACTCTTAATCACCTTTAAAAGTGAAATATTCACTTAGTACTTTGGTGGTATAAACACCCTATTTTATGGACTAAGCTCTCTTCTTTCTAATGGATTTATGGTTAGCAGATTACGTGCTAGTTAACTGTATTTACCATTTTTTTTATAGTGCCGTGCTATAAGCGGTGCAAACAGATGGAATATTCAGATGAATTGGAAGCTATCATTGAAGAAGATGATGGTGATGGCGGATGGGTAGATACATATCACAACACAGGTAAGAGGAGAATAAAATGACATATATTTAGTTTAAATTAAACTCTTTCACAATCTTTTATAATAGCCTTGATTTAAAAAAGAGGATACATAAGGCATAGTTTTGTCCCAATAGACTTACATGAAAAAAGCAGGAGGACAAATTTTAAAAAAGAAGCCTTTAGAGTATGCCAAATTTATTTCTTTTTTTGAGACAAGAGTCTTGCTCTGTCACCAGGCTGGAGTGCGATCTTTGCTCACTGCAACCTCCACCTCCCGGGTTCAAGCGATTCTCCTGCCTCAGCCTCCCGAGTAGCTGGGACTACAGGTGTGCACCCCCACGCCCAGCTAATTTTTGTATTTTTAGTAGAGATGGGGTTTCACCATGTTGGTCATGATGGTCTCCATCTCTTGACCTCGTCATCTGGCTGCCTCGGCCTCCCAAAGTGCTAGGATTACAGGCATGAGCCACTGCGCCCGGCCAGAGTATGCCAAATTTCTATAATACCTGCTACTTCCATTGCAATTTGAAAATATTATTTTCTTAGTTTCTAAATACAGAGAGGGAAAAAAAAGACCGTCAGAGATGCTGAATATGCATACTACTTTGCTTTACAGTCTCTTGCTTACATGTCATTGTCATTCCATTGCTGGATTATGTGCTCCTCTATGACAGGAACTATACTGTATTCACATTTACCCAGAGAACTGACATCTATTAAGTATTTAATAATTATTTGTTAAATAACGACTAAAAGAAATTTTCAGTACTGTAAGCTCCATGAAGGTAAAGATTCATTGTTGAATTCTCAGTATCTATCACAGTGTATGATGTAGAAGTTGTTCAGTAAATATTTGTTAAATGAGTTGAATGCAAGGTTTTTATAAGTGTTTCTATGAGTTATTTGAAACCCTGAATATACTTTTTTATTCTAAGTCCTAAAACACTGTTTTGCCACTATATTTATATAACTATGTACATGCATATTATCATATGCTGCTGAAGCTAACTACCATTTATTACTTAGTTTTGATGAAGAAAATGTGCTCTAAGTTTAAATCCATGATACTAAAAACAAATTTTTCTCCCTTTGAGTCCTAGAGGTTAGGAGTTATATCCTTAGTAGTAGTAATAAAACAGGGTTTCTCAACCTTGGCACTGTTTTTTGGAATGGAAAATGTGCTCTAAGTTTAAGTCCATGATACTAAATATGTTTTTCTCCCTTCGAGTCCTAGAGATTAGGAGGTATATCCTTAGTAGTAATAGAACAGGGTTTCTCAACCTTGGCACTGTTTTTTGGAATGGATAATTATTTTCTGTGCATTGTAGAATGCTTACCAGTATCTCTGGCCTGTAACCACTGGATACCAGTAGCATCCCTCAGTTTTAACAACCAAAAATGCCTCCAGAAATTGCTGAATGTTCTGTTGGGGGAAAAATTGCTGCCTTCAGTTGAGACTCACTGCAGTAGACAGAGGGCTAAGTATCTGCCCAGGTAAAAGTTCCTTCTTAGGTCAGTTTCTCCCCTACTCTGAATAAAGGATACTGCCATCTCTTTCCTTATGGAGTTATAGGCAAAGATTCAGGACTTGGGCTCCTTGATCTGAAATTTATTGGCTTATTAATGAGTCGAGTGCTATATCAAAGCCTAAAGGAAATAACAGATTGAAAAACTTTTAAAAGTAATTTCAAAAATCATCCTTCTTTCCCCCCGCCCCACTGAGTAGTGAAAGTCTTTTAACTCTTCTGCTTTGACTTTTCCATGCCTGGAAGATGTTGGCAACACATCAGTAGGAAATTCTCTGTTGACTGACTGGATCCATTGATTGTGCATTGTTTTTGATGTCAAGTTAGTGACTTATGAGGCCAGATACTGGTTCCTTTTTCAACTCAGTTTCCCTTGCTTTATCCTTGCTTTTCCTGGGCGTTTTCTTCTATTAGCTTGTGTATTAGTCATGGTTCTCTAGAGAAACAACCCATAGGATGTATACAGAGTAGGTTTTGCTTTCTGTGGTTTCAGTTATGTAGTCAACCATGGTCCAAAAATATTAAGTGCCAAATTCCAGAAATAATTCATCAGTTTTAATTTTTGTCCCCACTGTTGGGAGTAGCATGATAAAATCTGCTATCCTGATCCGTTCTGCCCAAGAGGTGAATCATCCCATTGTCTAGTGTATGCATGCTGTATATGCTACCCAGCCATTAGTCACTTAATAGCCAACTCGATTATCAGGTCGACTGTCATGTACAGCGTAGGTAGGGTTTGGTACTATCTGTGCTTTCAGACACCCTCTGGGGGTCTTGGAATGTATTCCCCACAGATAAGTGAGGACTATTGCATAGGTATAGGTATAGATATAGGTAGATAGGTTTTTTTTTGTTTGTTGTTGTTGTTTTTTGTTTTTTTGTGTTTTTTTTAGAGGAATTGACTCATCTGATTATATGGGCTGGCAAGTCTGAATTCTGCAGGGCACACTGGCAGACTAGAGATTCAGGGAGTGTTGATATTGCAGCTTTAGTCCTAAAGCGTTCTGGAGGCTGAATTCCTTCTTCTGGAGGACCTCAGTCTTTTTCTTACAAGGCCTTCAACTAATTGGATGATATCCCCCTATCTTGTAGAGGGTAATCTGCTTTATCCAGTCTACTTACTTAAATGTTCATCACATCTCAAAAATACCTTCAGCAATATCTAGAATGGTGTTTGACCAAACATCTGGGTGCCACAACCTAGCCAAGTTGACATAAAATTAATTACCATAACCCTTTAGAGTATTACTCTCATTAGAGTCATTTGAGCTTTCTTTTTCTTTGTCAACTGTATCCTACTTCTAGAAGTGTTTTAATGGCGTACTACTTATTATATTTTGACAAATTAAAGAGGTTGATTTGCTTTGTTTTTATGTTCCGCAGTCAATTCGTATGTTAAAATTTGGGTTTTACTGTTATGAAATAGTCATACCTATTATATAGTAATTTCTAGAAAAACTGAAGTAAAAGCTTTGTGCTAGACCTGTGGATTTTGACCTATTTTATTTGTGAAAGTGAGCTATTTATTTTGTTTAGGCATGT
The DNA here is from genome assembly GCF_000001405.40 of Homo sapiens. Classification (NCBI taxonomy): domain Eukaryota; kingdom Metazoa; phylum Chordata; class Mammalia; order Primates; family Hominidae; genus Homo; species Homo sapiens. The sequence goes on along the minus strand of NC_000003.12, from coordinate 112,545,484 downwards.
TGAACAGACATCTCAAAATTTTAGAAGATTAACAAAGGAGCTAAGCATATTCTGTACTTAGGTTTTTTCTTTAGTAACTTTAGATGCTATTGTTTTACTATATTTCTTATTCTTGTTAAACTATTTTGTTAACATTGACAGGTACTTTGAAGTAGAAATGTTATCTAGCTGACTGGTGGTGCTGCCACCTTCTTAAGGCTTTCTTTGAGACAAGTAGGTTTTGAGGTATTTGCCCCGTAGAGTGCAAGAGAATTGAACCAAAAGTTAGCTTGTATGGATTTTAATCCCAATTTCATCATTTGACTGGGTATAACACTCAAGCAAGTCATCTCTCCAGTGACTTCATTTCTTCATAGGAAGACATTATTACTGTAACGTCCTCATAAGATAGTCATTGTGAGGATTAAATAAGATGTGGAAATAGTAGAAAGCCACATATAAATGTGATATGATATTACTACCTTTGGGTATCCTACATTTCTGAAGCAAATAACAAACAGATTGAGTATCCCTAATCCAAAAATCCAAATGAAATGTTCCAAAAGCCAAAACTTTTTGAGCACTGATATGATGCTCAAATAAAATGCTCATTAGAGCATTTTGAATTTTTGTATTAGGGATACTTGACCAGTAAGTATTTATGCAAATATTCCAAAATCTAAAAAAATCAGAAATACTTCTGGTCCCAAGCACTTCAGATAAGGGATAATCAGCCTATATTAAGATAACTAATAGCTTTTTGAGAAAATTTTGATGCAAGTTTAATTAAAATGTACATACGAGTCCTGTAGTTTTTTTAAACTCTTGTCTTTCCTTTTTTTTTTTTCCCTGAGACGGAGTTTCGCTCTTGTCGCCCAGGCTGGAGTGCAATGGTGCGATTTCGGCTCATTGCAACCTCCACCTTCCGGGTCCAAGCGATTCTCCTGTCTCAGCCTCCCAAGTAGCGGGGACTACAGGCACACGCCACCACGCTGAGCTAACTTTTGTATTTTTAGTAGAAACGGTTTCACCATGTTGGCTAGGCTGGTCTTGAACTTCCGACCTCAGATGATCCACCCGCCCCAGCTTCCCAAAGCATTGGGATTACAGGCGTGATCCACCGCACCTGGCCAAACTGTTCTGTTTCTCAGAAAGTGTTGTGATAGAGATTCAAACAAGGAAAGTAATTCATGGTAAAATATTAATGAGTTTTTCAAAATTTGAGGAGGTGCCATTGTGACTATTCTCATTAGAGTTCATTTGTAAAGATACTACTATTATTTGCCTCCTTATTTCAGAGAAATTGTGAGAATTTTCAGCATTTTTATATTGCTTTAATAAGTAAATAGGGTGTTTACAGTTTAATTTTAGTTATTCTTTTCTGCCGAATTTTACATAGGTATTACAGGAATAACGGAAGCCGTTAAAGAGATCACACTGGAAAATAAGGTACTGGTTAATTAGTTATATTTTTAAATTTAATGAGTAGTTATTTGCCTATCTATCTATCTATACACACACATATATAATCACCATATCTTTCTTATAAAAACCCTGGTTTTTTATTATCAAGCTCTTTTAAATTCCAGCTGTTTTCTTCCCCATTCATTTTTCTGTCTCAACACACCAAAACACTACTGCTGCCTAATGCATCTCTTATTTTCCTTAATTTGTAGTATGGTTAAGTAAAACAGCTTTTAGATTGTAACTTGTACAAACTACTAATTTTCACTGACTGGAGCAACTTCTAGGCTAGTTTAAAAGAGATGACTTTTTTGTTTTAAAATGTATTTAGTACCAAATGTCATATAAGTGGAGAATGTTGGGGTGGAATTAACTACTTGCTTACTAGTAGATGCTAATGATATATTAACATTTAAATTTTATAGCTTAAATAGTGCCATAAGCAATTTAATCATTCTCTCTGTATTTTCTTCAATTACTGGTAATTTGGGGTTTATTTGTTTTTGAAAATTTGAAAGCAAACTTTAGCTTGCATCATTCAAATTCATGACATTTTGAATGAATAGAAGCTTAATCTGTTAAGTTTTATTGCATGATTTATGGGGGTAAAACATAATTGGGTAGAGTTTTTTTGCTTGGAAATTTTGAGTTATTTTAGGCTGTTGTAGGTATTAGATTAGCTTTTCATTTCTCAGAGAGATCAACCGCAGTTGTCTTCATGTTTTTATATACCTGTAGTTGTTTGAAATGATATGAAAAAATAATATAAAATGCTTTCACCCTTGTCTTAATTATTTTTTTAACCATCAAATCACTTAGAGGATAGACTATTTGAATGGAATAATTGTGTTCCTAGTCTTATGACACTTTTGCTACAACAGTTACTAAAGATATTCTTTGTGTGTTTTTGTCATTTGGATCTTTCTAGATTTGTTACTGGGGCTTAACAGAAAGTGATAGAAACGAAGACAAGTTTTTTTTTTGTTTGTTTTGTTTTTTTATTTACAGTTTTATGCTTTAAGATTTAGTTCTTTGGCCTGAGAATTCATCATTTTGAAATTAGACTTTTTGGAGTGTTTGAATGACTTACGGAGAAATAACACAAATTGCTTTGCTGTTTTAGAAGATCTTGTTTACTCTGACCATTACTATATATGCTTCAGACTTTGGGAATGATAAATGGCACAGTAGTGTAGATAGTAGTGTTTTTCTTGGACGGGCTTATGGTAATTCCTTTAGTATTTTTTGTAACTTAGAATACTTGCCATCCAAGCAGAAGTATTAATCTTGGTTGTCAATTTCTATTCTACTTTATCAAGTATAAATATCACCAATATGATGAAACTTTTTCTTAATGATTAATTTGTTAAATATTAGCTCATATAATAATTACTCCGACACTGATGGTTTTGTGGTTTTGTGGTTTCAATTTTGGGTGTAAGAATGATTTAAGTTTTAAACATATGACTTAAGTTTCTAGTGTTAAATTAAACCACCCCTAAGTAAAATGTAACCTAGGTAAAACTAAATATTCAGTTTATCCACTTATTATGTTGACTTCAGATTTTCAGAATATTAATTTTGTGAAAACGATACCCAGATGTTAAACCTGTCCATCAATATTCTTTCACTTTAGAGCTAATATAGTTAAGAAATTGAACTGATATCTTGTGCATTTTAATAACTGTAAAGTCTGATAACTTGCCTAATTCAGCTAAGATATTGTTAACAAATTAGAATGTAATAGTGTTTGATTTATATTTTAGCTTATATTTGATTTACAGATATGTGCACTTTTTCCCCTTATAAGTGCACAAGTTAATATAATTTTGAACTGATTTTCTAATACTAATGAATTGATTAACCAAAAATACTGTTTTATTGGAAGTGCAACTGGCAATTATTTTTAAATAGCTTAGATGACTCTTACTGCTCCCATAATAACCTTTGTTATTTTTCAGTCACAGCACTTAGCACGTTACTTTTAATGACTGATATATGAATTCATTATCTTCATTGGAGTTTAAGGTTTTTGTGGACAAGAACTGCCTTGTCATTCTTATTTTCACAGTGGTTACCACTGTGCTAGCACATGGGTGTTCAGTGTTCAAATTAATGTATATACTTAAGTGATTTTAAATATAATTAATTTCAAAGGACAATATAAGGCTTCAAGATTGCTCAGCACTATGTGAAGAGGAAGAAGATGAAGATGAAGGAGAAGCTGCAGATATGGAAGGTATTCCTGTTCTAGATTTGCTTCAGTTCCACTAGAATATTGATTTAGAATATTTGTAATTTATGTGGATTAAGAATTCTTCATTGAGTTGTAAGTTTAGCATTTAGCAGCCTAGTGAGTGTTTTATATATGTTTAGTTCATAAATTTCATTAGTGTAAAACTTATCTTGATCTTGGACTCTTCTATTTTACTCCAAACATAGTCTTGGACAATATCATTTTTATTGGAATAACTATTAGTCATAAATATTTAATACTGGATACGGCTGCAAGATATTAATTCCTAACTGAATTATTTCAGAGCAGAACAAAGTTTGCTTATTATGCATTTTGTATTTTCTTTTCCCTCTTTGATAGCATCTTTCTATTAAAACCTGAAGATAGTGAGTTTCAATGGGGCCTTTTTTTTTTCTTTTTTTGAGACGGAGTCTCACTCTCGCCAGGCTGGAGTGCAGTGGTGCGATCTCTGCTCACTGCAACCGCCGTCTCCCAGGTTCAGGTGATTCTCTTGCCTCTGCCTCCTGAGTAACTGGGACTACAGGTGCATGCCACCACACCCAGCTAATTTTGGTATTTTTAGTAGAGACGGGATTTCACCATGTTGGCCAGGATGGTCTCGATCTCTTAACCTCATGATCGCCCACCTCGGCCTCCCCAAAGTGCTGGGATTACAGGTGTGAGCCACTGTGCTTGGCTAATGGGGCCTTTTGAACTACACAGAATCCCATCAGTTTCCCAAGATTCTGAAAAGTCCTCCTCCTAGAGTTGCCAGTTGAGAATCACTGCATTAGTGAATCATTCTTAAAAGAGAGAGAAACCCACTAGAACAGAGCAGTATGGGTCTGTGAGCACATGGTTATTCAAAGCTTTGTATTTCATGAGCATGATAATCTTTTTCAATACATTTGAAACCTCAGATATTTAAAAGTAGATGAAAAAATTGCTGTCACCAGGGTGACCTCTTTGTTAAATCCAGTTTATCTTTATTACACTTACCTTTTCTGCATTGATTCTGTTAACCATATCTTCCTCTTTTTTTTTTCTCTCTTGGTTTCTATAACACTGGGTTTTCTTACTCTTTCCTGGACTCTTTCTTCTAGTCATCTTCTATGATTCTTTTTCTTTCCCTCAGCTATTAAATGTTACTGTTCCGTGGGTTTCTTTTTTTTTTCCCCTTGCTTACTCTCTGTACTCCCAGATTTTTTCTTCTATAATGGCATTCTGTAGTTTGGCATGAAAATTTGTGCAACAAGAAAGATAGAGTATAAATTACATCCAGTACTTTGTGAGAGTTGAAATATGAATATATTTATATATGTAAATAGGGTGCATGTGTAAGAAGTTGGAAAAAGGAAAGGAATATGAAAAAAAGGCAGGCATTGAAGGCTGTAAGGCAGCTGAATGCCAAAAATACATAGACTTTAGAGTGAGATAGATTGTGTTTTGTAGCATGCAGAAGTAGAAGATGGTGCCAAGTAGAGTTGAAACACCATAATGGCAAGTGATGCTTGCTAGATCAAAAGTACCTTTCTGTTTGTTTTCAAAATTACTTTCAATTCCCCATGAAACCTAGCTATGTCTGTTCCTAAATTTTAGTGAGATTCTTGTCCTTATTTTCATGGTAAACTGCTGTTCCTTAAGGAAATCTGAATGAATTACTTGTAACCAAAATTGATCACAGCAGCCTCACATACCATCTGTATGCTAGGGACTTCCATATCTAGAGGTAGCCTAGATATTCTCAACTTCAGATGTATTTCAGTTTCATTTCCCCCTGGATGTCTCATAGTTGTCAGAAACTGACATCACTTTCTTGGACAAATATTGTTTCTGAATTTCATCTGTCTCTGAATGACATAGTTGACCAAGTTGGGGTGGTGGGGTAGCATAGAACCCTTCGAGTAAAGCACTGTTTTCAAAGTACAAGCTGTGGGATTGCCTTAAATATCTGATAGTCATTTAGTATGTTTATTATATTCCCCCTAGATAGAGTTAAAGAATTGCTATATATGTAATTTTGCTCAACAGTTGTGTTAATGGTATCTAATATAAAGGTAATTTTCATTTATTGAACAAATATTTATTGGGCAGTACAGTATTTATCAGGTATTGTCCTTGGTGTTGGAGATAAAGCAGTAGACATGATTTCATGGAGTTTATATTCTAATCAGTGGAGACAAAAAATAGATAAGCAAAATATATACAGTATTAGTTATAAGTGTTAAGGAAAAAATAAAGGAAGAAAGGGGTTAGAGAATCTTGGGGTGGGAATGAGTATTGCAATTTTTAAATAAATTGGTCAAGAAAAACCTAATTGAAAGTACACGCCATTTAAATAAAGCCTGGAAGGAAGTGAATGAAACTAGGTATTTGAGGGAAGAGTGCAAAGGTACTGAGGTGGGAACACGTTTGGCTTATGTAAAATATTGTAAGGTATGCTTATGTCCAGATAGGAGAGAAGGGAGAGTAGTAAAGGGTGGAGTCAGAGAGGTAACCAGGGACCAGATTCTATAAGGTCTTGACATTACTCAGAGTGAGACAAGCCATTGGAGGGTTTTGTTTGTTTGTTTGTTTTTCAAGTAGAGGAGTGACATTTCAACAGAATCACTGTGCAGTGGTGAGAATAGACTGAAGGGAGAAAGGGACAACAGGAGGCTGTTTGATAATCTAGGCAAGAAATGATGGTGGCTTGGGCTAGGGTCGTAACATTGGTAGGGATGAGAAACAGTAGAATGCTGGAATACTTTGAGGGTTGAGCCAAAGAGATTTGCTGCTGGATTGGATGTCATATGTGACAAGTGGAATAGTCAAGGGTGACTCCAAGGTTTTTGACCTGAGCTTCTAGAAAGATACCATTAACTGAGATGTGGAAAAATCAAAAGTGATTAGCTTTGGAGAGGGAGTCAGGAACTCAGTTTCAGACATGTGATATTTGCAGTGTTCATTAGTTATTTAGTAGAGACGTAAAATAAATAATCCAAGTCCGCAGGCAGGGAATAAATTTGAAAGTCATCAGTATTTGAAGTCATTGAGTCTGGATGAAATCGTTACAGAAATAAGTGTGGTTAGAGGAGAGACAAGGTCCAGAAACTGAGCCCTTGGTTACTGCAGCGTTTGATTTTATGGTTCTTTTTAAAGTAGAGGTGATGAAGAGGAACCAGCATAGAAGATACTGAAACAGCACTCAGTGATGAGGGAGGAAAGCCAGGAAAATATTTTAAAAGCCAAGGAAAGAAAGTATGTTCCAAGGAGAAGGGACTAAATCATGCCACATGTTCCTGATAGGTCAATTAAGATGAAAACTGGGAATTTACCACTGGATTCAGCAAAGAAGAGGTCACCGATGACTACGCAGTTACAGAAGTAGGCTTGTGTACACTGTGGAGCCACTGAGGACTCTACAGTATTATTATGTCAAGCCTTAAACATGCTGGCTTTCTCTGGGCTTTCGCCTTTGGAAGTATAGAATTAGCTCACTTATATCTATCTATTCAATATCTTCACTTAAAAACAAAGGCAAAACCCCAGTTTTTGAATGATACTATGAAGTAATACTTAAATTGGTTTAGGGAATTTTCTTGAACTTGAACTTGATTAATCTTTTGTTGTTTTTTTATAACAGAATATGAAGAGAGTGGATTGTTGGAAACAGATGAGGTTTGTAAATTGAGTTTTCTTTAGTTAATTTTTAATGGATGAACTTGGGGATGCATGTTCTTACTAATAATATATTGATCTTTCAAAGACATTCTAATTTGTTCATATTGATTATAGCATATAAAACGTAGCTTTGAGTTCCAAGTTCATTTACTCTTAAGAAAACAAAATATAGAATGGAAAAAATAAGTTTTCTAGAATGTCACATTCATACCGATTTAATGGTTGTAAATTTTTCTCTTTTATTATTTTCAGGCTACCCTAGATACAAGGAAAATAGTAGAAGCTTGTAAAGCCAAAACTGATGCTGGCGGTGAAGATGCTATTTTGCAAACCAGAACTTATGACCTTTACATCACTTATGATAAATATTACCAGACTCCACGATTATGGTTGTTTGGCTATGATGAGGTAAAAATGAAAAGCATTATATTTTAATATCAATATTTTAAATTGTTGGGTTTTAATTTCTTCTTCATTAGGTCCATGAGTATTTATTGCAGTGTTTCACATTTTGGAAATCATCTGTTTTACAGTTTTATGATTAATGTTGAACTTGATTCTTTCTTATTTTGAATGAACTATGAATTATTCAGTGTAACAATAATGCTAAGACATAAACAGAAATAATCTATTACATATTCCTTTTTTGAAGGCTTATGCCTTCAAAATGTGAGGGAAATTTAACTTGGTTTATTTTATTAAATTTTGTTTGGGATTACATCAGTTGGATATATAGGCATTTACAGAATGACCATGTCACATGTGAAGAGAGTGGATTGTTGTATGTATGTATTTTTCCCCTTAAGACAGAAAACTCATCTACTTAATTGAATTAAAGGATAATTGACAGGAAATCAACTTGTTTAACCTGTCATTCTTATGGCTATACATGGGAAACAAGAAAATAAAGTCAGTCTAAAAGATGAGCCACAAAGTTATAAAATGTTTTGATAGCCACAAACTTGTCTTTTTGTGAGATTTTTTTTCTGCATTGGGGGTAGCTGTCACAGAGCTTGGCTGTGACTCCTTCCTGTCCCTCCCTTGATATTAATAAATTGTAAAATTTCCCAGAAATCATTCTAAACAGTCTAGAATTCTAAATTGCAAGTGATGTGAGATGGAGAACTAAATATATTATAAACCTTGAGATTTAGGCTGAAAGTTTCTAAATAGTAATTTCTTTTTTTTTTTTTTTTTTTTTTTTTTTTTTTTTTTTTTTTTTGAGATGGAGTCTCGCTCTGTCGCCCAGGCTGGAGTGCAGTGGCGCAATCTCAGCTCATTGCAAGCTCTGCCTCCCGGGTTTACGCCATTCTCCTGCCTCAGCCTCCTGAGTAGCTGGGACCACAGGCGCCCACCACCCTGCCCGGCTAATTTTTTATATTCTTAGTAGAGACGGTGTTTCACCATGTTAGCCAGGATGGTCTCGATCTCCTGACCATGTGATCCGCCCACCTCAGTCTCCCACAGTGCTGGGATTACAGGCGTGAGCCACTGCACCCGGCCTTAAATAGTAATTTCAAAGCATTTTTTATGCTTTCAGCAACGGCAGCCTTTAACAGTTGAGCACATGTATGAAGACATCAGTCAGGATCATGTGAAGAAAACAGTGACCATTGAAAATCACCCTCATCTGCCACCACCTCCCATGTGTTCAGTTCACCCATGCAGGTCTGTATATGTAGAGATAAATATATTTTTTGATGTGATTGTATATTTCATGGATTTATTACTTGAGAATCTTTAAACATAGAACCCTAACAGAAAAAAATTTTCTTACTAAAAAGTAAAATTCTCTCTTGTCCTCCTTAGAAATTTTCTTGTGCTTAAATATATAAGAAAAAGGAAAAAAAACTTACCAATTTGTTTTAAGTTTAATATGTTAAGAATTTTTTTGTTCTCTGTGGGTGTTTATAGAATAGATGGATCTTTGTGATTTTACTACACTTTTTAGCTTCCAGAACAGTTTGGAAGATTCTGTTTTTGACTCAGAAATAGTCATTTAGATATGGTTTGCTGTGTTGTGACTGCCTTTCTGTGAATGTAGACTGTGGAGTTAACCTTGTGATTTTTCTAGGTGACCTATTTGCTTTCTTTTATTGATTAGTGAAGGGAGATATATGGATGTATGTTCTTCAGTTGAGAGCTTGTCAGCCTTAGCAAGTCAAGTGCATTTTATAAGTTGGGATTTTCTTTGTATCAGTGTTTTTTCACAGAGCCAAATCTGTGAAGCTGAACCTATATACATGATTAGTTCAGAATTTTTCTTAAAAAACAGTTACTACATGCCAATTTCTTTAGGTTGGTTATTTCTAATAGATAACTTTCCCAGTTGACTGGAAAATACTGGTAACATACTAGTAACAATATTTTTCAGTGAAACTCATATTCTGTTGACTAGTTAGATGAAACATTTTGTTTTCTCTTCCCTCTAGTTAAAAACAACCTTTAATATTTTCTTCTCATATTCTGCAACCTCTTTACTCTCAAACTTTAACTCCGTGGAAGACCTTGCTCATTTTTTCAGTTTTATTATGTCTGAAACTTTGCTAACTATGAAAAATAATTTAGGAGCCATTAGTTTTAGTTTTGAATTATGTAATCTAAAAAGTTTTCAGTTTTTAGAGTTATTCTCTTGATTCCTCTTATGGTTTAAGGTCTTAGGATGGTGCTTATCAAACTGAAGCGTATCTCTCTGAGGTATAAACTTTACTCAGTTGGGGGAAAAATAACTGGTAATTATGTTAAACATTTTAATAAAATAGATGACTGTATTGTGGAATGGGATATAAGTATTTCAAAAAATCTGAGTGCCTATAAAATAAAACTTCAAGGACATTTTAGACCATTCCATGGGCTGCCTCAGATTGTGCCTTCAAATCCTCTGGAATCATACATTTACTCTCATATTCTAAGTTGACTGTCTCTGTCATGAAGATTATAGTCGTAAAAACTGAAGCAGCATTATTTAAGCCAAGGTATGTTAAAAAGACTGTTTCTTTAAAAATTATCTTTTTCTTGGTTTCTGTGCCTAGATACTAACTTTGATATCACTCTTTTCTATAGTACAGGAGAGAGAACAGTTAGCCATGAAAAGATGTATAGATAGGACAAAAACTTCATATAAATAAATACCTTTCTTCTTATAAGCCAAAAAATTTATTTTTACATAGAATTGGATAAATTTTAGAATACCTATTAGGACAAAGAAACAAATACAAACCTCTCAACTCTAACCAATTAGCTTTTCTTAAACCCTCTCAGTTTTGGCTTATTCTCAGCTAAATAAACAGCCCAGATCACAAGATTATAGATACCTCTTTGCTTTTTTGTCCAACTGATACCATGTGTCTTTTTTTTTTTTTTTTTAATTTGCCTGATATGACTCTTGTTTCTTAGAGCAAACAGCTATCATTCCACATTTTCTCCTGGAATGATTTCCTCATCTCTGGTTTTCTGCCTTCCTTGTCTCTCCCAATTATCAGAACACTAACTAATGCCATGGTGTCTGCTGTGACTACCATAGCTTTTTAAGATTATGCCCTCCCCTGGTAAAACTGTTGGCATGGCATAACAATCTGTTATCTTTTGTGTTTCGGAAGTGGAGGGGAGATATTTTATAATTTAACTATTTTAATAAATATTTTATAGTTATTGGGGAGTGGTGGGGGAGATAGTTTATAATATAACTATTAAAAATTAATTCACTGAGAGTAATAGGGTCGATTTCTTTACAAATGAAAATATGTTTTTCTTCTTTCGGTCTAATCGATCTACATTAACAATTTTTTTTTTTTTTGGCTTCTAGGCATGCTGAGGTGATGAAGAAAATCATTGAGACTGTTGCAGAAGGAGGGGGAGAACTTGGAGTTCATATGTATCCTTCCCTGTATGTAAGATTAGTGGCAAAATGGCTGTTAACGATTTTTTTTTTGAGAAATTTAGTGTAACCTTAATGATACAGTAGCTATAACTTGTTTTAACTTCTCATCTGAAAATCCTAGTAGAAGTCTTTCATTTATTTAGAAAATGTTATATTGTGATAGTTATGCCTTGCTTAGTTGATTAGAACATGTCCCCATGTGTAGCAGTAGCTCACCCTTGTTACAGAGGTAACTACTAATTTAGAATAATAATATGAGTATCTTTTTCTTATGTACATTTCCAGTTTAACATGTTACCAAAAATGTACTTTCCCATCAGGTAAAAGTAAAATTAGGTTGTGTCAATCTGAGGTGTCTCTGAAGCAAATAATTCAGCTTAAACAAATACGTTAATTAAAAGTAATGTACTACGTGAAGTGCTTTAGATATTCTTAAAATATAGTACGTTCATTTTTCTCAAGACAGTAGCACCTTTCTTGTATCTTACTATAGTTTTCCTACTCAGTTTTCTTGGATTGACAAAAGTAATACATTCAAGTTAATGCCCAAGCAAACTGTTGGATCCTAAAGTACATGTACTCATAGCATAGATTTATCAAAAACAGTCAAAATCAATGATTTACATGCCAGATAGCTTGAATTAGTTTGATGCTAGGTTAATACTTGACTTGGTGGTGGTTTCGGCTACTATGTGTTAGATTAGATGTGGAGACTAAGATGCCACGTCTAATCAGACTGTGGGGCATTGCTAATAAAGTGTGTCCCTAAGAAGAACTTTGAACTGATTTGATATTGAAACAAACCAAAAACTTCCAGTCCAAACCATATTTACTCCTGAAGTCCTATTATGCCTAACTGGCACATCTCTGCTGGATGCTAGGTAGCAACTTGGAAGACTGTCTATATATAATTCATAATAGTAATTGGTTTCCCCCAATGAAAAGTAAGCTCCTAATGTTTTTAAGTGCAATGAACATAAAAAAATTTCAGAATTTAATTAAAGACAGTCCAGTAGAGCTCAGTCTTTGGCAAATACATACACTAACCTAGAATCAGTCTACTATACAGGATTTTTATTTAATTTTTTTCTCTTTTGCTATAGTACTTCATTATAGTCTATTCTGCCTCATTTTCTGACATAACTCTAGCAAACTTAAAGGAGTCTAGTAAATGAGTACATTTTGTACTCATTTAAACATGTATAGCTTTGTCCTTTTTATGTCAAAGTAATTGTGCTTATATGAACACCTACTCATTAAGAAGTTTCAAATTCAATAATCGAATGAGTGGTCAGGTAGTCTTAAAGAGCCTCATGTTAAATAGACACAAATTTGCATAGTTGAATTCTTTAATAGACTTAATTTAAGATTTTGTGGGGTTTTTTTGAGAAATTAATGGCTTAATAAAATGGATAATTACAACATGGGCTTAAAACATAGAACTATTTACAAATCTTATTTTCCTTAGCTAAAAACCTTTAGGTATCTTCTTATTTTCTTGAAATTTGTACAAGCTGTCATTCCAACAATAGAATATGACTACACAAGACACTTCACAATGTAATGAAGAGAGCATAAAATCTATCCTAATTATTGGTTCTGATTTTTAAAGAATTAACCCATAGATGTGACCATTGACCATATTCATCAATATATACAGTTTCTCTAATAAGGGACTTATATGTTTATGCATTAAATAAAAATATGTTCCACTACCAGCCTTACTTGTTTAATAAAAATCAGTGCAAAGAGAGTTTTTCTTGTGTCTTATTAAAAGGTTATGATTTGATTTCCCCTAAGTAACAATAAGTGAAGACATCTGTCTTATATAGAATGATGACAGATTATTTTTGGTTTACATTTATGAGGAAGGTATTAAGTGTGTAATAGTCTCAAAACTAGGATTAGAAAATACTGTGTGCTAGTTTTCTCTCACCTTTTCCTGTTCTGCTAATAGTTAATATTTATGAAGCGCTTACTGTGTGCCATGAACTCTTTAAGTACTATTGTTTCCTAATTGTAGTGTTAAGTTGATATTGATATCACCAAAATTATTTTTTATTAAGGATTCGGGAATATTTATTGTGGTTGCCTGGTAGAATACTAGAATTTAAAGGGATAATAAGTTTATTCTGTCATGTCAGTTTATAGATCTTGGTATAGGAGTTTAGAAAGGCAAGTTTTCTGCTCTAGGATGCATACTGCAAGCCAAGGAGGAAAACCTAAGCCCTTTATTCCCTTTATACCACTACATGCTTCATCTTTGTTCTTTCAGTAGTCTGCACAAAGTGGAATGGCTAATCTTGTCCATAGTTTTGTTTTATTTTCTCCTCATCATTTAAGAATACCCTCCTTGCTTTCTTTATTTTCCTCCCTTTTCCAATCAATTATTGTATTGCAAGAAAATCTCCATAATGAAGATAATGATTTGGAGGTATTGTGTGTTTGATATGGTATAATATGGAGATAATAAACATGGACATCATCCTCTAATATACTTGAAAATATTCTGCTTGCTCATGTAGCCAGAAAGCTGCTCCCCTTTCTTAAATTGATGTTTTAAACCGATTTTACTGGAATGTTTTATTTTTGAGTATCTTTAAGTTACATGATCTCAAATATTAAATGTTATCACATTGTCAGCATTTTTCTCCCAGTTGTTTTATTTGTCAAAAGTATAGGCATCTTCAGTCCCTCAATTCATTTGTTGTTAAGTGGTCATATTTATCTCAGTCACCACTAGGTGGCATAAATAATTTTTTGGTCAAACCTTTTAAATTTCAGGATCTTTTTTACAACTGAAATATTTGTATGGTTATCCAGTGTATAAACAAAAGCTGGTATGTTGATGGTATAAATGTGTTTTTATGAGTTCAGATTTATAGCACTCATTGAAAACTGAGTTTTGATGAACAATAGATTTGTTTGGAAAAGCTTGAAATTCAGATTATGGATAATCTTACAAATTTTCACTTCGAGTTTATTTCTAATTTTAGTTTTATAGTCTTTTAAAACATCTGATTTACATACATAATAAATGGTATTAACTTTTTTAACTTTTAATTTTAAAATAATTTTATAAAGATTTATAGAACCGTTCCAAAGGTAGCACAAGAGTCCTGTATACTCCTCAGCTTTCTGTATGTTAATATTTTACTAAAAAATTAACACTGATTCTATCAACTACAGATTTTATTCACATTTCCTCAGTTTTCCCACTATTTTTTTTTCTATTTCATAATCTAAACTACGATACTATATTGCATTTAGTTGTCATATCTCTTTGTCTCTTCTAATCTGTGACAGTTTCTCTGTGTAAAGTCTTTCATGACTTTGATACTTTTGAAGAGTAATGGTCAGAAATTGTGTACAGTGCTCCTGAACTTACATTTGTTTGTTCGTTGTTTCCTCATTATTAGCCTGAGGTTATGAATTTTGGGGAAGCATACCACAGAAGTTACGTGTCTTTCCCTTTGTGTTATGCCTTTCTCATTGCATTTAGTACTACTAAGTCTGTAGTACTTAGTTAAGGTGGTGTCTGCTAGGTTTCTCTACTCTATATAGTTAATATTTATTCCTTTCCATTGTTAGAAGTGAGTCACTAAGTCTATAGAAGTTTGTAGCCACAAGGGAAAAGAATTAATCTTTGCTTTCTGGAGAAACCGAGAAACTGCCACAGCAGTAATCAGTAAATTTTGGGAGAGATATTTTGAGGTAATAAAAATATCCAGTTTCTCATTAAATTTCATTTAGTAATTTTAGCATTCATCAATGAATCTTGCCTGAAACAATTATTATTGTAGTGTTCTACTGATGTGCCTATTCTTTTGCTTATATCACCCCCCCCGCCTTTTTTTTTTGGAGACAGAATCTTGCTCTGTCACCCAGGCTGGAGTGCAGCGACGCGATCTCGGCTCACTGCAACGTCTGCCTCCCTGGTTCAAGTGATTCTCGTGCCTCAGCCTCACAAGTAACTGGGATTATACAGGCATGTGCAACCACGTCTGGCTAATTTTTGTATTTATAGTAGAGACAGGGTTTTGCCATTTTGGCTAGGCTGGTTTCGAACTCCTGGCCTCAAGTGATCTGTCTGCCTCAGCCTCCCAAAATGTTGGGATTACAAGCATGAGCCACCACGCCTGCCCTTCACCCCACCTTGATTAGCGTGGTAAACCTTGAAATAGAGTAGTATGAGCCCTCCAACAATTGTGTACACACACTTCGATAGTGGTATGAACACCATCCTCTCCCTCTTTGGATATTCGGTACAATATTTCAGGTGGGGTATACACCACCTGCAATATTGGAAGTAATATTATTTTCTCCCCCACCCGGCTATTAGAAACAATATCACAGGGGGTGTGAACAACCCCTGCGATATTTGGAGTAATATCATGGTCTCCCCTCATGAATATTAAAACAATATCGTAGGGGGAGGGAGGTGTACACCCCCTTGGATGTTTGATATCATCCTCTTCCCCCCTGGATATTAGGAACAATATCAGGAAGGGATGTACAGACCCTGCGACATTTGCTGTCATATAATTGTCTCTCCCCTAGATATTAGGAAAAATGTAACTGGGGATGTGAACACCCCTGCGATATTGGGAGTAGTATCATCCTCTCCCCCCTTGGATATTAGGAACAATATCACAGGTGGGGTGTACTGCCTCTGCGATACTGGGAGTAAAATTATTCTCTCTTCCCCTGAATATTAGGAAGGGTATCAGAGGGGGAGGGTGTATATTCCCTGCGATATTGAATGTAATCTTATCCTCTCCCTCCCAGCGTATTAAGAACAATATTACAGGAGGGGTGTACACCATCTGCGATATTGAGAGTCATATCATCCTCTTTTGCTCTGGATATTAGAAACAATATCACAGGGTTGTGTACACCCCCTGCTATATTGGCAGTAGTATCATCCTCTCTCCCTCTGGATATTAGGAAGAGTATCACAGGGCTGTGTACACCCCGTACGGTATTGGGAGTAATACCATCCTCTCTCCCTCTGGATATTAGGAAGTGTTTCACAGGGGGTGCACCCCTGCGATATTGGGAGTAATATCGTCCTGTCGCCCTCTGGATATTAGGAAGAGTATCACAGGGGTGTGTACACTCCCTGCAACATGGGAGGTAATATCATCCTTTGCCCCCGGATGTTAAAAACCAAATCATGGGGGTTGTATACCTGCTGCGATATTGGGAGTAATACCTTCCTCTCTCCGCCTGGATATTAGGAGTAATATCACAGGGGTGGTTTACATCACGCGCGATACTGGGAGTAATATCATCCTCTCTCCTCCTGGATATTAGGAACAACATCAAAGGGGGGTATCCACCCCCTGTCATATTGCTGTAAAACACCCTGTGATATTAAGAGTAATATCATCCTCTCTCCCTCTGGATATTAGGAACAATATCACGGGGTGGAGGGTGTACACCTGTGCGATTTTGAAAGTAATATCCTCTCACCCACGGTTTTTAGAAATGAAATCACAGTGGGTTGTACACCTGGTGCGATATTGGTAGTAATATCGTTCTCTGTTTCCCTGGATATTAGGAACAACATTACAAGGGGGTTGTACACCACCTGCAATATTTGGAGTAATATGATTCTTTGCCCACTTGGGTGTTAGGAACAACATCACGGCGCGGGGGTCGTGGAAAACCCTGGCTATTTTGAAAGTATCATCCCTTTTTCCCTGGATACTATGAACAGTATCACAGGAGGGATGTATACCTTCTGTGATATTGGGAGTAATATTATCCTCCCCCGCCCTGAATATTTAGAAAAATATCAGAGTGGGGTGTACACCCCTGCGATATTGGGAGGAATATCATCCTCTCCACCCAGGAAATTACTAACAGGGTCACAGGGGGGTGTACTCCCCCTGCGATGTTGGGAGTAATGTCCTCCCCAAACCTGGATGTTAGCAACAAGATCACAGAGGGGGTGTACTCACCCTGTGATATTGGAAGTAATATGATCCTCTCACCTGCTGGATATTGAGAAAAATATCACAGCGCGGGTATACATTTCCTACGGTGTTGGGAGTAATATCATTCTTTTCCTCTCTGGATATTAGGAACAATATCACAGGGGTGGCATACATTTCCTTCGATATTGGGAGAAATATCCTCTCCCCATTGGGATATTAGGAACAATATCCCAGGGGGATGTCCACCCTCTGCGATATTGGGAGTAATATCATCCTCTATTTCCCTGGATGTTAGACACAATATCACAAAAAGGTGTACACCCCCTGTGATATTGGGAGTAATATCCTCTCCTTCCCTGGATATTAGAAAACAATATCATCAGGGGTGAACACCCCCTGCGATAATGGGAATAATATTTTCTCTTTCACAGGCCATTAGGAACAATATCACAGGGGGTGTTTACATACCTTGCGATATTGGAGGTAATATTCTCTGCCCCCCCCCCCCCCCCCGGAATATTACCAACAATATCAAACAGGGGTGGTGTACACCCCCTGTGATATTGGGATTAATGTCATTCTCTCCACCCCTGGATATTAAGAACAATATCACGGCGGGGGGTGGTACACCCCCAGTGATATTGGGAATAATGTTATCCTCTCCTTCCCTGGATATTAGGAACAACATCACAGGGGGGTGTACACCTTCTGTGATATTGGAAGCAATATTATCCTCTCCCCAGCTGGATATTAGAAAAAATATCACACATGATGTACACCCACTGTGATATTAGGAAGAATATTACAGGGTGTACACCCACTCTGACTTTAGGAGAAATAGCTCCCTAAAATATCACAAGCAGTATCACAGGGTATACGGTAATATCTCCCTAGGGTATTACAAATACTATCACAGGGTGTACACCCACTGTGATAACAGGAGTAATATGTCCCAAGGATATTACGAATAATATCACAGGCTGTACACCCACTATGACATAAGGAGTGATATCTCCTTAGGATATTACAAATAACATCACGGAATGTACACCCATGGTGTGCACCTACCCTGATATTAGGAGTAATATCTACCCAGGACATAACCAGTAATAGCACAGGGTGTACATACATGACGTACACCCACTGTGATGTTATGAGAACTGTCTCCCTAGGATATTACGAATGACATCACAGAGTGTACACACATGGTATACACCCACTGTGGCACTAGGAATAATAACTTTCTAAGATACTACGAATAGCATCACAGAATATAAACACATGGTGTACACCCACTGTAACATTAGGCGTAATTTCTCCCTAGGGTATTATGAGTAACATCTAAGTGTGTACACACATGGTGTACACCCACTGTGACATTAAGGGTAATATCCCCCTAGGATATTACGAATAACATCACAGGGTCTTCACACATTGTGTACACGCACTGTAATATTAGGAATAATATCTCTGTAGGGTATTATGAATAATATCACAGGGTGTACAGCCACTGTGATATTAGAGGTAATATATCTCTAAGATATTATGAATAGTATCACAGGGTGTACACCCACTCTGATATTGGGAGCAATATCTCTCTAGGATATTACAAATAATATCACAGAGTGTACACCCACTGTGATATTAGGAGAAATATCTCTCTGGGATATTACGAATTATATCACAGAGTATACACACATGGTGTACACCCACTTTGATATTAGGAGTAATATCTTCCTAGGACATTACAAATTATATCACAGTGTACACCCACTGTAATATTAGGAGTCAAATCTCTCTAGCTTATTACAAATAATATCACAGGGTGTACACCCACTGTGATATTAGGAGTAATATCTTCCTAGGGTATTATGAATAATTTCAGAGGGTGTACACATATGGTGTACACTCACTGTGATATTAGGAGTGATATCTACCTAGTATATAACAAATCACAGGGTGTACACCCACTTTGATATTAGCTGTAATATTTTTCTAAGTTGTTACAAATAAGATCACAGGGTGTACAAACATGGTGTACACTCACTGTGATATCAGGAGTTGTATCTCTGTAAGATATTATGAATAATATCACAGGGTGTACACCCACTGTATTATTAGGAGTAATAGTTCTGTAGGATATTACAATTAATATCACAGGGTGTACACCCACTGTGATATTAGGAGCAATATCTTTCTAGGATATTACAAATAATATCACAGGGTGTACGCCCACTCTGATGTCAGGAGCAATATCTCTCTAGGATATCAAAAATAATATCACAGGGTGTACAATCTCTGCCTTCCAGGTTCTAAGGGATTCTCCTGCTTCAGCCTCCTGAGTAGCTAGGGTTACCTGCCACCACGCCTGGCTAATTTATTTTCACTAGAGACTGGTTTCACCATGTTCGCCAGGCTGGTCTGGAACTCCTGACCTCAGGTGATCCATCAGCCTCGGCCTCCCAAAGTGCTGGGATTACAGGTGTGAGCCATCACGCTCGGCCAAGAGTTATATATTCAATTAATTTGGAAACACAGCTCCCATATTTGAGTGTGCATGTACTTTTATGAAGAAATGATGTCAGAAAACCTAAGGATGATAATTAATATGAAAAGTAACTGGCATGTTAAAAGGTCTTCCGATTAAGAACTGTATAAGGTTTGATTTCGTTTTTAGATAATGCTGTCCTAGCTCTTGTATCGTCCTTTTAAATATTCTACATCAAAGGAATTTGTAGCACAGTGTCAGAATAAAAAAGGTGTATTTCACTGCTTCTGAATTTCTTTCAATTAGACAGATCTTTTTCTTAAAGAGAGAAGAACATTTTTATTTGCATTTTATTTTTTCTGAAATGAGTAGGCCATATTTTACTGAGATCACGGATTTGTTATATATTACATTTTGGTTTTCTAACATTCTTCAGTGGATTTGCTCTAAAGTATGTACAGAAAGAGTTGAATAGCAAAAAAGTAAATCATGTAATAATTCTGAGATTTCTGGGTTTGTCACAACTGAGAAATATTGCTGACGGTGTATGGTCCTCAAATGTGAAAATGTTCCTTGTGAATTGCTTGTATCCAAAATATACACACAGCATTAAGGGCTGGTTTTTATCTTTTATTTTTCCAATCCTCTTTTCTTCTCAAAAAAAGAGGTGTCCAAGTCACACAGAGCCATAGAATCTCACAAGTGTCTCAGAATTCCTTCTCCAGGGACTCTCAGAGGATCCAGAACTGCAGCCCGTCCTCGCTGGGCTGTCCCTGTCCATGTACCTGGTCACGGTGCTGAGGAACCTGCTCATCATCCTGGCTGTCAGCTCTGACTCCCACCTCCACACCCCCATGTACTTCTTCCTCTCCAACCTCTCCTGGGCTGACATTGGTTTCACCTCGGCCATGGTTCCCAAGATGATTGTGGACATGCAGTCGCATAGCAGAGTCATCTCTTAAGCGGGCTGCCTGACACAGATGTCTTTCTTTGTCCTTTTTGCATGTATAGAAGACATGCTCCTGACTGTGATGGCCTATGACCAATTTGTGGCCATCTGTCACCCCTGCACTACCCAGTCATCATGAATCCTCACCTCTGTGTCTTCTTAGTTTTGGTTTCTTTTTTCCTTAGCCTGTTGGATTCCCAGCTGCACAGTTGGATTGTGTTACAATTCACCTTCTTCAAGAATGTGGAAATCTCTAATTTTTTCTGTGATCCATCTCAACTTCTCAACCTTGCCTGTTCTGACGGCATCATCAATAGCATATTTATATATTTAGATAGTATTCTGTTCAGTTTTCTTCCCATTTCAGGGATCCTTTTGTCTTACTATAAAATTGTCCCCTCCATTCTAAGAATTTCATCGTCAGATGGGAAGTATAAAGCCTTCTCCATCTGTGGCTCTCACCTGGCAGTTGTTTGCTTATTTTATGGAACAGGCATTGGCGTGTACCTAACTTCAGCTGTGTCACCACCCCCAGGAATGGTGTGGTGGCGTCAGTGATGTATGCTGTGGGCACCCCCATGCTGAACTCTTTTATCTACAGCCTGAGAAACAGGGACATTCAAAGCGCCCTGTGGAGGCTGCGCAGCAGAACAGTCGAATCTCATGATCTGTTCCATCCTTATTCTTGTGTGGGTAAGAAAGGGCAACCACATTAAATCTCTACATCTGCAAATCCTGCCCCTTAGTCCCATTATTTTTGTTGCTTGATGGCTTTTATTCCTTTCCACTTTTCCTATGTGAATATTGCTTTTTTCATTATGTCTTTGACTGGAATGGGTGAGTATTCTGGGATCTTTTGTGTAGCATAAACCTCATGACTGAATCCTCTATACCTGGGCGGCCTCCTTTAGTTTCTGAGCAATAACCCTGTCATCCATGTGGAATCACAACCATCTTTTTATATACAGGAAGTCCTCACTTCATTTTGGAATTCCCTGAAAATTGACTTTATAGAAACAATGTACAGCCGGTCCTCCAACACCATTGTTTTGTTCAAAGTTGTTTAGTTGTAATGTTGATGAGGAATAAGTGGTTTCACTATCCATAATTTTGCTTAAAGGTGAAGTTTCCAAGAGACTTTCAAAGATGTTAAGTGAGCACATACTGTACATCAAATTCATATCCTCTTCCAGAGTTCATGTGGAACTTCTTTATAAACTGCTTGTAGAGAATCTATTTAGGCAGATTATGTGTAGAGATCCATGTCACGGGTCCTCAATCTTGGCTTTGAATCAAATCACCCGGGGCACTTACAAATGATGAGGCCTGGGTCTCATGACCTGAGATTCTGATTTACTTGCACCTGTGTGGGTATGCGGATTTTTTTTTTTTTTTTTTTTTTTTTTTTTAAAGCACCAGAGGTGGTTCCAGTGATGAAGTTTTTAGAGGCATCAAACCAATGAGTAAGAACAGAAGTTAATTGTAATATGATTTCTTCAAATATTATCTTCAAATGCATTGTTCTTCAACACCATACAAATTTTTATTATGCTGTTTTTTCTTACCATTTGGCATTTTCTTTTTTTCTTTTTTCTTTTTTCTTTTTTTTTTTTTTTGAGACAGAGTTTCACTGTTGTTGCCCAGGCTGGAGTGCAATGGCATGATATCGGCTTACTGCAACCTCTGCCTCCCGTATTCAAGCGATTCTCCTCTCTTAGCCTTTCAAGTAGCTGGGATTACAGGCATGCACTATCACACCCAGCTACTTTGTTTTTTTTTTTTTTTTTTTTTTTTAGTACAGACTGTTTCTCCATGTTGGTCAGACTGGTCTTGAACTCCCGACCTCAGGTGATCCGCCCGCTTCGGCCTCCCAAAGTGCTGGGATTACAGGTGTGAGCAACAGCGCCCAGCCACCACTTAGCATTTTCATTTTACATTTGTTGAAGTTATAGATTTATACACCCATTGATTGCTGTTTTATTATACACTTGCATATCCATAAAATGGGAAATAGAAAAGAATAAAATGGGCACAGTATCCCTAAAGTTTCACATTCTGAGACATTTTAAAAATATTTGCTTTTTAGAAATTTGTGTCAATTAAACTGGTATACACATACAATGAAGTATTATTCAGCCTAAAAAGGACTAAAATCCTCTCCACTGCAGAAAAAATGGATGAGATTTCAGGTCTGTATATTAAGTGAAATAAGCCAGGAACAGAATGACAAATATTACATGTCCTCACTTACATGTAGGAACAAAAAAGAAAATCTTGGCCAGGTGTGGTGGCTCAGGCCTGTAATCCCAGCACTTTGGGAGGCCGAGTTGCACGGATCACTTGAGGCCAGGAGTTCGAGACCAGCCTGACCAACATGGTGAAACCCCGTCTCTACTAAAAACACAAAAAATTAGCCATGCGTGGTGACGCGTGCCTGTAGTCTCAGCTACTCGGGAGGCTGAGGCCCAAGAATCCCTTGAACTCTGGAGGCAGAGGTTGCAGTGAGCCCGGATTGTGCCTGTATACTCCAACCTGGGCAACAGAAAGAGACTCCATCACACACATACACACAAAAGGAATCTCAGGAAGGTGGAGAGTATAAAGGTGGTTAGCAGACGCTAGGAAGAAAAGGGGTGGGATAGGGAATGAAGAGAAGTGGATAATTGGGTCCCAAAATACAGAAAGATGGAATAAGTGAGTTGTAGTGTTTGCTAGTACAGCACGAAAATTTTAGTTCACAAGAATTTCTTGCATACTTCCAGATGCTTTGGTAAGAAGCTTCCTAACTTTCTCATTATGCTGGTTTTTAAGTTATTCTCTTTCTGCTCCTGAAATCATGCTGGTTTTTTGTTTTTGTTTTTTTGAGACAGAGTTTCACTCTTGTTGCCCAGGCTGGAGTGTAATGGTGCGATCTTGGCTCACTGCAACCTCTGCGTCCTGGGTTCAAGCGATTCTCCTGCCTCCACCTCCTGAGTAGCTGGGATTACAGGCATGCGCTAGCACGCCCAGTTAATGTTGTATTTTTAGTAGAGACGGGGGTTTCTCCCTGTCGGTCAGGCTGGTCTTGAACCCTTGACCTCAGGTGATCCACGCACCTCAGCCTCACAAAGTGCTGGGATTACAGGCGTGAGCAACCGTGCCCGGCCCATGCTGTATCCTTATCTGTTGTCTGTTGTTGTTTGTTTGTTTTTGAGCCCAGGAATAACTTCTCACCTATATGTTCAAATGATTTTTAACATGAGTGCTAAGAAAGTCCAGCAATCTCACTACTGGGTATTTATCCGGAGGAAAGAAAATCTATGTATCAGAGAGATTCCTGCACCTTCATGTTTATTGTAGCACTGTTAAAAATAGTCAAGATATGAAATGTCCATCAAAAGATGAATGGATAAGGTGGTGTATATACACAAAATGGAATTCTACTTGGCCATAAAAAAGAATGAAATCTTCTAATTTGTGGCAACATGGATGAACCTGGAGGGCATGTTAACTGAAATAAGATGGCTCAGAAGGATAAACACCACATGTTCTCACTCATATGTAGGAGCCAAAAAAACAAAAAAGAGCTCATAGAGAGTATAATTGTGGTTTTTAGAGTCTGGGAAGGGTAGTGGGGAAGGAAGAGTAGTGGGGAAGGAAGAGTAGTGGGGAGGAGAGGATACGGAGAAGTTCGTTAACAGATACGAAATTATAGCTAAAGAGGAGGAATAAGTTCTAGTGTTCTGTAGCACTGTAAGGGAAATATTGTGTATTTTTTAAAAAGCTAGAAGAGAGGATTTTTATTTTGAATGTTCACATCATAAATGTTTGAGATAATGAATATGCTTAATTACCCTGACTTGATCATTACACATTGTATACATATATTGAAATACTACTATATATCCCATAAATATGTAGTTATCACATGGCAAAGAAAGAAAAACAATGAAATATTAATAGGCAATTTACAGAAACCCAAAAGTCCAACGAGTGTGTAAAGATACTCAAACTTATCAGAGAGATATGTATTAAAACAATAAGATGCCTCTTTATCTAGTGAAAAATTAGGCTGGATAGTTATTAGCATTCAAAGAAATGTGAAGGTAGAGGAACTCTTGTGCACTGCTGATAGGGTATAGACCAGCACAGCCATTTTAGGGAGTAACCTGGCAGTATCGAATCCAATTGAGTATACCTCACTCCTGAGTTTATACCACAAAAGAATACATGCAGAGGACCTTAAAGGATTGTATAGGAGGATGCTCACTGCTGTGTTGGTTGTGGTGGCGGGAGTTGGAAGTAATCTGGTCTCTTACTACTGATAGACTTACAAAGGATTATGCAGCAATTAGAAAGAGATACACGTGAAACAACATGAATAGATCTTAAATATAGATCTGAATTTTTAAAAGTTATTTGTAGTTAGCTCTACCATTTTTATTTGGTTACCTATATGGCAACATAAATATAATATCTAAACCCAAACTCCTGGTTTTATATCTGCTGCCAAAAAAGTAACTGCCACAACTGAACTAACAATTAAAACCCTTGCTCCTCTAATAATCTTTCTCATCTCAGTTAATGCCACTACTCTCCTCAAAATTTGTCCTGAGCCAAAAATTTTAGGAGCCATCTTTTGTTCCTCTTTCTCTCTACACTCACTCCACTAACACATATCCCAGCTCTCAGGAACAAGCTCTGTCCTCTCTACCTCCAAAATACATCCTGGTGCATAGGATTTTCTGCCCTGAAGTAGCACCTCATGTGATTCCAATGCAGGAGTTTCCTGAATCACACTTTGAGAAACTCTGAAAACATGCTCTCCTGCTCTGTTGAGGAGTAAGCTTTTCCTTTTTGGTAATTTTAGGAAGATAATAATTTTTGGCTTTTTAGAATAAAGATCGTTGTGATTCCATTGTTAATAATCAGTGAATCAAAAGATCCCAACTAGTAATATCATTCCAGTTTTATCACCAACACAGCTGACAGATTGAAAGTTTAATGAACAGCAAGTAATTAAGGCCTAGGCTTTAGAACCAATATTTAATTCCCGGGTCTCTTACTTTTAGTTGTGTAACCTTGGTTTGTTTATTTACCTCTGAACCCCCAGGTTCCACATCTACAAAATGAGAGAGCATTATCTAGCCATAGAGTTGTTAGGAGGATTTGGATGTAAAGCATGTGGCACAGTGCTTGACCTCAACATGGCTGCTGCTAAAATGACAATAATGATAATAATCACTATTGCTGTGACTACTACCACTACTAGAACTTCTAGTTTTGAGGCCACAGATACTAAGAACATCCAGCAGAGGGCAATGGAACAGCACAAGATTTAAGTTAGTATATGAGCCTACTGGAGATGTGTCACATTTACCAAGCATTATTTCTACTTTTATATTTCTTATTTTAATGGAAAGAAGAGATGGATGTTATTGATGGACCTCTTTTATATTTGAGATTCTCACTTCCCCAATTATTGAAGAATGATGGTACATCTATATCTATACAATCCTCGCTTAGAACTTGCAATCTCAATCTCCTAATGTATTAGTCTGTTTTCACGCTGCTGATAAAGACATACCCGAGACTGGGTAATTTATAAAGAAAAAGAGGTTTAATGGACTCACAGTTCCACATGGGTGGGGAGGCCTCACAATCATCACAGAAGGAGAAAAGGTATGTCTTACATGGCAGCAAGCAAGGAAGAAATGAGAGCCAAGCAAAAGGGGAAACTCCCTATAAAAATCATCAGAACTTGTGAGACTTAGTCACTATCACAAGAACAGTATGGGGCAAACTGTCCCCACGATTCAATTACCTCCTACCTGGTCCCTCCCACACATGTGGGAATTATGGGAGCTACTATTCAAGATGAGATTTGGGTGGGGACACAAACCATATCACCTAACATCTTTCAAATTTTTTAAATTTAAAAAAAATTTTTATAGAGACAGGGTCTTCTATGTTGCCCAGGCTGATCTAGAACTCCTGGGCTCAAGTGATCCTCTCACCTCAGCCTCCCAAAGTGTTGGGATTACAGGTATGGGCCACTGCACCTGGCCCTCCTAACAGCTTTGTCCCTTACCCCAATGTCCCCCTTTCTAAATAATGAGAGGAGTGGAATAAATATTTGGTTTTTAAGTCCTGTACCCAAGAGCCATTGGTGCTGTTGAGCTGCATCAGGGCTGTCAGGGATAAGTAGGAAGGCTCCACTTCTCTCCCCACCACTGTCTACCAAAGTAACTCAGCATTTATCTGTTTGATACATTGGATTTTCTCATAAGATTTTATTTTGGAAAAAAAAAAAGTTAAAAAATAGATGCTCACAAATGCCCCTTCTGCCTCTATCCAAAGAATCTAGTTTGCTGGGGCCTTTGTTGTTGTTTTAACAAATAATAGTATTTCTTATCTAGCATTTTTTAACATTTGGCCAGTTCATCAGTTGCAAAATCAGTTATTGTGTCTTTCTTAATATGAAATGATGGAATACAATCAAACAAGTAAAAATATCAACATACATTAGCAAGAAAAAATTTTGTTCTTTGTTCCAGCTATGTCTGTCTATGCATACTGGGTAGAGTGGTAAAATTAATTTCATATTGTAGATTGTGAAAAATTTGAAATTTTGAAAGCCACTGCTATATATATATTGAAAATTTGAAAGCCACTGCTATATATATTGATACAGTTTTTGCTTTTATCACTGTATTAATCTGCTAAGGCTGCAATAACAAACTACCACAGATTGAACAGAATGGCTTAAACAACAGAAATTTATTTTCTCACATTTCTTGGGGCTAGAGTATAAGAAGATGTTAGCATGGTTGTTTCCTCTGAGGCCTCTCTCTTTGGCTTGTAGGTGGTTGTCTTCATGTTCACATGGTGTTCTTCCTGTATGCATATTGTTAAAGAAAAAAATTATTTTATAATGCTTGTTGATGGGCATTTGGGTTGATTCCATGTCTTTGCTGTTTGTGAATAGTGCTGCAATGAACATATATGTGCATGTATCTTTATAATTGAATGATTTATATTCCTTTGGGTATATACCCAGTAATGGAATTGCTGGGTCAAATGGTATTTCTGGTTCTATGTCCTTGAGAAATCACCACACTGTCTTCCATAATGGTTGTTCTAATTTACATTCCTACCAACAGTGTAAAACTGTTCTTATTTCTCCACAGCCTCACCAGCATCTGTTGTTTTTTGACTTTTTAGTAATCACCATTCTGACTGGTGTGAGATGGTATCTCATTGCGGTTTTGATTTGCATTTCTCTAATGATCAGGGATGTTGAGCTTTTTTTCATATGTTTGTTGGCTGTACTTCTTTTGAGAAGTATCTGTTCATGTCCTTTGCCCACTTTTTAATGGGGTTTTTTTTTTCTTGTAAATTTGTTTAAGTTCTTTGTATACTCTGGATATTAGACCTTTGTCAGATGGATAGATTGAAAATGTGGTACATATACATCATGGGATACTATGCAGCCATAAAAAGGAACAAGATCATGTCCTTTGCAGGAACATGGTTGGATCTGGAAGCCATTATCCTCAGCAAACTAACACAGGAACAGAAAACCAAAGGCCACATGTTCTCACTTATAAGTGGGAGGTGAACAGTGAGAACACATGGACACAGGGAGGGGAACAACACACCCTGGGGCCTGTCGGTGGGGGTTGGGGGAGGGAGAGCATCAAGAAAAGTAGTTAGTGTATACTGAGCTTAATACCTAGGTGATGGGTTAATAGGTGCAGCAAACCACCATGGCACATGTTTACCTGTGTTTACTTATGTAACAAACCTGCACATCCTGCAGGTTATGTACCCTGGAATGTAAAATAAAATAAAAAACTAAAGTTCAGATCTTGAAATTGTAAAACAGAGAACATAAAGCAAACACACTTAATATGTTACAAAGAAAATGAGAAATGCAAAAATAATAATAATAATAATACTTATTAAAGCACAGTGAAGAAGACTTTATTCAGGACCATTGCAATAGGTATAGGTAACACCACAATGAGATTTTGCAGCCTGGGAGAAAGATTGGACTTAATTCCAAACACAGCATGGGCAAGTGGGAATTTATAGCCAAGGAGCAGGGTGGGGGTCAATGGATGGAAAATTACTAAAAGGAAACATCAGGGGTGAGGAAGATTTCAGCTAAACCAACTTCACAGGATTCTTGCTAAAAACAGAACAAGGTGATTTATTACCTGTGGGATAGTGGAGGATGAGGAACTTGATCAGATGTCACGGTTGATCAGCTACTGGGGGAGAGGGGTTCTTACTAAATGAGTTTTTGGATAAAGCAGATTTTACAAGGAGGTGCACAGATGGGCCTAGGAGAAGGTTAGGGAGCCTGACTGAAGTTTGGTCAAGTTAGAATCTGTGTCAATATCTGTACAAAATTCCTCTTCTTACAAGGACATAAATCATATTCGATAAGGGCCTACATTACTGACTTCATTTTAACTTAGTTACCTCTTTAAAGACCCTATTTATAAACATAGTCACATTATTAGGTATTGGGTATTAGAAGTTCAGCATGAAATTTGGTGTAACACACTTCAGTCTATAATGATCACATAAAAAATCTTGGAGATCAATCCATACAAACACATAAAGGCTGCTTCATTTTATTTCATTATTGGACTATATTTCCTTCTCCTTCTGTCTTACTCCCCCCTACACAACCTCAAATAATAATTAGTGCTTTTGTAAAGGATTATGAGTTCATTGTAAAAATTGCAAACAAGTACAAAGAAGAAAATAAAAAATCAGGTTCATTATTATCTCTTGGAGCTAATATTTTTGACATTTTGATGAATATTCTTTTAATGAGCCCTTTGTGTCTAAATACATATATAGATGTATATGTTCATGAATATATGTAAATGAGTATATGGATATGTATGCATTAACCAAAACTGGGATTGTACCATTTATGTATTCCTGTAATCCTCGTCACTAAACAATATGAGGGGACCGTCTTCTTTAAGAAATATATTAATAGATCTATATTATGATTAACAATGCTTACCTAGTATTTAGTTGTATGGATGTTCAATTAATCATCTAACAGGTCATTTAATTTGCTTATATTTTTTCTGTTATAATCAAGACTTATGTCTTGATTACATCTTTGCACACTTGTGTGATAATTCCCATGGAGTAAATTCTTGGAAGTAAGAATACAAAGTTGGCAGCCACTTTACTATTTTAATATATACAATAATTTTAAGCTATCTTCTAAATAGTTTATACTAATTTATACACTCACCACAAAAATTAAAAAAACATGAGTTCTTATATATCTACACTGTCACTAATAATATTAGAATGTATTATTTAGCATTTTTAAAAATAAAATTAGTTTTTATTTGCACTTACAAGTGAAAGCATCTTTTCTCCCAACATTTTATTTACAACATACAACAAAGTTTGAATTCATTTTACAGCAAACACTAATGCACACCATCTTGATTCTACCATTAACATTTTACTATAGTAACAATATAACTATCCTTCTATCTGTACCTTTACCCATCCATTTAATTCATCTTTTAAAATGCATTTTAAAGGAATTTACAGGAATCCATACACTTTACCCAAATTGCAGTTGACCATTGAAAACACAGGTTTGAAATGTTTGAAATGTGCAGGTTGACTTATATGTGGATTTTTTTCAATACATATATTGGAATTTTTTTTGGAGATTTGTGACGATTTGAAAAAACTCAGATGAACCACTTAGCCTAGAGATAACAAAAAAATTAAGAAAAAGTTATGTCATGAGCATATAACATATAACAAAATATAAAAAGTTATTTATCAAAACTGACACAAGCAAACACACACCATACATGGTGCAATTTGAAGTTCAGAAAAATATAAACAAATGTAAAGGCAGTATTAAACTACACAAAATTAACTGTAGTACATACTTGACTCAGCTGAGTGACCAGAGGCCTTGTGGGTGTATCTGGGCAAGGGGTTAGGGGGGTTGAACCCCTGTGCAGCAGCCCTACAGGGAAACACCCAACAAAAATTATTTTTTAAAAAGGCTCATCCAGGAAATGCATATAAGGGCTGGTCACCTGGCGTTTTGAGTCCTCTCACAGGTCATAGACCTCTGGAGAGAGAAACTGAAACACTTAAGAGGGTGAAAATGACTCAATGGTAACACACTGTGGAGTCTTGAGTGCAAGCAGCACACATCACCACACAAAAACGCTAGGCCACAGCTCAGTTATTTTAAGAAAAAAAATGAGAAAATAATAATCTAAGAATGAGGAGAAAACAAGGAGAATGATCCCCTTTCAAGCACTCCATAGGTTTTATGGCACCTCCACTTGCCAGAGTTTATGTGAAATGGAAGTAATATGGTATTTGTGCATATATATGTTAATGAAAAAGAGCACTAAGGTCAACCTGCAAACTATAGAGTTCCTAAGTTCTCTTTTTTCCCTATTTTCCTTTCTGCCAGCTTTAAATCTGCTGTTATTTTTCTATTAAGATACAAAGCACTGTTTGGACTCAGCAAGCTGTTTGTTTGCAAGCAGGTGAATTTGTGTTTGCCTCATGGCTTAAGTTCTGAAGTAAAAGCTATAAGATTTTGTGTGTGTGTGTGTTTGTGTGTGTGCATATTTAAAAGGCCTTTATAATTTATGTAATTTTATGTTGAATTGGCAATTAAATCCATTTTAACTTCCTTCTAGCACAGGAGACTTTTTCTTTCAGTACCTTATAATGTAAATTTTGCTGTTTGATTTTCACCTGTTTCCTTTAATATGCAAATTTAAGGCTAGTTAGCTGACAACTGCCTAGGGTAGTAAAACAGGTTATCAAGAAATTGAGGCTGGGCACAGTGGCTTACTCCCGTAATCCCAGCACTTTGGGAGTCTGAGGCAAGTGGATCACTTGAGGTCAGGAGTTCAAGACCAGCCTGGCCAACATGGTGAAACCTCATCTCTACTAAAAATACAAAAAAATTAGCCAGGTGTGGTGGCACATGCTTGTAATCCCAGCTACTCAGGAGGCTGAGGTACAAGAATTGTTTGAACTTGGGAAGCAGAGGTTGCAGTGAGCTGAGATCACGCCACTACACTCCAGCCTGGACAACACAGTGAAACTCCGTCTCAAAGAAACAAAAAAAAATTTGAAAGTCTTAAGATAGGGAAAAAAGATCTTTAAGAATCTGTAAAGTGTACTTCTGTCAGCATACCTAATACATCTATGTATTTATGCATTGTGTACATGATGTTTCACTACTGAAAATATGAACTCTAATTAATTGGCTTATGAAAATAAAAGTGCTTGAATCAAATATGTTATCAGGAAAAAGGACTAGTCAAATGCTTTTTCAAGTTTACATAACTTAAGTAAAATCTTTAATAAATAAGCTAGCTTTAAAATTATTGCTAAATTAATATTAGAAATGTCTTACAAATTGCCAGCATACATTTTTGTTTGTGTTTATTATTCAAGCAATTTCCTACTTATCCCTGCCAAATTCTATAAGGTGTCAAAATTTGGCACAGGGGTTACAAAACTATAAACCCAACCTAATACAGAATTATCTTTGCTTATGTAATTTTTAATAAATAAGACATTGATATTGGTTTAATGAAAATAGCTACATCTTGAATTTAGTATGATTACCATAACTTCTTGTCTTGTGGCTTTAGGAGGTCTAGTCCACAGGCAGTAAGGTATGTTTTGGAAAAGGACTGTTACCATCTTTGTTTCAAAGCTAAACTATAAACTAAGTTCCTCCCAAAGTTAGTTTGGCCTATGCACAGGAATAAACAAGGACAGGTTGGAGGTTAGAAGCAAGGTGGAGTCAGTTAGGTCAGATCTTTTTTACTGCCCCAGTTATAATTTTGCAATGGCAGTTCCATAACTTTAAATAATGACTATTGCAATTTCCATAAACAATCTAGGTAAATGATTAAAATAAAATAATTGGGCAAATGTAATGGGATAAATACTTGTAGACAAACTCATTATAATTTAGAATCTAAAGTTATATTAAATAATAGATATTCCATTATTTGGGTATTTTCCAATAATATATTGTAGGAAAGCATTCTTTGTAAAATCAAAAGTGTGTCATTTTTTAAAAGGTGAAAAATTTTTGTCTAATTCAAAGCTTATTTAAAGGTTATGTATAAAACAAGGCAAAAGGAACCAGGAAATAGATATGAAGAAAGTTTTAAAAATAAAGAGGTTTTTTTTTTCCTGTAAGAAAGCTTAAAGAGACATAATTTTATATGAGAAAGAATCATTTATGGTAAGTTTAGTCCTAGAATAAAATGACAGGTTGTTTAAAGAAAAGGGATGTTCAGCACAAACCAGAAAGTCCAAACATGTCATGAACAGTCTGTGTAAGTCACAATAAGAGAATTTATATATTACAAAAAACTTTTATATGTTAAAGTTGTCTATAATTAAAGGGAAATTGTAATGGTCTTTCTAGAGATTAGGCTTGATGTAAGAAAAAAACACTTACACACTAAATATTTGGTTAGAACAATGAAATTTTCTTAAGGGATTGTTTTACTCTTTCTTTTTTTTTTTTTAAGGAGTCTCACTCTGTCACCCAGGCTGGAGTGCAGTGGCGCGATCTCCACTCACTGCAACCTCCACCTCCCAGTTTCAAGCAATTCTCCTGCCTCAGCCTCCCGAGTAGCTGGGACTACAGGCGCCTGCCACCACACCTGCTAATTTTTTGTATTTTTAGTAGAGACGGGGTTTCACCATGTCAGCCAGGATGGTCTCGATCTCCTGACCTCATGATCCGCCCGCCTCGGCCTCCCAAAGTGCTGGAATTACAGGTGTGAGCCACCACACCCAGCCAAGGGATTGTTTTACTCTTAACAAATTATAATATATTTTAATTTTTTAAACTCAAAGTTCAACTTTTATTGCATCTCACCATTTTCAGTTTTCTCTTCCCTTTTAAAGGATGCAAAATAGTAATACTCCCCTTCAACTCATTTTCAGTTCATATAAATTTGTTACCTTGAGTTCTGTTTGTTGTGGCCTGATGCTAACAATGTTTTCTGAAAGATCTAAAGGAAATGTTTTCTTCCAACATAATGTTCTGTGGAGGGCAGAAGGTCTTTTCTTTTGCCTTTTGGTAACTGGACTACCAGATTTTATGGTTTATAAAAACTATTCCTATGCCATTATTATTAAGTTTTGGTGTGCTTAGGATGAAGAATGAAACAAAAAATTTTAATTAAGGTTATTACATTCATGTATCTTTCTGTATGTGCTTTTAAAGTCCTTGTGACATTGAGTTACAGGGCTTTGACTCCTGGGTCTAAAAAGGACACCAAGTCCTGCTAAATCTTAAACACTGACCAAAATGAAAGCCTCATTTTCACACCCAGTAGAAGATGCCAATCAAAATAAACTGTATTCCTGAAACACAGGGCCAGAAATTAAAGCTATTCAACTCCTTGAGGCCCTGGGACTATCACAGAAGAGGTAGGGATGTAAGATTGTAATGGCCAATTTTGAGAGATAAAATAAGTTCAGTTTCTCTATAAGTTAATCATTAATGTCAAAGGCACACTGATGCAAGACCAGCATATGGGCTCTTGAGTCAGATTAACAAGGTTTTCTTGAAGCATTAACTGACTCCTTAATAAATGTTATAAAGCTTATAAAAGGCTTATGGAAGTTATATCTTATGGTCAAGATTAAACTTTTATAGACTGTTGATAAAATTTTGAAAAACAAGTTTAATAGGCTTCATGCTGTTTCATTAGGGTTTATTGTTTTGAAAATTAAGTCTCCTCTCCCAAAGAATAAAGGTTCTTACCTTTTTTTTTTTGAAATCCTTGAGTTATCACTTTGGTCAAATGAATGACTTATTTTACAATGACCTGTGATATCAAGTGTTTTAAACCTTTAATATTTGACAGACTTTCCAAAATCAAATTTAAAATTATGTATTTTTCTGACCTAATTAATCCTTTAAGATATTAGGTTCCCTAGAATCCAAAAATGACATAATTTGGCATATTTAGTATAAAAATTACACAGGAAGCGTTGTCAAATATGAAATGGTGATTGGTTTCGTTTGGGCTGTAGTTGTATAACTGTGTTATTGATATGTGTTCCAAGATCATGGGAAACTCCTATAATTCTGATATGACTTGGTATACATTATCAGTAACAGTTATAATTGTTATGCTAAATTGTCGTATGCCACAGAGGTAACAAATTTCCTTGTCAATTGTGTCTTTGACTATGGCTGCCCTAAAACCTTTTGTCATCCTTGGACAATTGTTGTCTTGTTTGGGTCCTCTTTAGAAGGTGGTTCTACTACTACTACTTGGTTTTTGTACTACCTCTTTTCTTTCCCTGAAGTCAGAAGAATCAGGGCAGATATAGAAGGAACACATAGACATTTTTCATTACCCAGGGTGGTTCAGCTGGATATAGATATTAGGAAACTAGTCAGTGTTAAATGGCTATTTTTTTAATTTCAATACGTTTTTGGGGACGAGGTGGTGCTTGGTTACATGAATAAGTTCTTTAGTGGTGATCTGTGAGATTTGGGTGCACGCATCACCGAAGCAGTGTACACTGTACCCAATGTATAGCCTTTTATTCCTCATGCCCCACCCACCCTTTTCCCAGAGTCCCCAAAGACCATTGTATCATTCCTTTGTTGTTGCATCCTCACAGCTTATCTCCCAATTATGAGTGAGAACATATGATGTTTGGTTTTCCATTCCTGAGTTACTTCACTTAGCCTAATGGTCTCCAATTCTATCCAACTCTCCAGAGTCTTTGACCTAACTTTATATTTTATCTGTATTTCCTTTCTTTACATGGAGAACTGGAGAATTATAATTCTCAAAGACATAGCAATTGGTAGAAGTAGATGATTCCACAATTACTTTGTTCCACATTACACACATAGTGGTCTTAGGAGAACATTATTTTTTTATTCGAGGCTTTTTAAAAAATTATACTTGTTAGTATTCTCCTGCTTTGATTTTCTTCATAAGGAGTTTCTGTTAACCATATATTAAATCTTCTTGGCCTACTTTCAATATTCGTTACTTTCAATCCTTTTTATCTATTAATTTATTGTGCATTTTTAAAAGTCTTATTTTCACCTTCTCTTTTTATAAAGGCATTATCTGTTGAGTTGAGTCATTCTTGTGTTCCTTATTGTTTAGCCTTTGTTTCTAAAATGAGTTTCTTTATTTCTAATTCTTTTCTGAATTGTTGCCTCGTTTTGAGTTTTTTGGATTCCAACTTATGTTGTTCTTTCATATCTTGTGTTACTTAATTTAAGAATCTATTCTGTGGACATGTCTTTTTGGCATGCTTTCATTGTTTGTAGGAAAATTATTCTGTTCTTTATTCTCTTTTCTTTTAATAACTTCGTATGGGATTTGACCTCACCACTTTCCTGTTTCTTAGTTTTTTTTTTCCAAACTTTTAGAAGGAGGAATGACACAGGGTAGTTTTTCTACTTTGAGAGGGCTCTATTTTCTGTTTTGCTTTTTCTCTTTAGAGAGTTAAAAAAATATAGTAGCTTGCTTTTTGAACTGTTTTTCTTTCTACCTTTTAGTAACCTTTTCTTTTCTTCATCTTTATTATTACTATTCTTTCTTTTCTATTTTGATGCCACTCCCAGCAATTTCTATACAGTGTTGGCTCCCTGGGAGGAAGCCATGGTGGCTTAGTTTTGAAAATTTATGGAGGCTGGAATACCCCTCCCAGGTTCAGCTGCTGAACCCATTTGGCCCACTGTGTGCTGCAGTGAGTTCCTCTTAGCTATTTTGAGGGTTCTCTTGTTCTCATCTCTGTCAGATGTCCCATTGCATCCCTCTACTTCCTCTTGCACAGAAGTTGTTGTATGCAGATTTATGCCTGTTGGTAATTTGTCTTCATCTACTTGTATATTGTGCTCTGTGATATACTTCATTACCTGTTTTTTTTTTTGTAAAAATTATTCATGAGTTTTTGGTTTTGTTATATAGTTACCCTATTTATTTGGATGTGAGTATTTGGAAAGATTTAAAAACTATGCTGCTGCCACCATCATCTTCTCAAAAGGAACAGTGAACTATTGAATCACATTAAGAACATGAACATTTTCTAAAATATTTTCTGTTTCTTTTAATACATCGCTTTCCAAGGGGGAAAGTTTTTTGATTCTTCAGAGTTGTGTTTCTCTTTTACTATAGAGTTAAAAAATACAGTGGCTTGCTTGTTGAACTCTGCATCTCCCTTCCACACTTATATAACCTTTTCTTGTATATAAACATTAACTTTGCATAGGCCCTGTGATTTTTGTCCTGTCTCCCTTCCTTCCTCTCTTAAAACAAAACAAAAGCTAAAAAAAAAAAGAAAAAAAGTGTTTGTGCCTTTTGCAGCAGATGGTGGCTGATCCCCATCTCTATCCCTCACCTTCTCACTTTGCTGCACACTTCCTAATTTCCTGTTGCTGGCACCTGCATTTCTTTTCCTGTGAGCTTTCCCTGACTACCAGAGCCTGCTTGACTTACCCGAGTAGCAGGATGAAGTGCTAGTGCTATCCTTGGAATCGGTCTTCAACTAATGACTGATGAGAGGAGATGTATGCAGTTGACAGAGTAAAGGCCCACCCAAAGATGTCCACAGCCTAATCCCCAAAATCTAAATAAGTTGCCTCACATGGCAAAGATACTTTCCAGATGTGATTAAGTGATGATCTTGAGATGGAAGCTTATGATAAATATAAAACTCTTCTTCTTCAATCCAAACTTGAAGAATTTGAGCACGTACCTCCATCAGTCTCTCACGAAACTCATATCAAGTTTCATTTTAGACTGGGTTCCCCCAGAAACTATCCCCAATTCAAGGACTTGAGTGTAAGTAGTTTATTTGGAGGTGTTCCTGACATAATAGGGGGTGAAAAGATTAGACAGGAAAGAGAAGGAAGCTACTAATTAGTTTGTTTTCTAGCTGTGGATTACCATTGTTGGATAAGGCACTTAATCCCCACCTCCAGGACTCTGAGAGCCAACATTAAACATACACTTCAGTTATCCCACTCAAGGGCTGAGGGATTTTCCAGATGGGCTCAATCTTATCCTATGGATTCTTCCTTAAAAGTGGAAGAAGGAGGTCATAGTCAGAGAGAAATTTGAAGATACTCTGATGCTGGCTTTGAAGATAAAGGGGACACACCTTCTATTTGCAAAGGGAGGCAAATGGCCTCTAAAAGCTGAAGAGGAAGAGACAAGGAAACATTCTCCCATGGAGCCTTCAGATGCAGCTCTGCTGTCACCTTGAATTTGTCCCAGTACGACCCATTTTGGACTTCTGACTTCCAGAACTGTTGCATAATAAATTTGCATTAAGCCATCACATTTGTGGTGGTTTGTTACAGGAACTCTAAGAAACTAATAAAATGCATAAATGTGCCAACTCTCTCAGCCCTTGAGTGGGATAATTGAAGCCTATTGTTCAGTGTTGGCTCTCAGAGTCCTAGAGGTAGGGATTAAATGCCTTATCCACCAATGGTAACCCACAGCTAGAGAACAAACCAATTAATTGCTTCCTTCTCTTTCCTGTCTAACTCTTTCACCCCTCTACTATGTTAGGAACACCTCCAAATAAACTACTTGCACTCAAATCGTTGAACTGGGGGTTGCTTCTGAGGGAACCCAGTCTAAAACGGAACTAGAGATGAGTGTGGTGAGAGACTGATGTAGGTACATGCTCAATTTCTTCAAGTTTGGATTGAAGAAGAGTTTTATATTTATCATAAGCTTTTCTAGACTCAAGATGCAATAACACAGGGGCAGGTGGGAAGTGGGATGGAAGACTGAAACTCAGGTGGTCATAAAACATAGTCTCTATCTTTATTTCAATGCTTTTTAAAATAAGTGATTGTGTGTGTGTGTGTGTGTGTGTGTGTGTGTGTGACAGAGGGAGAGGTGGCAGCGGGGAGAGCATAAGACTGTGGTGTTCAGATTTCTGTTTTGTGAGTCTCCAGAAATGAATCTTAGGGCCTTCACTGCCATCAAGGACTATCAATCAATCAGGGGATAGACTTTGAGGTAGATACAGTAGGTCTGCTCACTTTACACCAGGGTTTCTCACCTTGCACCGTTGACATTTTGGGCTGGATAATTCTTTGGTGTGAGGTCTCTCCTGTGCATTGTAAGATGTTTAGCAGCATTCCTGGCCTCTACCTACTAGATGCTGATAGCAACCCCACACCAGCTGTGATAAGCAAAAATGTCTCCAAACATTGTCAAATTTCCCTGTGGGATAAAACCACCCTTGTTTCAGAGCCACTCCAACTACTTTTTATCTTCAAATCTTCTGGGACCCTGGAAGCAGGCAAGTTAAAGATCACATTCCCCAGCCTCCCTTGCAATTGGGAGTCTGCATGTGACAGCTTTTGAGCACACAGCTGGGTAAGACTTAGAATATGGTGTGGACATCATGAGGCTTGTGACTTTTCTGATAGCACTGTCATGGAGGTAATTTTTTCCAGAACAGTATGGGTGAAGGTTTAGTTTCTGACTTCATAGGAACTGAGCACAGAGGCAGCAGCATGATTTTTGCTAATGCAACTCTGTTGGATAGTTGGACATTTCTCTTTGCTGTATTACTTCTCACTATATAGCATCTAAGTTCATTTTCTGGCACTTCAAGAAATTTAAAATGACTCCTTTCTCATTAAACTAGTCAGAGACTATTGTAGGAACTAGTCATTTTTATCAGGACTGTATACAGAGTATATCATAATCTAAATTGTGGCTTTGGTTTCATGGAGGAAGTAGGCAGAAAGATACTAAGAGTTTGAATTTTCAGCCTGGAAAGCTAGTGAACCTAGTTATATGGTGTTAAACAATCCTTACATGGCAGAACCCATGCTGACTAAGCCTGAAACATTAACCAAAATGTTAGGATGAAGACGCAGATCAACTCAAACTCGAGGTAGAAGGAATAGGACTTGGCTAAGAGAGGCTGTGGGCCTGTGGTCCACAATCTAAGTAGGCTGAGCCTTCAGTAATTTGGTATCTTGCAGTTAAAAAATTCAACTATGATATTTACTCAATGAATTGAAAACATATGTCTCCCCTAAACATGCACAAAGATGCTTACAGAAGCTTATTCATTATTGCCAAAATCTGGAAGCAACAAAGATGTCCTTCAGTACATAAATGAATAAACTATGGTACATCCAGATAATGGAATGTTATTAAGCACTAAAAAGAAATGAGCTACAAAGCCATGAAAAGATATGAAAGAAACTTACATGTATATTACTAAGTGAAAGAAGCCAACTTGAAAAGGCTGCATTGATTCCAACTATATGACATTCTGGGAAAAGCAATACTATAGAAACAGTGGTTGCCAGGTGTTAGGGTGGAGAGAGGATGATTAGACAGAGCATAAAGGATTCACGGGGCAGTGAAACTGTTCTTTATGTTACTATAACAGTGAATAAATGTCATTATACATCTGTCAAGAGCCATAGAATATACAACATCAAGAGTGAGCCCTAATGTAAACCATGGATTTTGGGTGATGCTGATGTGTTAACATAGATTCATGGATTGTAATAAATGTATTACACTAATGCCAACATTGATGGTGAAGGAGGCTGTGCATGTGTGGGGGCAGGGACTATATGAGAACTCAGTACTTTCCACTCAATTTTGCTGTGAAAGCCACCCTAAAAAATAAAATTTTTTTATTTTACCAGCTGCTTCCTTACCCCAATTGTAAAACTGTAGCCTTAGAAGGCGGATAAGTTTCTGACCCCAAGTTCTCTTACAAAAAGTTCTATAAGAGTTCTTTGCCTGACAGTGGGAACTCGCTCATAAAGAGAAGATTAAGAATTGCCTTTCTACCAAGTCCTATTTTAAATAGTCTCAGGATAGCTATCATTATAATGTGAACTGGAGGCTGGGCAGAGCATAATGGCTAGTAAGTCTCTTTGGCTCGAAAAATCCATGACTGCACAAGTTCTTTAACTGCGGTTATTTGTGCACAAAACTTACTGAAAGAGAATAGACAGAAATCCTACCAGATGTTTGAGAGAACTCTACGACTATTTTATAATAGACTATGTTAAACACCAAAACTCTACCTGGACCCTAACTTGCACAACCAGGAAATAGAATGATGAAGCTGTGTATCCCCCAAAGCCATCTTCTCTAATGCCCACCTCAGCTGTGATCATCAAGGAAAGAGAGCTAGTGTAGTGGAAGCTATGGATGCACCATTCAGATCCTCTTCAGGACTGAAGAATTTATTTCCCCAAACTGTGGGGAGTGTTCCTGGCTAAGAGCCCTCAGCCTTCAGTCTTGTATGGGAATTTTCCACTGCTGAAGAGAAGTTCTTTACCCAAAAGCAAATCCCCTTTCCTGGAGACAGCCTGCATCCAATTACTGGTCATTGCAGGTATATAAAGTCCCAACCTCCTTGGCCAAACTCAAAACTATAAAGGATCAACTCAGCTTCAGACCTTCTTCTGCTTTGCTGAGGCCTTTGCTGAGACTGTATCACATCCTGATGTCTCCCTTTACTCTCTGCTGAATTCGGTTCTCTTTTCTGCCTCCACGCTTAATGATTCCCAGTGCACACCCTAATAAACTTCCTGCACACTAGTCTCTGCCTCAGATTCTGCTTCCCATTGAGCTTTATTTTCAAAAACTAGAAAGACCTTCCAAGGATCAGAGGCTGGGGCTATTGCGTGGGCAAATTAAAAAACTTCACCCACTGCTGCAGCAGGGCACCCTGGCTATTGACCAGTGGCTACCTATGTTTCTTCTATTCCCTTTTCTGAATAGGAACGTGTGTGTGTGTGTCTATGTATTATTTCCCTAACAACTGAAAATTAGTCATATTGACATTTTTTGCCCTTAGCTTAAAGTAGCTTTCTAATAGGGACCATTGATGCACCATGGCCTGGAAAACATCTTTGCAGAAACTTATGTGACTATCTTCTTCCATTTGTGCTGGTAAGACAATATACTTTAAACAGTAATTTTTGTTTGTTGTTTGTTCCTTTGTTTTTAAAGACAGTGTCTTGCTCTGTCACCCAGACTAGAGAGCAGTGGCACAATCATAGCTCACTATAAAAGCTGAGTA
Source organism: Homo sapiens (assembly GCF_000001405.40). Lineage (NCBI taxonomy): Eukaryota > Metazoa > Chordata > Mammalia > Primates > Hominidae > Homo > Homo sapiens. The sequence continues at coordinate 112,503,763 of NC_000003.12, read as the reverse complement.
ATTTAGAAAGAAGAGAAATATATATCTCACAGTTCTGAAGAGTGGGAGGTCCAAGATCAAGGTTCCAGCAGATACAGTATCTGGTGAGGGTTGCTCTCTGCTTCCAGAATGGTGCCTTCTTATTGCCTCCTGACAGCAAGGTGGAAGGGGGCAAAAAGGGATGAATGCTGTGTCCTCACATGGTAGAAGAGATGGACGTGCAGGCAGCTCTCCGAAGCCTTTTTTAGAGATGGGGTCTTACTCCATTGCCCAGGCTGGAGTGCAGTGGTACCATTGTAACTCATTGCAGCCTTGAACTCCTGGGCTCAAATGATCCTCCTGCCTTAGCGTCCCAAGTAGATGGAACTACAAGCACATACCACCATATCCAGCTAAGTTTTGAAGTTTCTTGTAGATACAGGGTTTTACTATGTTGCCCAGGTTAGTTTTGAACTTCTGGCCTCAAGCGATCTTCCTGACTTGGCCTCACAAAGTTTGGGATTACAGACGTGAGCCACAGCACCCAGCCTGAAGGCTCTTTCATATGGACATTAACTCCCTTCATGAGGGCAGAGCCCTCATGACCTAATCACATTCCAAAAGCCCCTATCTCTTAATGCCATCATTTTAGGGGTTAAGTTCTAACATAGGAATTTCAAGGAGACACCCACACTCAAACCATAGCAGTTTTTATCAAAATGGGCTAAATATTATTCAATTGGAATTGATTACTGTTATATAAGAATTTGAACTATGAATACTCTATTCTTTCTTCATGTGGGGAGACCAATTGTCCTAAAAGTGAGGCTTCCTCACTTTATTATGTTTTATTATTACAAATAATACTTCACTCAACAATCAAACATTTCTTATGAAAATTTTTTAAACACTATCATGGAAATGTTGGGTGCATATTACTTGATTTTTAGTTCATAAGACATGGAACTATGAGATGCTACATATAGACCTAAGGCCCCTTTGCGAATGTTTTTTAATTTGGACCATCTTTAAGCTACACCATTCCTCTCCTAATCGAAGCTTTATTACGGCATTTACTTTAGAGTCTTGATCTCTATGCAACAATGACTCCCATTAGCAAGTATTTTCAACTTGCTCCATTTTCAACTTGTTCCACCATCATTAAATTTTGGCTTATTAATACAGGGCTTCTTGGTTCCAGAATGATTATAGTTGCAATTTACTGATTACCCTGCATATATCACCTCAGTTAACCAACAAAACAGATAGGTATTGTTACTATGTTTTAAAGAACTGGAAAATGAAATGTGGAGCAGATTTGGTTCTCTGGAAGCAAACATAGATAGATTAGGGATCAACAACTGTGAAAGGAAGGGATCAGAGGAAGAAACTGTGATGTAGGCCTAATATACCCTTGGCAACTCAGTTGGGAGCTCTGAATCAAGTATTGCCCATCAGCTTCCCATGTCAGCTCAAAATGGCCAGAAATCTGTACACTTTCCTTGCTCCATCATTGGATGCAAGCTGTCATGGGAAAGCATGACCTTGGTCAAGATGTGTCTCAACTGAGCAGACCTGGGAGAAGTTTACAGTTGGATGTACTCTGCCTATTGCATTCCCCCCATCTAAGAGCAAACACATCCTTGAAGGGGGATCTGAGAAGTGCATTTCTGTGTCTACTACAGACTCTAAGAACGTAGAAAATCTATGAAAGCTTCTATAGCTAATAACTGAAAAAGCTTTGATACCACATGTGTGATTCAAAAGCTTATATCCCCTGCCAACTCATAATTGGTTTCTAAATATTCCTTCAAACTAGTATATCAAAATCACCTTTGGAGCTTTCTGAAAATGGGGATATCTGGCCTTCATCTTGTGAGATTCTGATTCAATGGAAATGGATAGGATTAAAAAATTCCACCAATTTTATAAAAAGTGTCCAGGTTGATTATAGAACACAGTAATGTATAGAAACTATTGCTTACAATAACATTAGTGAAAAAATGATATCAAATAGAAAAATGTCAAAGATTTTAAATGCTGGACTACTTTTACAGTAAAGCTATGGAATGTTTTTGGGGAAAGTTAAAAAGATCAGTACCAAGATTCATCTCTTTGGGGTTGTCTAACATCAGGGGCAAGACTTTTCCAGGATCCTGTGTCATGTTTTGTGATTGCTGGTTCTCTGATCACCTGGGGGAAAAATATTGCAGAAAGTATAGCTGCTTCATCATTCATGAAAGCAACTGAGTCTGCAAGTGAACTGAAAAATTTGCCCTCCAAGTAGTTCCTGAGATGTTTGTAAAGAGAGTTTGAAGATACTAAATTCTATTTCCTTTTTGTCTTTCAACATAAAACTGATTAGACGTTCATGTTTTTAAAATTGTTTCAATATGTAATGCCATCGCTTTCAAGAATGTAGTAAACTCTTTAAATTTGCAAATATAAATGAAAATTGTAATTTTTGGATCAAACAATATACATAATTATGATGGGATTACAAAAGTTATAAGCTTAAGGCAAGATTGACTTGTTACTGAGCTAATTAATTTCTGAGTCTGGCTTCTTTCCTTTTTTTTTTTTTTTTTTTAACTAGAACGAAGACAGGAGTGAGATTCAGAGGCAGGGTTTTATCTACAGTGGGACACTCAGGACTCTACCTGTGGAGGGATAAAGTGCTAGGCATGCTAATAAAAGCAAGAAATATATAAATCTTTTAAAAATACATTAGATGCTACATAAGATTTTTTCCGAATTTTGTCTAATTAGCATGGACTTTTTATATGAAAAATATTTAAAATAGTGACATAACAGTTTTAAGCTGAGATAAAGTTAATATGATCTCTCTCTGGTTTGGGCTTATGTAACCCATAAGCCATAAGGTTATGGCTTTTGACCTGTGGGCCATTTTAAAGGGACAATGAGCCTTGCTTCAGCTGCCTCAAGAAGCTTTTACTCACTGTGAACACAGGAAAAGGAAGGAGCTGTGAAAATACTGCCTTAATATTTCCCAGGATGTTTATTTGATTAGTAACAGAAATTCTAAAAGGCTATGTGTACCCTCTCTGTATTATACTATATTATAAGACCAACACTAAAGGTGGATGTGAGGAAGTCGTAATACTGATTGAACGAGTTCTTTAAAATCAGCAATAGCAACTCATTCATCATTCATCTCCAACCATAGCACATTGTCTATTTGACTCAATAAATACATGATAACTGTTTTTTAATTTTAATTTACCCTTGGCAACTCAACTGGGAGCTCTGAATTAAGTATTGCCCATCAGTTTCCCATGTCAGGTCAAAATGTCCAGCAATCTATACACTTTCCTTGCTCTTAAAACTTTCCTTGAACTTAAAACTATTGAAGTTTGGCCTTGGAATAAAATCATCAGTCTCTGAGGAAAAAACTTATATAATCGACTTCTGTCAATGATCACTAATGCCACAAATCTAGATCTCTCATTTGGAGTCTCAAATGGCAGATGAATTTGATTAGCTCCTATGACTATAAGCTAAGCTAATTATTACAAGTGGATGTGGAGAAAACAGTCCTATGGTGGCCTGTGCTATCTGATCTTGAACTTTTCCATTTCTTCCTTTACTGTTTCTATTCTACTTCATCGAGACAACAACTGCATGAAGAATGTTTAAAATGGAAATTTCCTTTAATTGATATTCAAGATCTCCTTTAGATTAGAACTTTATTATCTAGAGAGAACATGTAGCCAATATTAATGATGATCTTGTTCCATTGATATGTATCCACAGATTAAAGACGGCTGCTCTTCCTTCTTCTGTTGAGGAAGTGCTTCCTGTCACTCATTTTCTCCATAACCTGAGATAAATCTTCACTGGTTTAATGACAATAAGCATCCTCATCTTACCGTGACATGTACAGGAAAAAAAAGAAACCTAAAATCTTTTACATAAAAGAAGTTTCATAATCACAAGCTATCACAAAGGGGAAAATGTATACTTACCATTGATAGTTTTACCATAAATTTCCTGACCTTAATTTGATTAAAATCTCAACTTAAAGACTGCAACAATACAGATTTCTTTAAAGTTTAATTGCTCATTTCACTGAACATTGAGTGCAGGAAAAACCTCAACCTGGGGCAAAAACGTGGTAGAGCGGAAGGAGAAGTTAAGGACTGAGCTGCTTTGCAGATCACAGTGTTTGAAAGTGAACAGCCAACCTGACAAGAAGCAAAAACCACAGAACAGAGTACCACATCGTCTTTCTGTTCACTTTTTTTCACAAAATCATCCAGGCTCTTCCTACTCTCCTCTCTTACCACCTCTCTCTTCTTTTTTTTTTTTTTTTAGTTATTTCACAGATGCCACTGGGGTAGGTAAACTGACCCAACTCTGCAGCACTCAGAAGACGAAGCAAAGCCTTCTACTTGAGCAGTTTTTCCATCACTGATATGTGCAGGAAATGAAGACATTGCCTGCCATGCTTGGAACTGGGAAATTATTTTGGGTCTTCTTCTTAATCCCATATCTGGACATCTGGAACATCCATGGTAAGGCACCTGCTTAGGTTATTTCTGGTTTTATTTCTCAGGGGGTCTTGGAGGCAACATTCTCCCTTGCTGAACTTAGTACGGTGTAACGTTTATACGAAGTGGGTAATCGTAGATGAAACCAAGCTGTTACATTTGCTTACCGAAGACATCGTAGAGCATAAACCAAATTAGAACATAGTATTCACCTGCCTAATCATAGGCATCGCATCAATAGCTTGGCTGACTTTCTTAAAAACATGTTGATGGTAGGAAAAGAGAACTGAGTAGATGTTATAAATAGTTAAGTACAAATCTATCACTACTTCTTGCAAAAATGCTCTGGCTGCCATACTGATAATGAATAGATAGCTCGTTCTTTCCAAACTGAGTGCAGTAGAGTGCTGCAGTGCTCAGTTGGGTAGGACAGTTGTTGGATAATCGGAATTATACATATCTCCATGGTTACCCTCAAATAATATTACCTCTAAATAAAATCTCTATACTTGCTTCATTGGGATGTATGCCTTGAGAATACCGATTGAGAAAATGCTACAAAATATAGGAGCAGAACTTTTCGTCATTGCTTCTATTTTGTTGAAAGGGAATGGTTCCTACTTGGTTGTCAATTGAACACAGAAAATAAGTTGGATTCTGCAAAGATGATATTTAGCCACCCCTGCAAAGACTTTATACAGGCAAAAAAAAAAAAAAAAAAAAAAAGGCAATTTCTTTTTTATTGTAAAGTCGCTTCCTACCTTATATTGCATAGGAACCCACATATTATCAAGAGGAAAAGCCTATGAGTGGCTCATCAGAAGCTTCTGATTTTTCAGGTTTTATTTTTTTATTTTTTTGAGACAAGAGTTTTGCTCTCGTCACCCAGGCTGGAGTGCAATGGCGTGATCCCGCCTCACTGCATCCTCTGCCTCCCGGGTTCAATCGATTCTTCTTCCTCCCGGGTTCAATTTATTCTCCTGCCTCAGCGTCCCTAGTAGCTGGGATTACAGGCACCTTCCACCACGCACAGCTAATTTTTGTATTTTTAGTAGAGATGTTGGATAACCCCAATTATCCAACATCTGTCCTACCCAACTGAGCACTGCAACACTCTACTGCACTCAGTTTGGGAAGAACGAGCTATCTATTCATCATCAGTGTGGCAGCCTGAGCATTTTCGCAAGAAGTAGTGATAGATTTGTACTTAACTATTTATAACATCTACTCAGTTCTCTTTTCTTGCCATCAACCTGTTTTTTAAGAAAGTCAGCCAAGCTATGGATGCAATGCATGTTGGGCAGGCTGGTCTGGAGCTCCTGACCTCAAGTGATCCACCTGCCTCAGCCTCCCAAAGTGCTAGGATTACAGGTATGAGCCACCATGCCCAGTGATTTTTCAGGTTTTAAATATTCTGTCTTATTATTCCCTACAAGCACACATTTATCAGTTTGGCTACTGCAATTTTAAATTAGAAAATCTGGCCACTGAGGTTCTATGGAAAGTCTATCTATAATTTTAAACTGTGTAGTTTGGAATATGTCTCTATGATGCCAGGATGCCACACAACCAAGTGCAAAGTAAAAAAGTCCTTAGTTACTCAAACATCTTTATGTTTGTAAGTATCTAGTATTAAGTCAACTAGGTGCTTAGATGGTTGACTGAATTTTCCACCTTCCATCAGATGCCTACAGTCACATAGCTACAACTGGAGTCAAATATTATTAAATAGATTTCTTCCCCATTTGAAGGATACATAAACTACTCTCTATGAAATTAAGAACAATGAGTTTCAGTGCTAAACCACATTGATGGTGGGGTAAGACCTTTATTTCTCCCAATGTGCAACCTAGCATTTGCAAAAGTGAACTTGGCTGTTAGAACTGGGTTAATTTACTGGCTCTGCCACTTACTGTATGGCATTGATTAAGTCTCTTCTCTTCTCTTTAGTTTCCTCATTTGTACAATACAGGTAATAATTGTACCTAAATTATGGGGCTGCTGTGAAGACTGTAGATGCAATAATATGGGTAAAGTGCCTCGCATAGTAAGTGCACGTATTTAAAGCTCAGTAAATGTTAGTGGTATTTTTCCTAAATTATTTTCACCATGCAACCTCTATGTAATTAAATGAGAATTATGTTTTAACATTATTATTTAAAATAGTTGAGTTTTTAAAGTTAAAAATAAAATAAATAAGTACAATATATTTTGCAATATATTTAGCCCAAAATATAGTGAATCAAATTATTCAGAAAATGAAATATGGCTGGGAGCCATGGCCCTAGCCTTTAGTCTCAGCACTTTGGGAAGCCAAGACGGGCAGATCACCTGAGGTCAGGAGTTTAAGACCAGACTGGTCAACATGGTGAAACCCCGTCTCTACTAAAAATATAAAAATTTGCTGGGTGTGTTGGGAGGTGCCTGTAGTCCCAGCTACTCGGGAGGCCGAGACAGGAGAATAGCTTGAACCCAGGAGGCAGAGGTTGCAGTGAGCTGAGATCACACCACTGCACTCAAAAAAAAAAGGGAAAGACTTGAGTGAAGTACTGGTCAGATATATACCAGTTGATATAATGGATTGCAGCAGCAGTTGCATTAAATTAAAGCTATAGGTTAAGAGAAGGAACATTTGGTGAAATTTGTTCTCCCAGGCAGAGCTGATGGCTCCATTTCTTAAAACCACATTAAATACCTTATATCTTGGGGATTTCCTGTGATTTACTTAATTGCTGAGTTCTTTACAGTAATACATTTTCAGTGTTTAAAGATAGCCTTTGAAGATTTTTTCCCCCTACTTCAAAGCAATGTGAGATCCGTGTCCTTGTTCCTAGGAGTGAGGCTGCATATATAATAAGGCTGGAAAAAATGTAATGTTCTCTACAAACTTCCTGTTTAAGGTCCTTCTTTATTACAAAAGTATGCTTGCTTACTTTTTGTGTTTCTCTAAAAAATTAGAGAAACTTGCCCCTCAGTGTGTGGCATACAGTTTCTGTCCTGATAGAAGTAATAAAAATGTCAATATCTTCCCTTCATGGGCAGATCATGCTGGCAAGATCTAGACTGCAAGTGGAAGTGTCTCTGTCCATTGCCTGCCCTGTCATCCTGGACCATTTGTCTGAGGCTGCCCTAGACCCTAGTTCAGTTGAGGATCAACCAAGGATTCCACTTTTAGGCAGGCAGGAACACTGCAGTTAATGTCTGGGTATCACCAACACCATATATGATGCAGAATAAAGGCAGTTGGAACTGTTTGATTGATTACTGGTTATTGTGATTTTTAAAAAAAGCAATCCTAGTCTGGTTCAGTAAGGGAAAGACACCTGTATTCTGGCTCTTTTGAGAATACAGTGGTTAGGGCTATGTCTCCATTTTGGTCTGGCTTGTGTCATTTTTTTCCCTTTATTATGATGGTCCAGTATGGTCCATGGACCAGCTTTTAAACACCGTGTTCCACATCCCACACAGATTGTTTTGCTCTACTACAAACTGGCCATATCTTTGGGTCAAAAAATATCATTCCTTGAAGTTCAGGTTTTGTAGCACAGTATCTTTATAAGGCATATTTCTATGGCTTCAGCTATTTGTTCTTATTGAAATGTGCATATGGAGGAATGCTAGAGATAGAGCTCTGTCTTCTGCCAAGTGCCTATGTATTGTTACAACAATGCCTGCCATATATTAAATAAATGTTTAGGAATGCATTCTGTGGTTACAGGACTTCTTGAATTAAAGCATGAAAAGATTAACCTTGTGCTCATTGCAGCCTTGAATATACTTTTCCTATCACAGAGAAGTTTTTAAATTTCTTGCTTCCTCTGTCCTACTACCAAAGTTTCCTCTATTGTAAAGTTGACGTCAAAACTATTTATCTTGCCTCATTGGGACTTTCCTACTTAATTTCCATTATTTGTGAGTTTCATCTTTATGTAGAGTTCAGAATTGTTAAAAGAAAAATATTTACAGGCATTTGTAATCAGGTCCAAAAAATAATCATTTTCTTTTTTCCTTGGAGAAGCTGTGTGGTATAGTGGCTAAGATCAGGGACTCTAAAGCCAGACTCCATGGATTAGTATCCTATGTCTGCCATTTAATGGTTTTGTGACTATAAAATCTCTGGTTCTCAGTTTTCTCATCTAAAAAAATGGGAGAATAATCTTATAAGGTTGTTGTGACTATTAAGTGAATTAATTCTGTAAAACACTTAGAATAGTGCATGGCATGCCATTCAGTGCTGTGTATATTTAGCTAATTTTTTTTCTTTTAGTCCAACATTTCATTAGTTTAATAGTCCTGTTAAAGTAACATTGGGTGACAATTGGGAATCAACCACAAATAAAAATTTGGAGTTCACAAAAGTCTTCTATAAATTACTCTTGATATTATTATCTACTCTTTTTTTTCTTTATTTCTTCTAAAAAAGGAAAACAGGATACATGTGCAGAAATGTACAGGTTTGTTACATAGGTATACGTGTGCCATGATGGTTTGCTTAACCTATTGACCCATCCTCTAAGTTCCCTCTCCTCTCCCCCTACTCCCCAACAGGCTCTGGTTTGTGTTATTCCCCTCTCTGTGTCCATATATTCTCATTTTCAACTTCCACTTATGAGTGAGAACATGCAGTGTTTGGTTTTCTGTTCCTGTGTTAGTTTGCTTAGGATGATGGCTTCCAGCTTCATCCATGTCCCTGCAAAGGGCATGATCTCATTCTTTTTTATGGCTGCATAGTATTCCACGGTGTATATGTACCATATTTTCTTTTTCCAGTCTATCATTGATGGGCATTTGGGTTGGTTCCGTGTCTTTGCTATTGTAAATAGTGCTGCAATAAACATACGTGTGCATGTGTCTTTATAGTAGAATGATTTATATTCCTTTGAGTATATACCCAGTAACGGGATTGCTGGGTCAAATGGTATTTCTGGTTCTAGATCGAGGAATTGCCATACTGTCTTCCACAATGGTTGAACTAATTTACACTCCCACCAACCGTGTAAAAGCATTCCTAATTCTCCACAGACTTGCCAGCACCTATTGTTTCCTGACTTTTTAATAATCACCATTCTGACTGGCGTGAGATGTTATCTCCTTGTGGTTTTGATTTACATTTCTCTGACCATCAGTGATGTTGAGCTTTTATTCTTATGTTTGTTGGTGGCATAAATGTCTTCTTTTTTTTTTTGAGATAGAGTGTCGCTCTGTCGCCCAGGCTGGAGTGCAGTGGCGCAATCTCCGCTCACTGCAAGCTCTGCCTCCCGGGCTCATGCCATTCTCCTAACTCAGCCTCCCGAGTAGCTGGGACTACAGGCGGCTGCCACCACGCCTGGCTAATTTTTTGTATTTTTAGTACAGAAGGTTTCACCGTGTTAGTCAGGATGGTCTTGATCTCCTGACCTCATGATCCACCTGTCTCGGCCTCCCAAAGTGCTGGGATTACAGGCGTGAGCCACCGCGCCCAGCCAGTGTCTTCTTTTGAGAAGTGTCTGTTTAGGCTGGGTGTAGTGGCTCTCGCCTGTAATCCCAGCACTTCAGGAAGCTGAGGAGGGCGGGTCATTTGAGGTCAGGAGTTCAAGAGCAGTCTGGCCAGCATAGTGAAACCCTGTCTGTACTAAAAATACAAAAATTAGCTGGGCGTGGTGGGACACGCCTGTAAGACCAGCTACTTGGGAGGCTGAGGCAGAATTGCTTGAACCCAGGAGACTGAAGTTGCAGTGAGCCAGGTTGCACCACTGCACTCCAGCTGGGTAACAGAGTGAGACTCTGTCTCCAAAAAAAAACAGAGAGAACTGTGTGTTCATATCCTTTGCCCACTTTTTGATGCGGTTGTTTGTTTTTTTCT